>NC_000011.10:57252346-57555377 GCF_000001405.40 Homo sapiens
ATTGATTAATGGATGGATTAATACCGTTGGATAGACCAATGCTAATAAATGGATTAATTCCATGACCTCAAAGTGGGTTAGTCATCATGGCAGTGGGTTTCCAATAAAAGAGTAAGTTCAGCCCCCTTCGTTTCTCTTGCTCTCTTGTGTTCTCTTGCCCTTCCACCTTCTGCCATGGGATGACACAGTAAGATGTCCCTGGCCAGTTGCTACCACTTTGCCACTGGACTTCCCAGTCTCCATAGCCATGAGCCAATAAATTTCTATTCATGTAAAATACCCAGTCCATGCCATTCTGTTATAACAACACAAAACAAACTAGGACACTAGACTAAGGTAGTAACATAATATCCAAGTTTTAGCTGGGAACACACTACCCAGCTATAGACTAGATGTTCCACCTCCCCTTACAACTACCTGAAGCCTTATCAAAGTGATATGAACAAAGTAATGTGTGCTTCTTCTGGGTCACATTCTTTAAAAAAGGAAATTGCTTACTCTTTATATCCTTTGTTTCTCCTTTCTTATATGGTGGAACATGGATGTGGGATAGCAAGCCAGCTTTGACCATGCAGATGAAGACAACATCCAAAGGGAAGCAGGGCAACAGAGCAACAAGACACTGTGTGCAGGAGAGCTGAGCCACCTGTCTACCTCTGGCTTATTAATAGAAAGAAAAATGACTATTTTTAAAGCCCTGTCTCTCTGCCTCATATCTTAACTTGTACCATAACTCACACTTAGGGAACAGTGGAACAAGACCAGGCTTGAATGCAGTTTGGGGCATGTTGCATTTGAGAAGGTTTTGAGAAATGTAAGTGAAATATCAATTGATCAGTTAGGCACAAGTCCAGATATCAGAGGAGAGGTCTGGACTGAAAATACAAGTTTGTGAATAGTCTCCCTTTCACGTGTGGTTGGTAATTAAAGTCTCTGTGTGTGTGAGATGGTCTAAGGAGAAGGAAGAGAGTGAGAAGAGAAGGATGCCTGTGGTAGGCAGCTTCTAAGGTGACCCCAATTATCTGCACCTCCTGGTATTTTTGTCCATTTGCAATCCTCTCCACTGGAATGTGGGCTGAACCTAGCAACTCATTTCAAAAATATATAATATGGCAAAAGTAATGGGATGTCACATCCAAGACTAGATGACAAAAACACTGGCTTCCATCTTGAATGCCCCCTCTCAGTCACTTTTTTTGAGAGAAGTCAACTTCATATTGTTAGCTGCCCTGGGGACAGATCTATGTAGCAAGGGCCTGAGGAAGGCTTCCACCCAACAGCCAGTGAGGGATTGAGGCCCTTAGTCCAACATCTTGTAAAGAAAGGAATTCTGCCAACTACCTGTGAAAGAGCTTGGAAGCAGATTCTACAATCCCTCTCAAGCTTTCAGATGACTGAGCCCCAGCTAACACCTTGCAACACCTTGACTGCAGCTGTATGAGACTCTAAGTCGGAAACATCTAGCTAAGCCACAGCCAGGCTCCTGACCCAGAGAAACTGCAAGATAAAAAGTGCCTGTTGTTCTAAGCTACTAAGTTTGAGGAGGATGTGCTTCTCGGCAATTAATAACTAAGACAGAGCCCATGCAAGAGCCCGGAGGACCCTGTCGTTTAGTAGCTGGTAGAAGAGAATGAGCCTAGAAACTTTATACATCAGGGCAATCCAGGTGAGTGCCAAATGTCTTTATCAATTTTGTGCTGCTATAAAGGAATGCCTGAGGCTGAATACTTTATAAAGAAAAAGGGGTTATTTGACTCATCATTTAATGGCTGGAATGTTTAAGATTTGGCCTCTGCATCTGGTGAGGGTCTCAGGCTTCTTCCACTCATGGCAGAAGGTGAAGGGGAGCCAGCTTGTGCAGAGATCACTTGGCAACAGAGGAAGCAAAAGAGAAAGGGGTGGGATACCAGGCTCTTTTTAGCAACCAGCTCTTACGGGAATTAATTGACTGAGAAGCCACTCGCCTCTGAGAAAGGGCATTAATGTATTCATGAGAAATCTTCCCTCATGAAAAAAACACATCCATTGGGCCCCAACTCCAACACTGGAGATCAAACTTCAACATGAGTGTCGGAGGGGACAAACATCCAAATCATAGCACCAAGTCATAGAATCCAAGAGAATAGGACTGGTCAATAAGGAGGGAATAGTCAAGAGTGTTGAGATGCTGCTGACAGATCAAATAAGATGAGAGAAGAATACTTGATGGACATTGAGATGCAGAAGTCACTGGTGACCTTAGGACAGAAGCCAATATCTCAGGACTGATAGCCCTGGAAAACCCAACCATTTAAAGTCTCTAGAAAATATCCTAAGGGTATATAGCAAGTGAAAGATTTACTCAAAAACTAAAGTTCAATAAAACAGCAAGAGTCTGTGGAACTTGAGCTATGACATGTGTGCTCACTCTCTCACTCACTCTCTCTCTTTCTCCCTTTCTTTTTCCCCTAGTCCTACATTCTCAGTCCAGACAGACAATAGAGGCCTCAGTCTGAATGGATGTGGTCAAAAAATGTGACTCCTTCTTCCCTAAGTTCCCAGACAAGGGACATAATATTTCACTGGGAAAGACAGACCACCAGCATTTCTCATTTCCCCAAACTCCAAAATGCAGAGGATAAACTCCTGGGAATTGTGGGCAAACTATCAGGAGCTCACTTTCTCCAGCTAGTTCTCATTCATGGAGCAGAGATTCACCCCAGGCACAGCAGACTGAGAATACGGGGGTCTTGATTACCTTTAGTTTTAAGGCAGAGGTTCCACACTGGAGGAGGCAAACTGAGAAGAGGAAGAGTTAACCATTATCACTCAGTGCCCTGCTCTAGTATCTGGGTATCACTCTAAGAGAAGTGGGTCATTATCCCTGTTCCCAGATCCAGAGAAAAGGTTCAAAGACTTTGGCCAGTAGGAGAGGCAGTTAATAAGAACAAAGAGCTCCAAAGCTCTCTCAAGATGAACTGACTTTATTTGAAACAGAGTGTAGGGAAGTTCAAGCCTAAGGGTGCTCTAAATAACAGTGGAGATTTTGGTAGTAAGTAATAATAAATGGAGGCCAGTAGCTCCATTAGGGCAGCAAGATAAACCAAAGTCCAGATCATTTACCAGAGATAATTATGGTAAGAGTGAACTAAGAAGAGGCTTCCTGGAGTCAGGTAAAATCTATTGTTGAGTTCCTTCAAAGTCTTGCCTTTAAAACTACCTCCGCAAAAGTCCTGCATTTAATTTGATCAAACTGCAAAGCAATTTATGTTCCAGTGCATTGTTTAAAACAATAGAGAAATCAGATGACAATTAGTGAAGGGTAAAATCTCAATGTTATACTAGCAGTCAGACAGTTTAACAAAGAGATCTAAGAAAGAGACAGTCAAAGACAGTCCAGCTGAGACTAGTCATGCAGGATGACTGTATGCATGCCCGTGGCTAAACTCTCTGAGGAGTGACATTAGAGGCTTCATATTAAAGGGGAAATAGGCTTCACTAAAATAGTTCAGCCAAGTCACTAGACAAATAAACACACAAAGAACAACAAGAACAAACCATGGAGGGAAGACAGACTCACTCTCCAGCATTCCTAAAATATATGACCTAAAATGTCTGGGTTTCAACAATGAAAAAATGCAAAGACATGCAAAGAAATGGTAAAATGTGCCCCATACCTGGGGGGGTAGTAGACAACAGAAAATGCCTGTGAGATGGCACAGATATAGATTTTAAAGATGTCAAAGCGGCCATGATAAATGCTTTCAAAGAACTAAAGGGAATTATATTTAAAGAAGTAAATGAAGGTATGATGACAATGTCTTATCAAAATGAGAATAAAAATAAAGAGACAGTGATTATTTTAAAAAGAACAGAATGGAAATCCTGAAGTTAAAAATGTATAGTTGATATGAAAAACTCACTGAAGTAACTCAACAATAGATTTTACCTGACAGAAGAAAAAAATCAGTGAGCTTGAAGATGGGTCAATAATGATTATGCAATACAAAGGACAAAGATAGGAAAAAAAATGAGAAAATAAACAAAATAGAACACAGAAATGTGAGATACCATTAACAGCAAAATATGCATAATGAGATTGCTAGAAAGAAATGACAAAAAGAAATGAGCAGAAAAAATACTCAAAAAATGGTGGAAAAGTTCTTATTTATTTATTTATTTATTTATTTTCAAGAAAGCCTTGAACTTCTGGGTTCAAGTGATCTTCCCCTCTCAGCCTCCCAGGTAGATGTGCACCATGATGCCCAACTAATTTTTTTAATTTTTTTCGAGATGAAGTCTCACTATGTTGCCCAGGCTGGTCTTGAACGTGTGACCTCAAGCTATCCTCCTGTTTCAGCCTCCTGAGTCACTGGAATTACAGACATGAGCCACCACACCCAGCAAAATGTTTTTAAATTTAATGAAAAAATACCATCTAAGAAGCTCAATTAACTCCAAGTAAGATAAATACACAGCAATCCACATCCAAACACATCATGGTAAAAATGCTGAAAGCCAGAGATAAAGATAAAATTTGAAAGCAGCAAAAGAAAAATGACTTGTCAGCTAGAAGACAACCCTAATAACATTAACAGTCAACTATTAGACACAATAGGTACCAGAATGCAGTAGGATTACATACAAAGTGCTAAAAGAAAAAAAAATGGTCAACTAAGAATCCTATATCCAGCAAAAACAGTAAAAAAAGACTAACAAGCCAACTTTTAAATGGGCAAAGGATTTGAAAAGACTTTTATCCAAAGAAGATATACAAATAGCCAATAAGCATGTGAAAAGAGGCTCAACATCCTTAGCTATCAGGAAAATGCAAAGCAAAACCACAGTGAGATACTATTTCATACCCAGTGGGATGACTATAATCAGAACTACAGACAATAAGAAGTGTTGATGAGGATGGAGAAAAACGAACCCTCATAACACTGCTCGTGGAAACATACAATGGTGCAGTTGCTTTGGAAAACAATCTGGCAGTTCCCCCAAATGAGTTACCATATGACCCAGCAATTTGTCTCCTAGGTATATACCCAACTCCTATTATCTGGATGTTTATGTCCCCTCAAAATTCATATGTTGAAATCCTAACCCCTAAGATGATAGTATTAGGAGGTGGGGCCTTTGGGTGGTGATTAGATCATGAGGTAGGAGCTCTTGTTAATGGGATTAGTACTCTTACAAAATAAGCCCCAAAGAGCTGCCTTGCCCCTTCCACTGTAAAAGGACATAGCAAGTGACACCATCTGTGAGGAACAAGCCCTCAGCACACACCAAATCTGCCAGTTCCCTTGATCCTGGACTTTCAAGCCCCCAGAACTGTGGCAAATAAATGTTTTCTGCTTATAAGCCACCTAGCCTATAGTATTTTTGTTATAGCAGCCCAACAGACTATGACACCAAGAAAAATGAAAACATGTGCTCAGACAAAAATTTGTACATTCTTGTTCATAGAAGCATTATTCATAGTAGCCAAAAGGGTGAAACAACTCAAAGGCCTAACAACAAAAATGTGGTACCTCCACATAGTGGAATATTATTTGGCAGTAACAAGGAATGAAGTACAAATACCTGCTACAACATGGATGATCCTTGAAAACATTGTGCTAGGTGAAATTAGCCAGTCACAAAGAACCACATATTGTATGATTCAATTTATAGGAAATGTCCAAAATAGACAAATCTATTTTTAAAAAGTATATTAGTGGTTGCCTAGGGCTGGGCAGGAAGAAGGGGAGGTGAAAAGGGCAGTGACTGCTAATGGGTATGGGGTTATTTTTGCAGAGTGATAAAAATGCTCCAAAACTTATTATAGTGATGAGTGCATACCTCTGAGTATTCTTTAAAAAAATTGAATTGTACACTTTACACTCCCACCAACAGTGTATAAGCATTCCCTTTTCTCAGCAATCTTCCCAGCATCTGCTGTTTTTTTACTTTTTAATTCTGACTGGCATGAGATGATATCTCATTGTGGTTTTGATTTGCATTTCTTTAATGACTGGTGATGCTGAGCATTTTTTCAGCCATTGTGAAAAGCAGTGTGATGACTTCTCAAAAAACTTAAAACAGAATTATTGGGTATGTACCCAAGGGAACATAAATCATTCTATCATAAAGACACGTATATTCATTGCAGCTACTCACAATAGCAAAGACATGGAATAAACCCAAATGCCTTTCAACAGTAGTCTGGAAAAAGAAAATGTGGTACATCTATACCATGGAATACTATACAACCATAAATAAGAACGAGATCATGTCCTTTGCAGCAACATGGATGGAGCTGGAAGTCACTACCCTAAGCAAACTACCACAGGAACAGAAAATCAAATACCACATGTTCTCACTGGTAAGTGGGAGCCAAACAAGGAGAACACATGGATACTAGGAGGGGAATGACAGACACTGGGTGGGAGGAGGGAGAGGATCAGAAAAAACACCTACCTAGTACTATGCTTATTAGCCAGGTAATGAAATTATCTGTACGCCAAACCCCCATGACATACAGTTTATCTATATAACAAACCTGCGCCTGTATCCCTGAGCCTAAAATAAAAGTTAAAAAATAGGCCGGGCATGGTGGCTCACGCCTGTAATCCCAGCACTTTGGGAGGCCAAGGTGGGTGGATCACTTGAGGTCAGGAGTTTGAGACCAGCCTGGCCAACATGGTGAAACTCCATCTCTACTAAAAATACAAAAATTAGCCGGGCATGGTGGCACCCACCTATAGTCCCAGCTACTCGGGAGGCTGAGGCAGAATTGCTTGAACTCACAGGCAGAGGTTGCAGTGAGTCGAGATCATGCCACTGCACTCCAGCATGGGTGACAGGGCGTGACTCCGTCTCAAAAAAAAAAACAAAAAAAGTTAAAAAAAATGAATAAAAATAAATACAATTTTTAAAAAGAATTGTACACTTTAAATAGGTGAATTGCATGGTAGATGAGTTATATCTTAATATAGCTGTTATCATTTTAAAATGAAAAGAATCGAGTTAACAATTAGGTGAAAGCAAAAAGAGATAATGATAGCTACCCAGGGGAGGAATTCAAGGACACGTGGAAGGGCTAGCCTTAGGCAGGAGGACGGAAACCTCCTACCCAGGGCACTGGGATGAATGCAGGTGTTATAGGTTTGAAGATTTGGATTTGAGAGTATGACTGTTCTCATCTGATGGCTGAACAGGTAGACAGAGGGTAGCAGCCTTGAAGTTTGAAGAGAATGAAGAAGAAATGAAATAGTTGTGGAGGTGAGATGGTGGTCGCTGGGAGTCCTGCAGTACTGATGTTGCCTCACACTCCTGCCCACTGGCGCCCTCTTCCCACTTCTCCCTTTGGCCCTCCATGCAATTCATAAAGGGCTTCTCAAACAAAAGTGCTCATTGGGGGTCGGAGTGAGGGAAATGGTTGCCAGGACAATGAGAAATTGATAACCTTATTCAGATCTGGAGAACAATGACAGAGAGAAAGTGCAAAAGAGGAGGAAGTCAAAATGGAAGGGGAGAGGAGAGGGAACCTCCAGCTCCACCCTGGACTTTTCTAAATCTTTCAGCAGGGCCATCTCAGGAGCACGCACCATGTGCCATTGCACAGAACTCCATGGCGGAAGTGGCTCCCTGTGGTTTCACGTTCTGCTTTCACTGCCTTGAAATTCTTAACAAGTTGAGTTTTTTGTTTTGTTTTGTTTTGTTTTGTTTTGACAGTGTCTTGCTCTGTTGCCCAGGCTGGAGTGCAGTGGTGCCATCTCTGCTCACTGCAGCCTTGACCTCTCAGGTTCAAGCAATCCTCCTGCCTCATCCCCCCAAGTAGCTGGGACTACAGGCACATGCCACCACACCCGGCTAATTTTTTTGTATCGAGATGGGGTTTCACCATGTTGCCCAGGCTGGTCTTGATCTCCTGAGCTCAAACAATCTGCCCACCTCGGCCTCCCAAAGTGCTAGGATTACAAGCATGAGCCACCATGCCCAGCCTAAAATTCTTAACAAGTTTTAAATAAGGAAGTGCACATTTTTATTTTTCACAGGCAATGTAACCCATCCTGCCCTATAAAGAACACTTGTCTATCCAGAACATGGACAAGAATGTCTTCTCTACAGCTAGGAAAAAAATTACAAAGCTCAGACCTGGACTGACCCAAGAATAAAACCCCAGATCATTTGTCTTCCATAGCCTAGTTACTCTTACTTTCCACAAAATTCCAGTGAGGAACTATGGTGTTTAAAGGTATTCGTTGCCACTCCCTGAGGAGGGGGGATTATGCTTCCTCACCCCACTGACATCTGGCTTGGTCGTATGATTTGCTTTAGCCAAGAAAATGCCTCACTTCTAAGCAGAAGCAGACCCTGCGCATGTTTACCGTGTTTTATTTTCCTTCTGTTACAAAACCAGTAATGGATAGCTGGGCACGATGGCTCACACCTGCAATCCCAGCACTTTAGGAGGCCAAAGCTGGGATTGCTTGAGCCCAGGAATTCAAGACCAGCTTAGGCAACATAGTGAGACCCTGCCTTTACAAAAAAATACAAAATTATCTAGGCATGGTGGTGCGCACCTGTAGCCCCAGCTAGTTGGGAGACTGAGCTGGGAGGATAACTTGAGCCTGGAGGTCAAGGTTGCAGTGCCATGATGGTGTCACTGCTCTCCAGCCTGGACAACAGAGCAAGACTTTGTCTCAAAACAAAACAAAACCCAGTAATGCCCCACATATAGGCTACCGATCAGCCAAGATGTCATGGGGTAGTGCTACAGCTGACCTGGGTGGAGATGCAGAGGGAGCAAGAGATACATTTGGTTGCTTTAAGCCGCTGGAATTCAAGAGTTATTTGTGATTGCAACATAATCTAACTTATCCCAACTTATACAGAATGGCCTCATTTTCCAGGATCACATCAACTTAAAATCAGCAAATTTTGAGATCCTAGATGGCCCTTCTCTAACCTCTAGAATCTGACTTTACACAGAATATATATTTGTTAAATTCATAGATGGGAACTCCTATTCCCTCTGAGTCAGATCCAGACTCCTTCATCTGCACTCACAACCCTCCATGGCCAGTCATTTCAGCCTTGCCTCCCACTACCCCACAAACGACCAATTTGCTCACTCACCTGCACATGCTTTTCATTTGTTCATTCATTCATTCATGTACTCTTTTATCCCATATGTACTGGTGCCTGCTCTGTGACAGGAAGTGTGTGTGATGCAGAATTGTTTACACAGACATGGTCTCCCTGCCCTGGTGGTTTAGTTCCCAGACCTTGGTCTTGCAGTTTCTCTCTGCCAAGAGCATTGTTCTGACTTTTCTCTGCCTGTCTAAGCTGCTAGCCCTCCTTCTACACACAACTCAAACCGTGCCTCCTTCCACTAACTCATCACCCCACTTACTCTGGCGCACCCTCTCCTTCCTCTCAACTCCTACACCAATCATTTTCTTATTGATTACGTGGCAATTAGTTACATCCTGCCTGATAGTCTCTCTCCTATTGTGTTTTGAACGACTATTGAAATCTCATTATTAAAATATGTATACCTTTTCTCATGTTCTTAAATAGGTCCATAGAAGCAGCACATCCCCTAATGCAGGCTGAACTAATTAATTAAAACCAAGTGTAGTACCTTTATTTACATTAGAAGACTTGTCTACATTCAACCAACTTTGACCTAGAAAAATGGCACTTTCCCAATAATCATATGAAAAAAAGCTCAACATCACTGATCATTACAGAAATGCAAATCAAAACCACAATGAGATACCATCTCACACCAGTCAGAATGGTGATAATTAAAAAGTCAAAAAATAACAGATGCTGGCAAGGTTGCGGAGAAAAGGAACACTTTTATGCTGTTGGTGGGAGTGTAAATTAGTTCAGCCATTGTGGAAGACAGTGAGGTGATTCCTCAAAGACCTAAAGATACACATGCCATTCTGAAGAATAGGACCTGGAGCCAGGAAACCTGAGAGCTGCCTAGAACTAAATCAGAGACCCATTCAGCTATGACAGAAAATACTCTCTTCATTTACATAGGGCATACACCCAGTAAATGACTTTGTAACTTTATGCTTTTCATTTACATAAGGTGTACACATGACTTTGTAACTTCACTTCATCCTCTTGGTTTTTTTTTTGTTTGGTTTTGTTTTTGAGATGAAGTCTTGCTCTTTCGTCCGGCTGGAGTGCGGTGGCATGATCTCTGCTCATTGCAACCTCCACCTCCCGGGTTCAAGCGATTCTCCTGCCTCAGCCTCCCAAGTAGCTGGGACTACAGGTGCATGCCACCACGCCCAGCTAATTTTTGTATTTTTTAGTAGAGACGGGGTTTCACCATGTTGGCCAGGATGGTCTCGATCTCTTGACCTTGTGATCCACCCGCCTCTGTCTCCCAAAGTGCTGGGATTACAGGCGTGAGCCACCATGCCCAGCCTACTTCATCCTTGTTATTTACATAGGGCATACACCAAGTAACCAATGGGAAATCTCTACAGGGTATTGAAACCCCAGAAAATTTTGTAACCAGGACCCTTGAGCCACTTGCTCAGGGCCTGCTCCCACCCTATGGAGTGTGCTTTCATTTGCAAAAAATCTCTGCCTTTGTTATTTCATTCTTTCCTTGCTTTGTTTGTGCATTTTGTCCAATTCTTTGTTCAAAATGCCAAGAATCTGGACACCATCCACCGGTAACATATTTTTGCCAGCAAGCCAGGAGGTAAGCCCAAAGTTTGGGATTTATTTTTCTCCTTTCTCTTTTCCTTTCTACTCCATACAGGGGAATCTCTTTTTTTTCTCTCTCTCTCTCTCTTTTTCTTTCCAACTCAGGAACCTTGGTGGGCAGTTCCTAAACACAGAGGTAACTGCAGGTTTCTGGCCATGGCCACTCTCTGGTGAAACTAAGGAGTTTCCGTATGGAGGCTCCTGACTGCCGTCACCTGGTTCAAGTAAGAGACCTGGGTCTTTTTCCCTTTTTTCCTTTTTCTTTTTCGGTCTTTCAGTGGTCACTTCCTAGCAGCTCCTTGGCAATTGAGGGCAACTGGCCAGGGCCACCCTCGGGTGTTGCCTGAAGGCCAAGGAGTGAATGGGGATAGTTGCCCTGCCTGGAGAGGGAAGGACTCTTTTCTATCTTTTTTGGTTGTGGTCCCTGATTCCTACATGTGGCTCAGCTCATTCAGGCAAATTCACATACGTTTCAGGACAGTTAAACCTTCTTTTCTTATGCTAAATTCTTCCCTTCCCCTACTCAACTGGCTAGGGACAAAAGAAACCCACCCAGCCTCCAGTTCCTAACATGAAAGTTCATGGAACGGGAAGCATGGGAAAGTGTGGCCATATCAAATTATAAGGACGCCGGAAGTCGAGGTCTTCATCCAGGGACAAAAGCAAAGTTCATAGTAGGCCATCGCCTCTGGAGGGAAAATATGCAAAGCGGCACCAGTGCCCACCTAAAGTCAGAGATGTCTGAAACTCTAAGATTAGACACCAAAGGGGGGACCCCCCAGGGGATCCCCTGGACCTCAAGCTCTCCAAAGGGGATGCCCTCGGCAGAAGTTCTGAGGCCTAGTACTAAGCCCTCCTTAGAATTTTCTCTCACAGCTGCAATACCGTTTGGCCCCAATATTGTTTGGAATCTGGAGTTTGCTGTTGAATGGGAAAGTAGGTTGGAGTTGTAATAGCTAGGCTTTTGTGCTGCTGTTCTAAGCAGGATCAGGCCTGGTTATTACGTGATGTTCTCCTGTGGTGCTGTCTGACCCCAGTGTTCTTTGGAGTCTGGGGAGGTTTGGCCTTTAAAAATCAAACAGCCATGGAAACTGCTGTACCCAAAATTTTGGTTCACACCCTTCATTGGATTACCTATTGGGGCAAACAAAGTAAAACTGGTGAGTTTGTATTGCTATCTCATGGCTAGAGTTCCAAAATAAAAGCTATTGGATCTTCATTTATGTGTGTTGTACATATGTCTAGATGTGCTTATTTGTATGCACACTTATTGTTGTATATTGTGTCTACTAAATTGGCTTATAAGTAAAAGAGCACTTATAAATTAAGTCTAAGCAATTTTCGAGTGCACATGATTTAAGTATAACTTTACTAAACAAGCTGGTTTTAAAATTATTGGTAAAATAAAAATAGAAATCCCTTCAGAATTGTCAACACATGGTCAGGTGCAGTGGCTCATGCCTGTAATCCCAGCACTTTGGGAGGCCGAGGCAGGCAGATCACCTGAGGTCAGGAGTTCAAGCCTGACCAACATGGAGAAACCCCATCTCTACTAAAAATACAAAATTAGCCAAGTGTGGTGGCACATGCCTGTAATCCCAACTACGTGGGAGGCTGAGGCAGGAGAATCGCTTAAACTTGCGGGGTGGAGGTTGCAGTGAGCCAAGATCGCACCATTGCACTCCAGCCTAGGCAACAAGAGTGAAACTTCATCTCAAAAAAAGAATTATCAGCATACATTTCTGTCTGGATTTTATATTTGTCTCTGCTAGATATTTTGAGGTGTCAGGCTTTGGCATAGAAGGTTATAAAGCTATAAGCCAAAACAAAATGATCTTGGTTTGCATGCCTTTTTCTGACAAATGAGAGTAATTTAATGTTGGTAGCTAAATCTTCTGAGTTATTGGCAAAAATACATATGTATTTAACTTTGAGGCTTTTACTTAGGTTTAGGTGAGCACCTGATGTTCCCTGGCTATTCAAAACAGTGATACTGTCTAATATCTCAGTTTACAGAAGTAATCTGGATAAACTATTAAAAATGAAAGAATTGAGTACAGTAAATAAGATAAATATTTTAGGTAAATTTTTGTGTAAATTAAAATCTTAAAATTATTGTTGATGCTCATTGAATATCTGGGTTATTTCCAATTAAGAAGGGGTTGCGATATGGGGAAATATGTTTCTAAAATTGGGGGGAAAGTTTAGATAATAAAATATTCCTTAAAACCTCATAGAGAATAGGAGACATTTGACTAATTAACATTTTCATAGTTAAAGCTCTTAATCTTGATTAAAGAAAAATAAGAAATATTGTAAAGAAATGTATTGGCTGTTTGGCAATTCTTTTTTTAAATATAATTAAGAATGGAGCTGGATTTAGTGTGGAGACAAATTTCACATACCTGCTTGCTTCACACTATTTTACTGTTTTTCATGGATAGTGCTGGCACTGGAATACTTACTGGTCATGTGCCTAGAGTAAATTTCTTGATTGCACAGGATGTATGTTGATATTAGTGGACTTAAGGATATTAAATTGTGTATCAGGAATAAAATATTCATTATGTGGGTTTTTAGGGCATCTGGGTAACAATGTAGCCTCCAGGGTAGATTGAGTAGGAAAAATTTATGGTTGATTTTCTGTTTATTTGTTTTTGCTTCTAATTTTCTTTTGTTTGCTATTTATTCTCCTCTGGGCTTTGCTTATGTGTGGAGATATATAAAGCCATGATGCTTTCTTTTTGTTTTTTTTTGTTTTTGAGACAGAGTTTCACTCTTGTTGCCCAGGCTGGAGTGCAATAGTGCAATCTCGACTCACTGCAACCTCTGCCTCCCAGGTTCAAGTGATTCTCCTGCCTCAGCCTCCCTAGTAGCTGGGATTACAGGCATTTGCCACCATGCCCAGCTAATTTTTTGTACTTTTAGTAGAGACATGGTTTCACTATGTTGCCCAGGCTGGTCTCGAACTCCTGACCTCAGGTAATCCACCCACCTCAGCATCCCAAAGTGCTGGGATTACAGGCATGAGCTACTGTGCCCAGCTAGCCATGACGCTTTTTTATTTTCTAGCAGAAGGATTTTATTTGGTTCTGTGAATAGTTACTTTGTTTCCTATGCATTTCTAGCAAGTAATCATTTATTTCATTTATCTGGAATTCCTAGACTACCTTTGTCCAGCCTGCAAGAACTGATGGAGCACAACAGCTTTTTCTTAAACCTTAAACTAACTTTTTGGATATTAGGCTTCCTGATACTTTAAGTGCATTGAGTATACATTCATCAATAGCATTTTAGTCATATTTCTCTCTCTGCCTAATTTCTCCAAAATCTGTAAATTATTTGTGAATATTCTTAATTCATGGCAATGCATTTGTTTGCATACAGTTGAGCAGGGTTGCTAGGGCCACTCAGGGAAAGAGAACCCTGAACCTGACATGACACCAATAAGGTAAGAATTTCTTACCAGTCAGACTTCTGCCCCATCTCTCTGTGCAAACTGGTTGAATGAATGGTAAAAGATTATAAGAAGAAATAGGAATGTAAATTTTGTAAACCTTTAACATCTTTAATAGACTTCCCAAAATCAAACTTCAGCTTTAAAATTGTCATTTCTGACATCTAACTTTGGGATGCTACAGAGGGCCCCTGAAGCATCTGAAAGAGAGGTAAACAGGATTATCTGACATGTTTAGTTACATGGGAAGCACTGTCAAAATAAAAAAAAAATGTTTAATCTTTTTCAGGTTATATTTTAGTGAATATTAATATATGTTACAAAATTGTATGGGATTTCTAAAATTCTAAATATGTCTGAGTATATAATATCAGTTATAATGTTTATTATGTTAAGTTACTGTAGACCACAGAAATAATCAAATTTCCTTGTATAAAACTACTAACCCAAAACTAAATGAATACCAAGAAAATACATTTCCAGATTTGCATGCTAAATCAGCTGATACTGAAATTGTTTAGATATACAATTTGAATGAACTCCATGGGCTAAGTCAAATTACCTATGATAACCCATGAGTTATCAGTGCTATGCATCTAAACTGGAGAAACAAATGGTATTCAGGAGGACGTAAGTTCAACGTTAAGCATGGACTCATGGAGAACCAGAATGGCTGCCTGTCCTTCCTGAGTCCTAAAAGCTCTTGTTATTAAAGGTTCTGCATTCCATGGCCTGAGAAGGACTCTGTACTTCTATATTTGAGAACTTGTGAGCAAACTGTAACCTAACTTAGGAATATGCACATGTAACAATAGCTGAATCTTGGCCAATCCCAGCAACCCAAAATCAGGCCAGGAGATAAGGTACTTGTTAACACATGGAAGGAGAGATCACCTGCTCTGGATAATAGTGGCCATTTTTATATTGCCCCCTTCCAAACAGATGGAATTACTTCCTCTGTAGTAATTAAGCAGAATGTTTCAATTCATCTCTATAATAAACATTCTTGACAGCATCGGTATCCACCCCCGATATTCCCATTCGATCTTTTAACCAAATTCACATCCTCTTGCCTAGAGACCATCAAGCTTCAGATGATCATGTGACAAGGTTTCCAGCAAGTTCCAAGTGAAGGCACTACATCCTGCCATCAAGAATCTACCCTGTCTCCACTAGACAGAGTAGGGCAAGAGTTCTATGATTCCCAATAGGTAGGGACTACACCCCAAGCCAACACGAAGCAGTTACAGAAGAAAGACCATCAGTCCCTCTGCCTCCCATAAAGATTTATGGGGATCACATCTTTCAGGTGGGAAATGAGGTAATAGAATAGGGCCTGGAGGCAGGGAACCTAAGAACTTCCTAGAACTAAATCAAATGGAAACACTTGAGCTATGACAAGAAATATCGTCTTCATTTACATAGGGCATACACCCAGTAAATGACTTTGTAACTTAACTTCATCCTCTTCATTTACATAGGGCATACACCAAGTAATCAATGCGAAACCTCTAGAAGGTATTGAAACCCCAGAAAATTCTGTAACTGGGGCCCTTGAGCCACTTGCTTGGGCCTGCTCCCACCCCATGGAGTGTGTTTTCATTTGCAGTAAATCTCTGCTTTTGTTGCTTCATTCTTTCCTTGCCTTGTTTTTGTGTTTAGTCCAATTCTTTGTTCAAAACACCAAGAACCTGAACACCCTTCCACCAATAACAATTCAACCCAGCAATCCAATTACTGGGTATATACTCAAAGAAATATAAATGGTTCTATTACAAAGAGACATGCATGTGTATGTTCATTGCAGCACTATTCACAATAGCAAAGACATGGAATCAACCTACATGCCCATCAATGATAGACTGGATAAAGAAAATGTGGTACATATACATCGTGGAATACTATGCAGCCATAAAAAAAGAATGAGATAATGTTCTTTGCAGCAACATGGATGGAGCTGGCAGCTATTATCCTTAGCAAACTAATGCAGGAACAGAAAACCAAATACCGTATGTTCTCGCTTGTAAATGGGAACTAGATGATGAGAACACATGGACACATAGAGGGGAACAATGCACACTGTGACCTTTCAGAGGATGGAGGGTAAGAAGAGGGAGAGGACTAGGAAAAATAACTAATGGATACTAGGCTTAATACCTGGGTGATGAAATAATCTGTACAACAACCCCCATGACACAAGTTTGCCTGTGTCACAAACCTGCACATCCTGCACACGTTCCCCTGAACGTAAAATAAATGTTAAAAAATAAATAAATAAAATGGTGGGGAAAAAAAGGTAATTTCCTATGGTTCAACCTAATAATTCTACTACAAAAAGTAATCTGTTAGCTTTGGAGTCCTCTCCCTTGCTAGGGGTTTCTAGGGAAGAACACACACGACCTGTCCTCACAGGGGTCCCACCCACAGGCCCCAACACTTGCTAAAATCTGTGTCCCTTAGAGAAAGCGTTGGCAGGCATTGGGGAAATAACTGTTTCTGGGGCATCAGCCCCTTTAAACCTGCTGACCAAGTCCTCCGCTCTCATTCTGCAGTAGGAAAGTTTACAAAGATACAGCAGAAAGAACAAAGAAAACCAAAAAAGGAGAAGGTACTAATTGTTGAGCATTTACTATGTGCCAGGCCCTTAGACTAAGTGTTGCATATATATATGCCTATTGATCCTCGAAGACAATCTTGAAAAGTGAGCACTTCCCATTTTCCAGAGAAGGAAACAGGCTTACAGACATGACGTGTCGTGCTCACGGTCACTGAGCAGTGAAAGCCAGTGTCCCCTTATCTGTGACATTCACACAGCTGGTTATTTGGGAGTATTTGATGGTTTTGTGAGTATTTGATGGTTTTGTGAAGCCTGAGCTGACTCCTCTTGTACCCATCTGCTTGACTGGTACAATCATCTCCCTCACACAGATGCAGAGGTGAGCCCCGAAGACATTGAGCCTTGCCTCTCCCATCACACGACAAATGAATGGCAGGAGGATTGCTTCAACAGGGCATGCCAGAATCATCCCACTCAGCCTGGTAGCTTCATTGGCACGGTTGAGCTGGCAACAGGACACTCATGCAGGGCAACTGAATAATCAGAAGCAGTGAAGCCTGAACTCTAACCACTATCATTTTAAAGATTATTATGTGCAGTTATTTCAGCTAATTAAACCTTGAATGCCTGCCAGCTCAGCTTCCAGCTCAGAGAGGAAATGCAGGCATGCATGGCCTCAGCTTCCCTTCCAGCCTCTGTCTGCCTTTCAGGGGGAGCAGAGCTCAGGGCCTGGGAATGGAGGGAGCAAGGAGAGCAGCAGAGCAAGGGAGGGGCCCTCAACCACTGTGGCCACTTCCCCATGGGAACGCAGAAGTTCTGATCCTTGCCACGGGAAAAATCCCCTGACTTTTGTAGCCTCTCAGGTATGGGAAGTTACAGCCTGTTCTTTACTGGTTCATCAAGGAAGAGTCGGGTCTGGCTTGAAGCCTGGAATCAATGCCAAGAGCAAAGTTGAGGTCCCAGCTTTGTGGCTGGTAGCTGTGAGGACCTGGACAATCTTCTGTTTTCTCACCTGCATGCTCTCTGAAATTTAGCTTTTGCACAAAAATGTGTAGACAGGGTACCTAGTGCTGTGCCTATCCAATACAGTAGCTACAAGCCACATGGAGCAGTTTAAATTTCAATTTCAATCAATTAAAATTAAATTAGATTAAAAATTCCATTTCTCTGTCACACTAGGCAATTTCAAGTGCTCAGCAAGCCTACTGTATTGGACAGGGCAGCTACAGAGCATCTCCATCATCACAGGATGTTCCAAGGGACAGCACTGGCCCTGTGATTGAGGGTGTGAACCCTGATTCGACTCAAGGCTGCAATCCCAGCTCCACCGCTTACTGGTGACCCTGGGCAAGTTACTGAACCTCCTCATCCTCAGTTTCCTCATCTATAAAATGGGAAATAACAGGATCCAGCCCAGAGTTTTTGTAAAGATTAAATGAGAAATGTGTGTAAGATACTTAGAAGAATGCCAATAATGGTAAGCACACTATAAATATTAGCTCTTAGTAACGTATTTTGAGGAGTATGTATAAATTCATTCTATTACAGGGCTTTACAGTTCTAGGAAGCAGTTTCAAAATCACTATCTCATTTGAATTTCACAAGGGTTCCATGGGGCAGGCGGTGGCACAAGGAGTCGGCTGAACCCTTTTATTAATACAAGAAGGCAAACTAAAATCCATAGGTTACCTGACTGCCTGAAAGGGTGGCAGAACTAAGAACTAGGACTTGAACTAAGGGAATAATTCAAGAACTAACATCTGTAGACTCTTTTACACTTCATGTCCTATTTCAGATTTAGCATAATCTAAGGAGGCCAGGAATGTGCCTCCCATGTTAAGAGTGAGGTTCTGCGATGGGAGTAATCCCAACGCTCACTAGCCCTTACATAGCACAGCCCTTGGTGCTCTTGCACTTGGCCTCCCTCCCTCCCCATGTTCCTTGTCCATTGCTACCTTGGGCTTCCTTACAGCATGGGGGACCCAGGGTAAGTAGAGTTTTACATGGTGGCTGGCTTCCAAGAAAGAGGTGGTGAAGCTGCTAGTCCTCTTTGGTCTTAACTGTATGCCAGGCACTGTCCTGTAATCTCCACAACTCAGTAGGGTAGGTACACATATGATTCCCATTTTAGTGATGATGAAGGTAAAGCACACAGAGGGTAAGCAACTTTCCCAAACTCAGCCAGGAGGTGGTGGAGTCAGGACATCAGAGCCCAGGAAGTCTGATTCCAGCCTGGCTTCAGAGATGTCACCATTCACCTGCCCACATCCCAGGACAGGTGCAGGAAGCAGGAGGACAGAGCTCTTTGTTCCCAGGGCCTATTTCTCTCCTTCTCTCACCTGTGTCCAAGGACAGGAGAGTACAGCCCCTCTCCCAGCCTCAGGGGATTGCTGGGGGACACAGGTGCCTTTCTGTGCCTCTTGCTATCACCCTGTATTCCTTTGTTAGTGCTGCCATAAAAAAGCAACACAGAACAGAGGGCTTAAACAACGTAAATTTATTTTCTCACAGTTCTGGAGGCCAGAAGTCCCAGATCAAGGTGTCAGCAAAGTTGGTTCTTTCTGAGGGCCATGAGGGAAAGATCTGTCCCAGGCCCCTTTTGTTGGCTTGTAGATGGCCTCAGTCTTCCCATGTCTTCACATCCTCTTCCCTCTGTACAGGTCTATATCCAAATCTCATCTTAGGAGGACCCCAATAGTATTGGATCAGGGCCCACCCTAATGATATCATTTTAATTCAATGACCTCTTTAAAGACTCTATCTCTAAATACAGTCTCAGTGTGAGATACTGGGAGTTAGAACCTCAATATGTGAATTGGGGGACATAGGGAACAGTTCATCCCATAACACCCTCTGTCTGCCTTCATCCTTCTTGCTCAAGTCAATTCTTGGCCACCTGGAGATGTCAGTGGGAGCAAGGTTCTGGGGGCAGAACTGTGACGAGCTGATGAGTGGAAAGGAGTGTTGATGAAAGTGGAAACTCTGGAGACCAAATGACAGCCTAAACCACTGTCCACTGAAATGATGGGGATGGGCCTGTGGGGAAGGGAAGCATTATTAATCATTGCAATTAGCCTGAGCAACATAGCAAGATCCTGTCTCTACAAAAATAAAAATAAAAATTGCCGTGTGTGGTGGCGTGTGCCTGTAGTCCTAGCTACTCAGAAGGCGGAGGCAGGAGGATACCTTGAGCCCAAGAATTTGAGTTTACAGAGAGCTATGATTGTGCCACTGCACTCCAGCCTGGGCAACAGAGCTAGACCCTGTCTCTAAAGATTTTTTTTTTAATTCACTGAAATTTACTGACTACCTTCTCATTGCATCCCCATAACAGGCCTGTGATAACAAATTGGTGTTATTATCCCATTTGTAGTTAAGAAAAATGATACTCAGAGTGATTTTTAAAACATCTGGGTTAAGGAAGCTATGGAGCTAAGGATCATGGGTCCTAACTTCTCAGGATAAGAGCCAGATCAGGCTGGGCACAGTGACTCATGCCTGTAATCCCAGCACTTTGGGAGGCAAAGGTGGATAGATCACTTGAGGTCAGGAGTTTGAGACCAGCCTAGCCAACATGGTGAAACCCTGTCTCTGCTAAAAATACAAAAAATTAGCTGGGCGTGGTGGTGCACACCTGTAATCCCAGCTACTAAGGAGTCTGAGGCAGGAGAATTGCTTGAACCCAAGAGTCAGAGGTTGCAGTGAGCCCAGATAGTGCCACTGCACTCCAGCCTGGATAACAGAGCAAGGCTCCATCTCAAAAAAAAAAAAAGCCAGATAATTCATTCTATTTGTTTGGTGATTATGTAAAATTAATAACGAAGCTTTACTCTGAGTATGAAAATAAACAAAAACTATTGCTATACCCAAAAAAGTCTCTGACACACACACACACACACATACACACACACACACAAAAGGGTATTTCATTCATGCTGAACCTATGCAAAGTGAAATGAAGTAACTCATCAAAAGTCACCACCTAGCATATGGCAGAGCTGGTGCTGATTCATCCATGTTTTTTCAACATTAGCATGCAGAAGGGGTAACTGGAAAAAGATCCCACTACCCCAGAGATCTTAGAGCAGAGTTCTGGAATGAGTAGCCTCAGCAGTCACACTGCTTGGTGGGTGTAGAGATGGAGTTTGAAAGGTTCTGGGTGTGGTCAGCAGTATATACAAATGGTGCCATAGATTCCTTCCCTCTCTGCTCTTGCTCACAACTCCTCACATCAAGAAGTTAGGTCTTTTTTTCCTCCCCTTCAACTTGGGGTGGCCTTTTGATTTGCTCTAGTGACTGAAATATGACAGAAGTGACACTGTGACCATTCTGAACCCAGACCAAAGAGGACTAGCAGCTCTGCTACCTCTTTCTTGAAAGCTAGCCACCATGTAAAAGTCTAGTTACCTTGGGTCCACCATGCTGCAAGGAAGCCCAAGGTAGCTATGGACAGGGACATACGGAGAGAGAGGGAAGCCAAGTGGAAGAGTACCAAGGTACCAGATACATGCATGAAGCCTTCTTAGGCTTTCCATCCCAGGCCCAGCTTCCAGATAAATGCAACTGAGTGAGTGACTAGAGCAGAAGAACCACCCAGCTGAACCCTGCCCAAATTCCTGACCCAAAGAATAATGAGAAACCATAAGTCATTGTTGTTTTAAGCCATTAAGTCTAGGGATAGCTTATTTTGCATCAAGAGTTAGTTGAAATACTATTCGGAGGGAGAGGAGCTATGGAGGTATGTTAGAAAAAACATACGTCATCAACAGGCAGGGAGTAGGGAGGGCAGGTCAAGACAAGAACCAGCAAGAGAATATCATGAGCCTTAGCTGGGCAAACAAGGTATTCTACAGTCTGGCCCCATGACGATCCCTGGCACTTCAAGCACACATAGCTATGGGGTGATCTCTAAGCCTCACACAGCTTTGCCTTTGCACATGCCATTTCTTCCTTCTGGTGTGCCATTTGCTCACTTATCCTTCCAGATCCAGTATCAAAGACAGACCAAAAACCCATAAGAAGGCAATGGGTTTTAAGGCCCTTAGAGTCTGACTCTTGTCTATTTCTCCAGCTTCATCTCTTACCCTCTCCTCTCTCTGTGCTCCAAACACATGGGTCTTATTATAATAGTTATTTGCACCTTTTGCTCCTTCCCTTGGACCTTTTGCTCCTTCCCTCTACAGAACCTTTGGAGGTGCTATTTCCTCTGCTAAGGATGCTTCCACACATCCACACTCATTCCACTTGGCCTAGTTAATTCCTGCTTCTCCTTCAACTATCAGCTGAAGAATTTCATCTTCAGGGAAGCCTCCCATAGATCCCAAAGTCAAGTCTGGTTCCCTTGTTATTTATTCTCATAGCACCATATTCCTGCCCTGCCCCCAGGGTTATTCTGAGAAATCTGATGCTCCTGTTCTCATAGACTGTCAGTTCCTTTAGGTCAGGGACCATATCTGTCTGTGATCACTACTATATCACCAGTGCCTAGAACAGTTTGTGGCACATAGTAGATGCTCAGTAAATACCTATTGAATGAATGAATAAATATTATCTCCTCTAAATAGCTTTAATTGACACTCCTCTCCCTCTGAGATTCAGGCTTTCTTTCTCTTCTTAGTTCCCAGGACACTTAGTTTTTATCTCTTATCATCTTATGCTGAACTGTTCTGGTTATGTTTGTCACCCCTTCTAAACTGTGACTGTGATAAGGCCCAGGTCCTGTTTGTTTTTCTATCCCAGGAGCACAGCTCCGAAACTGGTGCAGACTAATTTGTCCATTGTAAAATGTGGAAGCTTGGAAAGATAGAATGTGGATATGCATGCTAGTGGTGAGATTCCCCATCTCATCATATTCAGAAAGCCAAAGGTGTTCTTTAGAAAACCATGCCAGTGTACCAGTCAGAAATCTCAAATAACTGAAAAAGTCAGCTGCCTTCAGGTATGGTGGGATCCAGGGTCTCACATGCAGGATGTGGCCTCTGTCTTTCTCTCAACACTATGCTTTGCTGTGTTAGCCTCAATCTCAGGCAGGCTTTATCTATACTTACTAAATTCCAAAAGCTCTAGGTCATATCCTTCTAACTATGAGTCTATTAAGAGAGATTCTATTCCCCAATAGTTCAAATAAAAGTTCACCAATAGATGCCAAAATTATTATAGTAAAAACGAAAAAAAAAAAAAAGGCTTACCAATAGAATCTCATGGGACCAGTTTGGTCACATGCCCACCCCTGGGCCAATCACTGTGGCCTTCAAGAATCAACACTGTAATTTATCAAACATACATCACTTGCCCATTCCTGGAGCTGGAGATAGAATCAGTCTCACTGAACCTATGGGTTTAAAGTGGGCTCAGCAACCAGGAGACAGGGCAATGGAAACAGAGCACATAAAGTCCACCACATTCACTCTGCCCAGACTTTACAGCTCTGTTCACTGGAGGTCCAAACACACCGAAGAGTCTGCAAGGGATGTTGCTGCAGAGGCCATGACAGGCTGCGCATGGTGACATTTCCCACTCACTGTGGCTCTAAGATTTCACTTGAGCGGAGCATAGCCTGGCTTTCCATCATCCTGCTCTCCTTCCACCAGCCCAGAAGCCTGGTGGAGTGAAAGCCAGAGACTCCATGACTAAGGTGCCCTGGGTTGGAGATTCCCCTCACCCACTCCTCCTCCAGAGAGAACACACACCAAGAAAAAGCACTTAGCCTTGATGCTGGTTTCCTGTCACTGCCCTTCCTATTGAGACGTCATTGGCCTTGGCTCCCCTCCTGACTTTTCTATTTTTTTCTACCTCCTGTTAAAGAGGCAACAGGTCCGTAAAAGATTTATCCCATAACCTAGTGTTTCAGGCTCTATCTCCCTGTTGGTTAGACTCCCTGACAGATTAATAAATTAACAATTTATTAATTGTTTTGTTTGTTGGATGGATGGATGGATAGATGGATGGATATACGGACAGATGGACAGATGGACGGATGTATGGATGGATGGATGGATAGATGAATGGATAGACAGATGGAGGAGTGCAATGAAAGGTGGATGAATTGGTTCTGAGTGCCCTCAGAACACTCTATCTCCTCTTCTCATATTTACCACCCTAGGCTCCAGATTACTGTAAATATAGAAAGCCCTTTTTCTTGTCCTGAAATCAGTTTCCCAGCCCTCTGTTATTATAACAATGACTGACATTTAACATGGTTAATTCTTATCCAGGCACTTACCCTGAGCTAAGTACTCATTCAATCTCCACAATTCCATTGTCTGGATGCTGTTATTGTCTACAGTTTACAGTGAAGGAAACCAAGGCTCAGAGACAGGAACTTGTCCAAGGCACATAGCCAGTCAATGGCAGAGCCACAACTCAAAGTGTGTGACCTTAGCCACTATCTTCTAGGGCCCTATGAACACGAACCTCAGCCCTGTCTACACCAATTTTCTCCTTCTCCCTTGAACATGTCATATCTTTATTCATGGAATAAGGTCTTCCTCCTCACCTCTTTGTAGACTCATATCAAGGAATACATTCATCAAAGTAACACTAAGTTACACTCTGAACAAATAAACCCTCAAATTTCAGTAGCTTATCACAACCAAGATTTATGTCCTACTCATGTTATGGACTAATGTGGGGCAAGTGGCCCTCTTCCATCTGATAGCAGGCCTCTAACAGGGGAAGGGAGAAGTGGAAGAGGAGCACTGGCTCTTTGCTGCCTCAGCCTAAAGGGAACACATGTCACTCCTGCTCACATTTCACTCACCCAACTAATTAGTGTGTGGACATTTGGCGAACATATCCCATCTCTGCCACAAAGAACCATACACTCCTGCCAGGGGTCATGCAGAAGATAAAGGCTCAGCCAGCCCAGTCAGTACAAATTCGGAGGGTGGGGGAGGAAAAAAGAGCCAAGATTCAAGCTGGTGGCTGGGGAGTGGAGAGAGATGGATAGGATTCCAGAATTAACCAGGTACAAAGCACCCAACACTTGGGTGGTACCCCATGTCTATTGTCTTGAATATTGCTCACAAGTAAGCCAACCCTAAGCTTCTTGGCTAAGACTCAGAACTCTTGTTATCTAAGTTTATGGCTGTTAATTACAGGATTTGACCTGAATTAACTGAACAATGCAGTAAGAATAACAATCCCTGACTTTTCAAATTTTAGATTTTCCAAATCATACAGCAATCATCTCATTTGACCCTCACAATAACCCTATGACGTGGGTATGCTATCTCTACCTCTATTGTGCAATAAGGAAATTTAGAGAAGGATGATGTAATTGACCAAAGTCGCTCAAAACCTGTGCGTGCTGCAATACATCTCAGTGCCAGTTTTCTAACACATGCTAGGGGCTCTTTCTTCTACAGTTCAGCTGTGTCTCATGCAAATTTCTATGGAAATCGACAATGTGAAAATGAACATCCATAGGATTTGAATTCAAAAGCTTGGGTGCTCTGTGCACCAAGAGGGAGTTGTTTAAGCATACAGGTGTTGAAGTCAGATGGCCTGGGTTTTAATCCCAGTTCTGCCACCTGCTAGCTGGGTGATAGCTGGCAAGTTAATCTACCTGCGCTCACTTTCCTTATTTGGAAAATAACGATCCACTGTACCTAACCCATAAGATTATGGTGAGGATTAATGAGACAAGGAATATAAAATTCTTAGCACAATGCCTGGCTCAACATTAGAACTTAATAAACACTGAATGATGCTGCCAAGATCTTTCTGGGAGACAAAAAGATGCCACTATTCCTTCCTTCCTCCCTCAGGGCATGATCGTGTCTCACTACATGACACTCTTGGCTTCAGCTGGAGAACAAACGGACCACCTAACCCGGCTTCACGTGCAACTGCCAGCGAGAAGAGAATGTTCTTTTCTTTGTCTGAGATTCGGCACTGGTCCCTGCCGCCAATCCCAGGTCTTCGTCTCAGATTTGCTGCCACCCAGAGGCCATTTCATGCCATGCCAGGATGACTCTCCAAAGTATTCCTTGGGACAGTGGTTTTCAAAAGAAAGTGGGACGTGGGGGCAGGGAAGGAAAAGGAAAACATATCCAACTCTTGGAGGCAGGCGAGACTGTGGGGGTTGAAACAATCCCGCAGGGGATCCTGGCGTGCCCTCCACTCTATTCACTTGAGGTTGTCTGATTTCGGTGAAGCCAAAAAGAGAGAAAAGGGGAAAGGGAGTCAAAAGGATCCTGTCTGTCTTCACCAGCACTAGGAATACATGTCAGCTGGTGCTTTCAAGGGGTGTCAGCTCCACCTCGTGGAATGAGAGCCAGTGATTTGTTTCTGATGCAATTCTTCAGCCAGTAAACACAGGAACAAGGAAGTTATGACATGACCTTTCTAAAGATCCTTAAAAATACCCCAGCCAAAGGGACTAGTATGGAGAATATGTAAAGAATCCTTGCAACCTGGCAGAGCACTGTGGCTCATGCCTGTAATCTCAGTACTTTGGGAGGACAAGGTAGGAGGATCACTTGAGCCCAGGAATTCAAGACCCGCCTGGGCAACATAGTGAGACCTCATCTCTACAAAAAAAAAAAAAGAACTTTTACAACCTAATCATCAAAAGACAAATCAGCAAAAGGTTTTGTATTAGTCCATTCTCACATTGCTATAAAGAAATACCTGAGACAGGATAATTTATAAAGAAAAGAGGCTTAATTGGCTCATGGTTCTCCCGGCTACACAGGAAGCATAGCAGCTTCTGGGGAAGCCTCAGGGAGCTTTCAATGATGGCAGAAGGCAAAGGGGGAGCAAACAACTCATATGGCCAGAGCAGGAGGAAGAGAGAGAGTGGGGAGGTGCTACACACATTTAAACAAGATCTCGCGATAACTCACTCACTATCAGGAGAACAGCACCGAGGGAGTGGTGCTAACCCATTCATGAGAATTTGGCCCCGTGATTCAATTACCTCCCACCAGGCCCCACCTCCAACACTGGGGATTACAATTCTATATGACGTTTGGTGGGAGCACAGATCCAAACCATATCAGGTCCGAATAGACATTTTTTAAAAACCAATAAGCACATGGAAAGGTGATCAACATGATCAGCCATCAGGGACATGCAAAGCAAAATGATAAAGACGTGACCTCATACGCACTAGGTGAGCTAAAATCAAAAAGACAGGTGTTGGTGAGGATGTGAAGAAACCAGAACCCTCACACACTTCCAGGGGGTGGTGGGGAGAATGGAAAATGGATGCAACTTCTTGAAAAACAGCCTGGAGGCTTCCCAAAAGTTATAGAGTTACAGTATGACTCAACAATTCCACTCCTAGTTACATATATCCAAGAGATGAAAACATATATCCACACAAAAACATGCACACCAGTTCCCATAAAAGCATCATTCGTAACAGCCAAGAAGTGAAAACAACCCAAATATGCACCAAATAAGATGTCTATAGTCGGCAGGGCAAGGTGGCTCACGCCTGTAATTCCAGCACTTTGAGAGGCGGAGGCGGGCTGGTCATTTGAGGTCAGGAGTTCAAGACCAGCCTGGCCAACATGGTGAAACTCATCTCTACTAAAAATACAAAAAAATTACCAGGCATGGTGGCACAAGCCTGTAATCCCAGCTATCAGGAGGCTGAGGCAGGAGAATCAATTGAACCTGGGAGGCAGATGTTGCAGTGAGCTGAGATTGCACCACTGCACTCCAGCCTGGGCAACAGAAGGAGACTCTGTCTCAAAAAAAAAAAAAAAAAAAAAAAAAGATGTCTATAGTCATACAATGGAATGTTATTTGGCAATAAAAAGGAATGAAGAACCAACACATGCTATAACATGGAGGAACCTTGAAAACATTATGCTAAGTGAAAGAAGCAGTCACAAAGAACCACATATTTCATAATTCTGCTTATATGAAATGAAATGAAATGTCCAGAATAGGCAAGTCTATAGAGACAGAAAGTAGATTTGCAGTTCCCTAGGGCTGGTGCAGGTGTGAGGCTGGGGGTGGGGGCAGACAATTATGGCTAAGGGGTACAAGGTGTCTTTATGGGCTGATAAAAATGTTCTTAAGTTGCTTGTGATGATGGTTGCGCAACTCTGAATATACTAAATGCCATTGGATTGTACACTTTAAATGGGTGACTTATATGGCAGGTAAATTATTTATCAATAAATCTGTTAAAAAAGTAAAATAAACCAAGCTCTTCTTTGTACATCTGCTTGAGGCAAGGGCTGTTTCCAAGCCCCTGTATTCCCAACAGTATGAATCACAGAAGGAAAACAAAATCAGGACCTCTGGAGGCTGGAGGCAGGAGAGTTGTGTTGTACTGCGACCCTCAGTGCCCAGAGGGCTCTTCAGTCCTGGCAGCAGCTCATTGCTAGTGGCCAGCATGGCCAGGCCCATTGGAGCTGGAGGATACACTGTAACCGGCTGACACCATGTACAAAGGAGAGTAACACAGCTCTACTACCACCAGGTATGGCTGTAAGGCCGGGTGTGGCATAAACTCTGCCAGGTCACACATGGGCTCCAGACCCACAGACACCTGCTCTAAAGACAGAGACAGAACAGAAGCAACATGAGCTTTGGCAACAGACAGACCCAAATTGGCACCACGTCCCTTCTATCTATCAGTTCTATGACCTCAGGCCTATACTCATCTTTTAAAAAATTCAATAATAATGCCTATCATGTAAGCTGCCCTCACTCTTCCCTTCCCCAGTTTGTTTTCTTTTGTTGGGCTAACATTTATTGAAGGCTTACTAGGTACTAAGCAAATGCTGTACAGGCATTAATATCTCTGTTAGTCTTCACTGCAATCCTGGACAAATCCAGAATGATTTCTTATTATGCCATTTTTAGATATGAAGGAACAGAGGTTCAAAGAAGTCAGACAACTTCTCCATTGTCACAAAGCTAACAAGTGGCAAAGCCACTATGCCCAAGTCATCATTTTAAGTATCATACTATACTCTATCCATATAGCAAGAGTGACATTTCATAAGTAGATAAAGAGCTTGACACAGAGTTGGGCCCTCAGAAAAGAGTCCTGAGAGCCAGGTGTATCAGTCTGTCCCCACACTGCTATAAAGAAATACCCGAGACTGGGTAATTTATAAAGGAAAGAGGTTTAATTGACTCACAATTCTGCATGACTGGGGAGACCTCAGGAAACTTACAATCGTGGTAGAAGGTGAAGGGAAAGCAAGGACCTTCTTCACATGCAGGCAGGAGACAGTGTGAGCAAAGGGGGAAGAACCCCTTATAAAACTATCACATCTCGTGAGAACTCACTATCACTAGAATAGTATGGGTGAAACCACCCCCGTGATCCAATCACCTCCCACCAGGTCTCTCCCTAGACACATGGGGATTACAATTCAAGATGAGATTTGGGTGGAGGCACAGCCAAACCATATCACCAGGGTACCAAAATCATTCCCCCGAGTGGTGTCCCTATCCAGAGGCCACAGACAGGACACCTGCCATGTGAAGGTGACATGGCTTGAATGTTTGTTCCCTCCAAATCTCATGTTGAAATGTGACCTCCATTCTGCAGTTATACAAGCAGTAAGAATAAAACAAAATGAAACAAACAAAAAAGAAATGTGACCTCCAATATTGGAGATAGAGCCTAACAGGAGGCATTGCAACATGGGGATGAATCCCTCATGAATGGCTTAGTGCCATCCCCTTGGTGATGAGTGAATTCTCTCTTGGTTAGTTCATGTGAGATCTTATCAGGGAACGTGCCCTGATAGTCACGTAGGTTCTTTTCTATTTTGCCTAAGCGTCAGCCGGTTTGAGAAATAAAGGGACAGAGTACAAAAGAGAGAAATTTTAAAGCTGGGTGTCCGGGGGAGACATCACATGTCAGTAGGTTCCATGATGCCCCACAAGCCGCAAAACCAGCAAGTTTTTATTAGGGACTTTCAAAAGGGGAGGGAGTGTACGAATAGGGTGTGGGTCACAAAGATCACGTACTTCACAAGGTAATAGAATATCACAAGGCAAATGGAGGCAGGGCGAGATCACAGGACCACAGGATGGGGCGAAATTAAAATTGCTAATGAAGTTTCGGGCACCATTGTCATTGATAACATCTTATCAGGAGACAGGGTTTGAGAGCAACCGGTCTGATCAAAATTTATTAGGTGGGAATTTCCTCTTCCTAATAAGCCTGGGAGCGCTATGGGAGACTGGGGTTTATTTCATCCCTACAGTCTTGACCATAGAAGATGGCCAAACCCAAGGGGTCCATTTCAGAGACCCAGCCTCAGGCACATATTCTCTTTCCCAGGGATGTTCCTTGCTGAGAAAAAGAATTCAGCAATATTTCTCCCATTTGCTTTTGAAAGAAGAGAAATATGGCTCTGTTCTGCCCGGCTCACCAGCAATCAGAGTTTAAGGTTATCTCTCTTGTTCCCTAAACATTGCTGTTATCTTGTTCTTTTTTCAAGGTGCCCAGATTTCATATTGTTTAAACACACATGCTCTACAACTTGTGCAGTTAACACAATTATCACAGGGTCCTGAGGCGACATATATCCTCCTCGGCTTACGAGATGACAGGATTAAGAGACTAAAGTAAAGACAGGCATAGGAAATCACAAGGGTATTGATTGGGGAAGTGATAAGTGTCCATGAAATCTTCACAATTTAGAGACTGCAGTAAAGACAGGCATAAGAAATTATAAAAGTATTAATTTGGGGAACTAATAAATGTCCATGAAATCTTCACAATCCACGTTCTTCTGCCAGTCCCTCCATTTGGGGTCCCTGACTTCCTGCAACAAGATCTGGTTGTTTAAGAGTCTGAGACCTCCCTCTTCTCTCTTACACTCTCACCATGTGACACACCTGCGCCCCCTTTGCCTTCCTCCATGATTGTAAGCTTCCTGAGGCCCTCACCAGGAGCAGAGCCAGTGCCATGCTTCCTGTACAGCCTGCAGAACTGTGAGCCAACTAAACCTCTTGTCTTTATAAATTACCCAGTCTCAAGGAATACTTATTCTTTGATAGCAACGCAAAAACAGACTAATACAAAAAAATTGGTACCAAGGAGTGGGGCATTGCTATAAAGATACCTGAAGATGTGGAAGTAGATTTTGAACTGGGTAACAGTTAGAGGTTAGAAGAGTTTGGAGAGTTCAGAAGAAGACAGGAAGATGAGGGAAAGTTTGAAACTTCTTAGAAACTGGTTAAAGGGTTGTGACCAGAATGCTGATAGAAATATGGACAATGAAGTCCAGGCTGATGAGGTCTCAGATAAAAATGAGCAACTTAATGGAGAATGCAGGTCAACAAAGGTCACCCATGTTACACCTTAGCAAAGAGCTTGGCTGCTTTGTGTTCAGGCCCTAGGGATCTGTGGGAGTTTGAACTTCAGAGTGATGACTTAGGGTATCTGGCAGAAGAAATTTCTAAGCAGCAAAGCATTCAAGATGTGGTATGTCTGCTTCTAATAACCTACAATCAAATACAGAGACAAAGAAATGACTTATGTTTGGAACTTGTATTTAAAAGGGAAGCAGAGCATAAAAATTTGGAAAATTTGCAGCCTGCCCATGTGGTAAAGAAAGAAAAAGCATTTTCAGAGGAGGAATACAAGCAGGCCGCAAAGCAACCACTTGCTAGAGAGATTAGTGTGACTAAAAAAGGATCCAAGTGCTAATAAGCAAGACAATGGGAAAAAGGGCCTTGAAGGCATTTTAGAAATCTTCTAGGTAGCCCCTCCCATCACAGGCCCAGAAACCTAGGAGGAAAGAACAGTTTCAGGAGCCACTCCCAGGGCACCTGCTGCCCTGCACAGCCTCAGGACACTGTTTCCTGATTCAGGCCTACTCTGGCTACGGCCTTGGCTCAAAGGGGCCCAGGTACAGCTCAATCTGCCACTCTAGAGGGCTCATGCTGTAAGCCTTAGTGGCTTCCACATAATGTTAAGCCTGTAGGTGTGCAGAATGCAAGAGTGAAGGAGGCTTGGTAGCTCCACCTATATTTCAGAGAATGCATGGAAAGGCTTAGGAGCCCAGGCAGAAGCCTCCTGCAGGGGTGGACCCCACCACAGAGATGTTCTACTAGGGCAGTGCAAAGGGAAAGTGCGGGGTTGGAGCCTCCACACGAAGTCCCCACTAGAGCACTACCCAGTGGAGCTGTAAGAAAGGGGCCACCACTCTTCAGACCCCACAATGGTACAGCCAACAGCAGCTTGCATCCTGAGCCTGGAAAAGCCTCAGGCACTCAACTCCAGTCCCTGAGAGTGGCCATGGGGGTTGTACCCTGCAAAACCACAAGGGCAGACTTTCCAAAGGCCTTAGAGTCCCACCCTTCCATAAGTGTGCTCTGGATGTGGGACATGGTATCAAAGGAGACTATTTTGGAGCTTTAAGATTTAATAACTGATCTGCTGGGTTTCAGATTTGTATGGGGCCTACTGCCCCTTTCTTCTGGCTGATTTTTCCCTTTTGGAATGAGAATATTTACCCAATGCTGGTACCACCATTGTATCTTGAAAGTAAATAACTTCTTTTGATTTTACAGGCTGATAGGTAGAAGGAGTGAGTCTCAGATAAAACTTAAAACTTTGGACTTGATGCTGGAACGAGTTAACACTTTGGAAGACTGTTGCGAAGGAATGATTGTATCTTGCAATGTGAGAAGAACATGAGATTTAGAGGGCCAGGGGCGGAATGATATGGTTTGGATGTTTGTCCCTTCCAAATCTCATGTTGAAATGTGACCTCCAATGTTGGAGATGGTGCCTGGTGGGAGGCAATTTGATTATGGGGGCGAATTCCTCATGAATGACTCAGCATTATCCCCTTGGTAATGAGTGAGTTCTCTCTCCACCAGTTCATGCGAGATCTGATTTTTTTTTTTTTTTTTTTTGAGACAGAGTCTTGCTCTGTCACCCAGACTGGAGTGCAATGGTGCAATCTCAGCTCACTGCAACCTCCGCCTACCAGATTCAAGCAATTCTCTGCCTCAGCCTCCCGAGTAGCTGGGATTACAGGTGCCCACCATCACACCCAGCTAATTTTTGTATTTTTAGTACAGACAGGATTTCACCATCTTGGCCAGGCTGGTCTTGAACTCCTGACCTCATGATCCACGCACCTCGGCCTCCCAAAGTGCTGGGATTACAGGGGTGAGCCACCATGCCCTGCCAGATCTGATTGTTTATTGTTTAAAAGAGTCTACGACTTCCCTCTTCTCTCGTTCTTGCTCTTGCTTTTGCTCTGTGATGCACCTGCTCCCCCTTTGCTTTCCTCCATGATTGTAAGCTTCCTGAGGCCCTCACCAGGAGCAGATGCCAGTGCCATACTTCCTCTGCAGCCTACAGAACCATGAGCCAATTAAACCTCTTTTCTTCATAAATTACCTAGCTTCAGGTATTTCTTTTTAGTGATGAAGGAACAGACTATATGGAAGGGAAGGATAATGCCTTTGGTAGGCACATCTCTTGAGGACTGTGTGCTTGGGACTGTGTTAAGAAATTTACTTGCACATGCCAGAAACTATCTGTCCTGCCCAAATATTCCATGTGCCCACCTCTTCAGGAGACTCTGATGGAAAGGCAACAGTCTACAGGAAAAATCACACCCTTACTAGAAGATGCCTTTTGCTTTAGAGGGAAATGGGGCAGACAATTTACAACTGGCCTAAAGTGAATAAGAGAAGCTCTGAAGACAGGACCAGAGGATGAGGCCAAGGCAGGGCTGTACATCAGCCAGTAGACTTACTGTGGAACAGCCACCCAGTGAGAAGGCTAAACTTACCCTTCCCAAGTCCAGCCACTTCTCACCCTGTGTTCCAGTTACTACTGTGACATAACAAATTACCCCACAATTTAGCATCTTAAAATAACCATTTTTATTATGCACCTTTATTCTGTGGGTCAGGAACTTGGGCAGGGCATGGGGTGAAGAAGATGACCAGAGGGATGACTTGTATCTGTTCCATAATCTGGGGCCTCAACCAGAAAGACCCGAAGGCAAGGAATGATTTGATGGCTAGGGTTGTAGTTATCTGGGGCCATTTTGCTCATATGATGGGAGACTCAAAGGCTGGGATTAACAACAGAGCACCTACATGTGGTCTCTCCCTGCAGCTTGGCTTCTTCAATGCATGATGGCCTTAGAGTACTGAGACTTCCTACTTAGTGGCCCAGTGCTCCAAGCACCAGTATTCCAGCTACTAAGGCAGAGGAATGTCAAGGAATTAAGGAATTTGGAGGCCATGTTTTAAAGCCTTCACACCCTGCCTTCCAGGAAGGAGCCAAGCTCAAGGGCATACGCAAAAGAGACTGCAGAGGATCTTCCCCTATCCGGGGACCTATTTCCTGCAGAATCCAATGGCAGAATCTCCCAGGCATAATGATAAGCAAAAGAAGACAGGTGCAAAAGAGTGCTAACTGTGTGATTCCATTTATGCAGCATTCAAGGAAAGACAAAACTAAGTTCAGAATAGCAGTTACCTGCAGGTGGGGTGCAAAGGGGCACAAGGGAGGGAGCTTTCTAGGCTTCTGGCATGTTCTTTATATTAACACATTTGTTACACAAGTGTATTCATATGTAAAAAATTAATCAACTCCTACACTTAAAAGTCATGCACTGGTGACACTATGGATTTTCTACTTCAATAAAAATTTTGTAAAGGAATTATCCTCAAGAGGAGAGGAGAGGGGGAACAAAAGAATTATCCTATCCAGTCAGAGCACCTCACTCTCCATCCCTTCCCCTAGCCAGATTTACATGCCCTAGAAAAGCAGACTCCCAGGCCTCCCCGCTCTGGCTAGTCAATGGCTTGTGGATGCAGCATTTTAGGGGAGGTGTTTCCAGCCCCTCCTCTGCCCTTCTGCCCAGACTTCCTTCTCCGTTTTAGAATCCAAAAGTGCTGGAAGGTGCCAGGACTATCATGGTTTCATTTCATACCCTTATTTTATGGAGGAGGAAAGCAGGAAGGGGAGTGGTGGAGGGACTGGAATGTGCAGCCAGGGAGGCAGGTAAGGCCCGGACTCCTCTGACGGCCAAGGCAGAACTACAGTCTTAGGGTCTTTCTCTTCCTCTCAGTGAGGCAGAGCCCTCCATTGCCTGTAAGACTGCTTAGCATGGGCTCTGTGCATCCATGTCTATCCAAATGGGAGTTTCTGGAAGGCAGGAAGGTTTCTCACTTGATAAGATTCCGGGACCCACCTAGCTGGGTGGGGATTTTCCACAGGGCCTAGGCAGAGGGATAATGCTAGCCACTCCTTGGGGCATGGCTCTGATCACAGACCCTGGGGGCTGTGGGCCTGAGAGATTTCACCCCTCCCAGAATTACCAGAAACGGGGTGGGAAGCTGAGATGCTTTTGCTTTCCAATGAAACTCCCAAGGCTCAAACCAGAAGCCAGCATCTTAAGTCCTAAAATGTGAAGCCCCAACAATCAAGCCTTTTCCTGATCTGGCTTTGCCCATCCCCCTACCACCCCCTGTCTTTTGCAGTCAGCTTCTATTATGGACTGAATGGTGTTCCCCCAAAATTCATATGTTGAAGTCCTGACCCCCCAGTGCCTCAGAATGTGACTATATTTGGAGACTGGGTCATTAAAGAGGTTAAGTTAAAATGAGTCCCTTAGAATGGTCCCTAATCCAGTCTGACTGGTGTCCTTATAAGAAGAGGAAATTTGGACACACGGACACACCAGGGATGTTCAGAGGAGGCAGGGCAAGAAGTCAGCCATCTGCAAGCCAAGGAAAGAGACCTCAGAGGAAACCAGACCTGCTGATACCTTGCTCTTGGACGTCCAGCCTCCAGAACCATAAGAAAATAAATTTCTGTTGTTTGTGTCTGTCGTATTTTGTTACAGCAGCCCTAGCAAACTATATAACTCCCACTTCCTAAGTGTCACACATTTTTACACCTGCCTGGGGTGCCTTTCCCTCCCTCCTCCCTTGACCCTCTGAAAAACACCACCTTCCAGTCCTTCCCCGCCAATTGCTCCATGACATGTCTCTTCAAGCCCTGAGTCAGTGAACCGTGCTACATGGTCTTGCATTGTACACTTGTAACCATTATCATCCCTATGACACCATATTTTAGTTTATCTTCTTGACAGACCTTGACCCTGGAGACACAGGCTATTCCTTACTCATCTCCGCATCCCCAGCCTGAATAACAAATGGTGTGATAAAATGTCTGCTGGATTGAACTGAACTGGAGAATTTGCTGAGTGCTTCAGCATGCCCTGGCAGGGTCTCTGCCCCTCAGAACCCACACTTCCCCTTCACTGTATCCACCTTGCACCCTGCACAAATGCCAAAAAGGCTTTAAGGTCAAAAGAATTAGCACTGTCTTAGAAATTGTATAGAGGTGGTCCAGATGGTCCCCAACTTACAGTGGTTCAGCGTACAATTTTCTGACTTTAAGATGGTGTAAAAGCAATACACATTCATTAGAAACCATTCTTCAAATTTTGAATTTTGATCTTTGCCCAGGCTAGCAATAAGTGGAAATATGCTCTCCTGTGATGCTGGGCAGCAGGAATGAGCTGCAGCTCCCACTGAGCCACACTATCACGAGAGCAAACAACTGGTACTCGACAGTATACTGTGTTGCCAGATGATTTTGCCCAACTGTAGGCTAATGCCAGTGTCTGAGCATGTTTAAAGTAGGCTAGGCTAAGCTATGATGTTCAGTAAGTTAGGTGTAGTAAATGCATTTTCAACTTACAATGGATTTATTGGGCACTAACCCCACATCATAAGTCAAGAAGCAACTGTATTATAAAACTAAGACTGGGGGAGGGCAATGTTTAACCTGGAGACATGGATTACTCATGATAACAATGTAGGATGCCAGGGACTGAACATAACAAACTCAAGGGGAGGGGAGGTCCCTTCTCAGCTATCCAGCACCCCAAAGCTTGAATCAATAGCTCCTTCCCACGCTGGGTGAAATCAGCCCTGAGCTGTCTGTGAATCAGAGGAAGTGTTTGTGTGTGTGTGTGTGTGTGTTGGAGAGGGTCCGGGGGAAGGATGTATATGTGCATCCTGAGGTGGAAAAATCCCTAAACTCACTTGTGTGGTGAAGCAGGGCTGGAGGCTTCTAGAGCCCTAGGGAGGGCGCAGCCTTTGACTTTCGGACAGACCTGGTTAGAAGCCTCACTGCTTTGCTGCCAGCTGATAAAGGAGCCAGATGAAAGGGCCCAGCATAGCTCCTGGCCTTTGGAGCATGCCCTTTATCCATAGAATGCTACTCTTCTCCTGATGTCCATCTTCCCCTAGCGCTGAGCCCAAAGCACAGAAGGCATCCTGTTTGGAGCCAGGCTGGCTGGGGTTAACAAGAGAAAGGCAGCTGTTTCCCGAAAACAAAGGGCTGGGTCAATAAATCTGCCGCAGCAGCCGTGGATCAGTGAGGGCAAAGGCTCCCGCGGGGAGCAGCCAGCCAGTTTCTCTGAAACGTCTAGAACAGAGCCATCCAGGAAAGCAAGGCTGAGGCTTGAAAGGCCCTTAGGTAGGCCTGTCCTGGGGTCAATATCCTCAGAGCACAGGGTCCCTCTCCTCACCCCCAGCACCTTCCAGGATCAGACTCAGAGTCTCACAGAATCACAGAGCTGGAAAGGACCCCAAGCATTCTCCAATGCAGTTTTTTATCTGGGGAACATGTTAAGAATTCATCCATCTATGAACTTGGATAGGTCAGGGGGAAAAGGTTCACTAATCTATAACTGAAGTTTAGCATTTATTTCTATCATGAACCTAAGCAACAAACTACAGTAGAATTTGGAGAACCTAAGACTTTGTCACCAAGAGACATGACAGGCATTTTTATAGCTCAGTACAGGCATTCCAGAATTCTCAAAACATTGTTCATTAATACTACCTCAAAATTGTAGTAATGATCAGGGCCACCTCTAGATCTCGCTTAATGCATTAATAAATAAGCATTGTTACTGCTATATCACAAATTTGTTTTTTTATTTTGACAACTGTATTTTGGTATCGTTAGTTAACTTTGTTATTCCATGTATTTTATATTACCAGCCTTCAAAAGTGTCCATGACACAGAAAGGATTAAGAATTCCTACTGGGCTTTAACCTTCACTATAGATGGAGAAACCAAGGTCCAAGACAGGCAGTGCTTCTTCTGGATGGATGGATGGATGGATGGACGTATGGATGGATGGATGGATGAAGGGATGGATGGATAGTGAGTGCACAGATGGTGAATGGATTAATGAATAGAAATGCAAATGAAAAAATAGCACAGTAATAGCAATAATAACCCTCATGGACTGCTTACCCTGAGCCAGGCATTATTTTAAACTATTCAATTCTCACAACAGCCCTATGAGACAGATAATATTATTTTCTCCGTTGAACAGATAAGAAAACTGAGATATAAAGTTATGAAGTGACTTAGACAAGGCTACAGAGCCAGTAAGAGGAAGAGTTATGTATGACTCAAACCCCCAAGCCTGCACTCTGAACCTCTCTTCTCTATGACTGCTCTGAAGCAGTCTGGTGAAGCTTGGTTTAGTGCTGAGTTCTGGGATCATAAAGCAAGGACTGAATTCCAATTCTGGCCACTTGCAAGATGGTGACTCTGGGCAACTGATTTCACTACTGCAAATCACAGTTTTTCATCCATAACATGAAGACAGTAGTATCACCTCCATCACGGGGTCATATGTAGATTAATAAGTCAGGGAAAGCACGTAGCACAGTGCCCAGTACATAGTATTGCTAGATAATTTTGTTTTTAATGAATTACAAGACCAAGGCATAGACCCATTTAGAATGGTGATATGTGTCTCTGTGCTAAAATTGCCAAAAATAAGAAAATTAAAGTAACGAGGCTAGAAAACCCAGATCCCAGCTCCTGGCAAAATTGAAGGGTGTCAAGAATTAACAAGTTGAGACTGGGCGCGTGGTGGCTCATGGCTGTAATCCCAGCACTTTGGGAGGCCGAGGTGGGCAGATCACTTGAGGTCAAGAGTTCGAGACAGGACTGGCCAACATGATGAAACCCTGTCTCTACTAAAAATACAAAAATTGACCGGGCATGGTGGCGGGTGCCTGTAATCCCAGCTACGAGGGAGGCTGAGGCATGAGAATCACACCTGGGAGATGGAGGTTGCAGCGAGCCAAGATTGCGCCACTGTACTCCAGCCTGGGCGATAGAGAGAGTCTATATCTCAATAAAAAAAAAAAGAATTAAGTTGACTTTCAAACTGCAAGAGTCGAAAAAAAAAAAAGAGAGAAAACAAGTGCCTAGTGAAATTTTGCTTTCAAGATGGTGTAGACAAAGGGATGGATTTAGATTGAAGTAAATATATGAAAATTCTAGTAATTAGCGATTCCTTCTGAAGAGTGTGGTATGGAAAGGGAAGGAAAGAATAACCTTGCAGTGGAGAAATTCAACAAGCGCTACTCCAGCCAGCTGGCCAAGGTTAAAGTTACCGGTGATAAATCACATTGATATGATAGACGTATCATAGATAGATGGCACTTTACCTCTAACTTCCAAAAATTCATGTACCCAGTCTAATCATGAGAAAAGTATCAGACGGACTCAAATGGAAGGACATGCTACAAAATACCTGACCAAAACGTCTCAAAAACTATCAAGTTCTTCAAAAAACAAGCCTGAGAAACTGTCCCAATCTAAAGGAATCTAAGGAGATAGGATGACTAAATGTATTGTAGTATCCTGAATAGGATCCTGGAGCAGAAATAAGAAATGAGGTAGAAAGTAAGGAAATGTGAATAAAGTATGGACTGTGGTCAACAATACTGTATCAATATTGCTTCATTCGTTGTTGACAAATGTGCCATACTAATGTAAGCGATTAACATTAGGGGAAACTAGGGGTGAAGTACAGGAGAACTCTCTGTACCATCATTTCAGCTTTTCTGTAAATCTAAATCTATTCTAAAAAAGAGTATTGGCTTTCAAAATGCTAGTAGTTGATCTGGTGGTGAGATTACAGACAATTTCTTTTCTTAGTTTTATTTGTCTGTATATTTTTAATTTTTCTTCTTTTTGAGACAGGGTCTGTCTGTGTTGCCAAGGCTGGAGTGCAGTGGCTATTCACAGGCTCGATCATAGCATACAACAGCCTCCAACTCCTGGGCTCAAGCAAGTAAACTGAGTCTGTAGCTGGGTCTGCATTTTTCAAATGGTCTATGAGGAATACTTACTGCTTTTGACATCAGAAAAAAAATTCAATGAACATTACTTTTTAAAAAAATGAATAGATGTTAGGCTCTTTGGAGACAGTACTATATACATAAAAGTATAACTAGAATCGTCCTTGGACAGCAACTAAAACCCATTTTATCGGCCGGGCGTGGTGGCTCACACCTGTAATCCCAGCACTTTGGGAGGCCAAGGCGGGCAGATCACTTGAGGTCAGAAGTTCAAGACCAGCCTGACCAACATAGTGAAACCCCATCTCTACTAAAAATACAAAAATTAGCTGGGCATGGTGGTGGGTGCCTGTAATCCCAGCTACTCAGGAGGCCGAGGCAGGAGAATCTCGTGAACCCAGGAGGCGAAGGTTGCAGTGAGCCAAGATCGTGCCATTGCACTCCAGCCTGGGCAAAAGGAGTGAAACCATGTCTCAAAAAAAAAGGCCAGGCGCAGTGGCTCATGCCTGTAATCCCAGCATTCTGGGAGGCTGAGGTGGGAGGATCACAAGGTCAGGAGATTGAGACCATCCTGGCTAACGCAGTAAAACCCCATCTCTACTAAAAATACAAAAAATTACAATTAGCTAGGCGTGGTGGTGGGCACCTGTAGTCCCAGCTACTCGGGAGGCTGAGGCAGGAGAATGGTGTGAACCTGGGAGGCGGAGCTTGCAGTGAGCAGAGAGCACGCCACTGCACTCCAGCCTGCGCAACAGAGCCAGACTCCGTCTTAAAACAAAACAAACAAAAAACAAAAAAACACCTTATCGCTCTGCACCCAGGGCCTGGCACTCTCCCCGGGGGAGGGCGGTGTGCTTCTGAACCTGCCAGCATTTTTTCTATCTATGATACACTTGCTGACAGAGGTCAAAGGGCTATCCTGGGTAAGCCCACACTGCTGGCTCAAGAGGCCCCAGGCAAATCAGCCCCAGGAAAATCTCGTCCATCAGCTTCTAGGCCAAGCCTCAGCCTGCTCTGTGTCATCAGTCTGGGAGGCAGGAAGACTGCAAAGGGTTCTCAGTTCACCATACGAACAAAAGACAAGACGAGACTCGCCAGGAATGTGTGGTTTGTCCCAGGCACTTTGTCCTGCATCCAGACCTCAAGCAGTCAGATAAAGCTGATTCTTTATTTTTGCACTTCTTTTAAAGCTCAGGCTCAGAGAGAGAGTCCCCAGCTCACAAGAGTCAGAAGCAGGATATAAACTCTGATCTACTCACTCCAGAGCTGCCCGCAAGAAGGACACCTGTCTCTACCCATCTCGGGAATGTGCCATGACCACAGCAGATGGCTGGACTACGTTTAGGAGACAGGATGCTGGAGAAAGGAAGTGTCAAGCAGTGGGCAGCACCCTTCAGACCTCCCCTGACACCAACCACCACCACCCCAATACTGAGGGCTCCATGGACAAAGGCCAGCTCGTTCTTGGGCCCAAACACCAGTTGCAGCTCCTGGATCCTGGGAAACGTGGGAGAGCACCAGTGACTGCTCCCTGGGCTCCACTGCTGTTCCATTCCCAAGGGCATCCTCCATCATCCTGGTGTCCAATTCCTAGGCAGACAGGCCCTCCCCTTGCTGAGGACCTCCAAAGCAGGGGCCAGGAGAGAGACGGTGCTGAGACATTTCTCACTGTAATTGCATTGGGACCAGATCCTTTCTCTCTCTGAGAGTTGGCAACAAGAACCCCCTGGGAGGAACAACAACTCAGCTTTCTAACAGGTAGCCTTCTTTTTTTTTTTTTTTTTTTTTTGAGATGGAGTCTCAGTCTGTCGCCCAACCTGGCATGATCTTGGCTCACTGCAACCTCTGCCTCAAGCAATTCTCTCACCTCAGCCTCTGGAGTAGCTAGGATTACAGGCGCACGTCACCATGCCTAGCTAATTTTTGTATTTTTAGTAGAGATGGGGTTTCATCATGTTGGCCAGGCTGGTCTCGAACTCCTGACCTCAACTGATCCACCCGCCTTGGCCTCCCAAAGTGCGGGTAGTACAGGTGTGAGCCACCGTGCCCGGCCACAGGTAGCCTCTCTAAAAGGCCTTTTTTTTTTTTTTTTTAATACAAACACTGAGATGTTGGCTTCAAAGTGGTCCCCTGAAAGGCTGTCCAGTTATTCTAGTGACTTCTCCAGAGCTCATTCAACTCTTCAGAAATTGCCTTCAGGGCAACCTTTGACCAAAATTGGTCAACCTGCTTGATTGTCCAAAGTATTCCCCAATACGGGTAGCCAAAGAACTTTCAGCTATTTCCAAAATCCAAATCCAGGTTCAAAAGACCAAGACCTGCCCCTCTGAGGCTGCTCCCGAGAACCCTGGGCATAGTCTGAGAAAGGGCTGCATGGCAGACATATCATTACTTTCTCAGTTGTGTTATTGGTCAGACACCTGCCTTTAGGGTCAAAGCTTGTGTGTGTTGGCTTCCTCTCTCCCTGACTCCCAACAAAGGCTCTGAACCATTCCCCAGATGTTGGCAGAGTGTGAGACACCCTCCTCTGACTTCCCTAGAAGCATGGCCCCCTGCCTCTTCTCCCTCCCAGCACAGAGCCCCTGTGCTGGGATCAGCCCAGGCTCCATTTGTTCCTCTAATGAGTCTTAAGTATTTGGCTTGGGCTCCTGCCAGTCCTACTCCTACAGAGAGGAGGGAGTGGGAAGAATGGGACAAAGCTCATGCCAGCTCAGTTCTGCTGGGCCCTGGGCAGACTGGCACAGGGGCTGCCTGGCCCAGACCCACCCAGGGGTGCAGCCAGGAACCCATTTGAGGCCCACAGCCTTTCTTTACCCTCCACTTCAGGGGCTTCCCACAGTGCAGATTCCTGGGCATACTTCCTGGGTTGGAATCCTGGGGTGAGGCTCAGGAATGTGCATTTTTAATAAGCACCTCAGGAGATTGTGATGCATAATGAAGATTAAAAACCAGTGTTCCAGAAAGTCAATGACAGGGATTCAGGCTGGCTGGTGAAATTGTGTATATGTGCATTTTTCTAGAGTCCACAGTTGTCAAATTCTCACATTAGGTCAATAGTCCCCATAACCCTTTAAAAGTTTTTTAAAAACAAGCCCGATGTGGTAGCTCACAGCCTATAATCCCAGCATTTTGGGAGGTAGAGACAGAAGGATAGCTTGAGGCCAGAAGTTCAAGACCAGCCTGGGCAACATAGCAAGACCCCATCTCTACAGATAATTTAAAAAAATAATAACTTAGCTGGGCATGGTGACACATACCTGTAGTCCCAGCTACTCAAGAGGCTGAGGCTCAAGGATCACTTGAACCCAGGAGCTTGAGGCTGCTGCAGTGAGCCATGATCATGCTACAGCACTCCAGCCTGGGTGACAGTGCAAGAGGCCATCTCTAAAAAAAATTAAAAATTAAAACAAAAGGCTAAGAAGCACTAGTAAATGAGATGATTCCTAAGTTCAGTTGTAGCTCTGACCTGCCACAACTTGGTGACCCTGTTCAGGCCCCCATCAGGGCAAGCCCCCAGGATGCTCTCCTTTTACCAAATCTCAGAGAAAGACAAGGCTGGCCTTGAAAAAGGCTGGCAAGTCTGGGGGAAACCAGGATGACATAGAACTAGGCTGAGGGACAATAGGATGGCAATGGCCATGGGCTTGGGTGAGAAATGACACAGGTTAGGGGAAATTCTAGAATACCTGGGCTGAAAGGACCCTTAGATATCAATGAAGGCAAACCTCTGGCAAGAGGGGTAAATTTTTACCAATGTCAGGTCCTCTCTCTCTGGCCACATAGCTAAACCTCATTTCTCACTCCCCTGCAGTTGGCGGAGGTAATGAGTTGAATTCTGCCCAGTGGAATGTGGATCTCTGCTATGGTCTGGATGTTTGTGTCTCCCCAAAATCCTAGCCCCTAAGGTGATAGGTTTAGGAAGTGGAGCCTTTTGGGAGGTAATTAGGTCATGAAGGTGGAACCCTCATGAATGGGATTAGTGTCCTTACAAAAGAGACCCCAGAGAGCTCCCTTGCCCTTTCCACCATATGACAGTGAGAAGGCACTATCTATGAACAGGATGGGTGATATGGTTTGGCTCTGTGTCCCCACCCAAATCTCATCTTGAATTGTACTCCCATAATTCCCACATGTTGTGAAAGGGACTCAGTGGGAAGTAATTGCATCATGGGGGCAGTTTCTCCCATACAGTTCTCGTGGTAGTGAATAAGTCTCACGAGATCTGATGGTTTGATAAGGAGAAACCCGCTTTGCTTGATTCTCATTCTCTTCTCTTGTCTGCACCATGTGAGACATGCCTTTCACCTTCTGCCATGATTGTGAAATCTCCCCAGCCACATGGAACTATAAGTCCAACAAACCTTTCTTTTGTAAATTGCTCAGTCTCAGGTATGTCTTTATCAGCAGTGTGAGAACAGACTAATATAATGGGTTCATATGAAAAGGCCCTCACCAGACATCAAATCTGCCAGTGCCTTGATTTTGGACCTCCAAGCCTCCAGAACTATGGGAAATAAATGTTTGTTGTTTGTAAGCCACCCAGTTTAAGGTAGTTTGTTAGAGCAGCCCAAATGGACTAACAACAGAAAATGTGTATCAAGAAGTAGGGTGCGGCTATAACAAATATCTAAAATGTGGAAGAGGCTTTGGAATTGGGTAATGAGTAGAAGCTGGAAGAATTTTGAGATGAATGCTAGAAAAAAAAATCTACATTGCCATAAACAGACTATTAAAGGTGATTCTGGTAAGGTCTCAGAAAAGGGGTGCTATAGAGAGAGCCTCAATCTTCTTAGAGATCACCCAAGTGGTCATCAGAATGTTGGTAGAAATACAGATGGTAAGGGCTGTTCTGATGGGGTCTTAGATGAAAATGAGGAACATCTTATTGAAAACTGGAGGAGAGATGACCCTTGTTAAAAAGTGGCAAAGACATTTGGCTTTTGTTCATGTCCTACTGTTTTGTGGAAGGTAGAACTTGTGAGCAATGAAATAGGATATTTGGCTGAAGAAATTTCCAAGCAAAGTAATGAAGGTGCAACTTGGCTCTTCTTAAATGCTTATAGTAAAATGCAAGAAGACAAACTCTAAAGATGGAATTTTTCATCAAAAGAGAAGCAGAACTTAAAGATTAGGAAACGTCTCAGCCTATTTATATTGTAAAAAATGAGAAAGTGTGCTCAGGCATTTGCTACAGAGACTAGCATGAATCAGACACGCACTATTCTTCAAGACAATAGAAAAATGGCCCCAAAGGCATTTCAGAGATTATAGGGGCTGCCCCTTCCATCACAGGCCTAGAGTGCCAGGGCCTAAGGAACAGAATGATTTCAAAAGAGGAGCCACAGGCCCTCAGTGCTCACTGTCCAGCATCACCTCAAGGCTCTGCTCCCTGCATTTCAGTGTAGTCCTCCTCACCATCCCAAGTTCAGCTCCAGTGCCCACCCTCCTCCCACCCCTAAAGGACATAGGTGGTAAATTTTGGTGGCATCCGCATGATGCCATCTCAGCCAGTACACAGAGTATATGTACTGTGGGGACATGGTTACCTTCACCTAGATTTCAAAGATGCTCCAGAGAGTGTAAGGGGCCAGCCAAAGAACCACCGCACGGGCAGGGCCACTGTAGAAAGCCCCAACAAGGGCAATGCCCAGGGGAGCCACGGAAGTAGGGCTACCTTACAACCCAGACCAGTGGGGCCACCAGTGTGTGATCCCAGCCCAAGATAGCTACAGGTGTACAACCTAGGCACAGAGCCTCCACAGAAAATGGGACCACAAGACAGAACTGCCATGGAGGCAGGACCACCACCCCAGTGGGTCCAGAAGACAGGACTTCTCTACCCCTGTGGACTTAAGAGGGCAGAGCCTCAAGTCAAAGATGACTATTTTCCAGCCTTAAAGTTTTGTACTTGCTAGAGATCTGTTACCCCTTCCTTCCTATTTCTCCCTTTTGGAATGAGAATGTCTATCCTATGCCTACCTACCCCACCAGTGTATTTTGGAAGCACATATTCCACATGTTCACAGCTGGAGAACATTTTGCCTCAGGATGAATTATGAATTATGCTTTGAGTCTCATCCGTATCTTTTTTTTTTTTGAGACAGAGTCTCACTGTCACCCAGGCTATAGTGCAGTGGTGCAATCTCAGCTCACTATAACCTCCACCTCCAAGGTTCCAGCGATTCTCGTGCCTCAGCCTTCTGAGTAGCTGGACTACAGGCACACACCACCATACCTTTTTTTTTTTTTCTGTATTTTTAGTAGAGATGGGGTTTTACCCTGTTGGCCAGGCTGGCCTTGAACTACTGATCTCAAGTGATCCGCCCACCTTGGCCTCTCAAAGTGCTAGGATTACAGGTGTGAGCCACCACGCCCAGCATTAGATAATATTAAGATGAGACTTTAGATGGGTAGAAAGCCATGGTCTGAATGTTTGTGCCCAACATTTGTTAAATGTTGTTAAATTCCTAACCTCTAAGGTGCTACTAGGAAGAGAGGACTTTCCAGAGCAAGGTGGCTCAGGCCTTAATGCCAGCACTTTGGGAGGCCAAGGTGGGCAGATCACTTGAGGTCAGGAGTTCAAGATCAACCTGGCCAAGATGGTGAAACCACATCTCTATTAAAAATACAAAAATTAGCCAGGTGTGGTGGTGAGTGCCTGTAATCCCAGCTACTGGGGAGACTGAGGCAGGAAAATCACTTGAACCTGGGAGGCGGAGGTTGCACTGAGCTGAGATTGCACCACCACACTCCAGCCTTGGTGACAGAGCAAGACTCCATCTCAAAAAAAAAAAAAAAAAGGGAAATGTTTAGTTCATGAGGTTGCAGGTCTCACAAATAGGATTAGTGCCCTTATAAGAGAGGCCCCAGAGAGCTCCCTTGTCCCTTCTACCATGTATGCGAGGATGCAGCAAGAAGGCACTCTCTATAAACCACAAAACAGGTCCTCACCAGACACTGAATCTGTCAGTGCTTTGTTCTTCAGCTTCCTGGCCTCCAGAACTGTGAGAAATAGGCGTCTGTTGTTTATAAGCCATCCAAGTCTACAGTATTTTGTTACAGCAGCCTGAATGGACTCAGAGTATCTCCCACAAAAGATTCCCCCTTTCTCCATTAGATGGGGCAGAAGACTCCAAGCCCTGAAGATGGCCGAGCCACAACAGGGAAAGAGCCTGGGCTCTCAATGACATCAAGGTGCAGAGTGCCCCTATCACCAGCCCACCCTGGACTGTGTCATGGATGAAATATAAACCTTTTTGTGTTAAACTACTAAGATTTAGAGGGTGTCTGAATTCTTGATCAGCCTATTGTAAACAATATACCCTTCTCAGTGATGTCAGTAAAAGGGAAGTGACACATCCAGTGTCAGAGTGAGCCCCTGGTGGGGCAGAGTGGGAATCAGCATTTTCCAACCACAGCCTTGGAAGAGGAAATGGGCAGCCATGACCACGTACCACCACCTGGACAGCACCAATTCCCAAAAAACTTTATTTATTGTTTCAAGTGGCAAAATGTCATTGGTCTCTGTGGGGTACCTGGCGGGGCAGACGGAGACCTGGGGTGAGGCAGGGATACAGTCCCACCCATTATAAAAATCAAAGGCTTTTATAAAAAATGCTATAAATTGGTATCAAAAGAAAACCCAAGGGAGGCTGGAGGAGGAAGCAGAGAGGGAGAGGGAAGGAGGAGAGGAAGGGACAAAACCTTCAACCACTAGTGATGAAATCCAGGGAAGGGAAGGTGTGGGGGGAGTTCGGAGGGTGATACAAAGTGCATAAATGTGCCTCCCCAGACGCTCCTCAGAGGTGGAGGGGACAGAGGCTGCAGCCTGGGGCATGGTGGGGCTCCAGCCGTCTCCTCACCCAGGGACCCCACAGGAATGGGCACTGCCTGAGACTGCCAGGTGGGAAGAACCTGCAATGGGAAGGGAGGAAAAGACATCAGGGAAGGACACTGTGGAGGCTTCAGCTTCCTCTCCCCTACACCCATCTTGGTGCCCCCAGCTAAGCCTGGTCATGGAGCCTGGTAAGTGCCCACAGGGTCCCAGACCAGAAGGGCTGGCTGACCACTCTCCGTCCAGCCAGGGAGCATGGGGGGACTGTCCCTGAGCACAGGGAAGCAGGCCAGGATGGTAGCCCTTCTCCTCTTCCACACCAGGCCAGACAACAACCTGACCTCCCTGTGGACAAAATCTAGAGAAGCCAAGGGCCTACCGAGTCTCTGGAGCTTGGCTTCACCTGCTGTTTCTAAACTTGCACAGAAAGGGGTGGGAGCTAAGGGACAGAAGGGGCATGAGGCCTCCGAAGCCTCCAGGGCAGGCCCTCCTCAGACTGGATCCAAGCCCAGGAACCTGTCCTCACCTCAGTGACTTCTCAGACCTTCTTCTTCTTCAGTTTCAGGGCTTGAAGCCAGTTGGGCGACGATCCTTCTGACCTAGGAGGCAGACGGCAAAGGTCCAGAATGCAAACTTTGAGGAAACTGAACACAACAAGGAGACGTGATAGGGACAGAAACCACCCTCTAACCAGAAGAGGCAGTCTGGGGCCTGGCTGCAGGGACCCAAATTCTGACACCATCTTCATACCGTTCATCTGGGGCATGTCCGACTGAGGTTCCTCTTTGAGCCTCAGTTTGCCTCTTCTGTGAAGTGAGAGTTTCCCTTTTCATCAGGGTAATACAGTGAGGTCAGCGGATGCCCAGAGCTTAGGTCACCTACCCTGAGGATTTCTCTGGCTTGGGAGGTAACGTGAGGGGCTTTCCCAGTCCTGGGACCTTGCAGGATTTCGAACGCTGGACCGCGGACTCCTTCTGGCTCGACTTGCTCTCAGCCAGCTCTCCCTCCTCAGCTGAGCGATTCCGGGGGCGCAGCTTGGCCTGAGAAGCAAGTCCAGAAGCAGATAGATAGTAGAGGGACAGGCAGTAGGACTCTCAGGGGGTAAGACCTTATCTCAAGAGTGTGCAGTCCCCAGAATCAAGCAGAGACCCCTCTGCAGTCCTTTCACCCCAAAGGATGGGAAGTCACTTAGAGATGCACTTCCCGCAGAACTGAGCTATGCCTTGCACACCTTTCTGTCCTCAAAAACATATGGCAGGATTGAATTCAGACAAACTGGGTGGGACAAAGCCAGTGGTGACTTCCCACCCCTGTTCCCTCTGCCTGCAATGCCACCCCACCATCCCAGCTCCAGGAGCCAACTCCTGTGCCTGCCGCCGGCTAAGATCAAATACATACAAGAGGCCTTCTCCAATCCACCCTCCCTTCCCATCCCCCTCCACTCTGCTGTTAGGAAATAACTCCTCTCTCTCTGAACAGGCCCAGCCCTTATCTGTGCCTCTCCTCAGGGACACCTAAACTTCTTCTCTCATCCAGGCTAATTATGGGCATCATGTCTCCCACTGCCCCTGAGGTTCCAGAATAAGAACACATCTTGTTCTTCTTTCCATCCCATTTGGCACACAGCATAGGGCCCGGCGGGGCACAAAGGGATCTTCTGGAGCCCTCGATGGAGAGGAGAGTGAGAGGAGGAATGGGAGAGGGGGACAGGGGAATGAATTGATGGATGAAGAGAAGAAAGACAGCATGCAAGGTGGCCACCTGGCCAGATGGCTGGACATGTTTGCTTAATGATCAGATGGTACCTTCAGGGCTGAGGGGCTCAGGCCAGGAAAGAGGTTGACTTTCAGCCCCTTGGTGCCCAACGACATCCGTGTCCGGCGGCTCTGAGGTTCCTCCACTACCTCTTCATCTGAAGATGGCACCCGAGATGCCCGTGGCTCTGCAAAGGCCCGGGAAAGGGGCTCAGAAAAGGCAGCACACCCAGACTCCCCGAACCCATAACCCCTGCAAAAGCTTGGCCTAATGCCCTAGAGATCAAGAGACATCACCAAATAATACATCAGCCCTACCTGTAGAGTCCTGGAACAGGTGTGCATCCGAGTCTGCTGCCTCCGACAGGCCCAAGGTACCCCCAGGCCGAATGACCGGGGCCCGGTGCCCACGCTTGCGCCCCAAGTTGGCACGGCTCCGATACATGGCACTGTCGAGGATCTCGGTGTCCTGCTTGGGGCAATGGTGACACCACTGCCATTGCTGCCTCATCCCACGGGAGCCCCTCAACAGTAGCTGACCAGGAGCTGGACCCCTCCTGCAGCCGGAGCTTCACGTTCACGTGACGCACCTACAACCCGCTTTCTGCCTCCTGGACTGGGACTGCTCAGGGAAGCTCCAGGAATGGGGCTCTCGCTGCATCGCCCTCACCCACCCACTGTCATGGGCTCACCCTCCACTGACCTCAATGAAGGAGAAGTCCTGACTGGGGGATCTGGCAGGAGGGCCTTGGGAGGGTCGCCGAGAAGTCTGTGCTGGCCCCTGATCGCTCCACCTGGCTGCTGAAGAGCCCCAGGTGCCATCCACGTCTTCTGTCTGGCTGGCCTCACCATCAGGCTGCGGCCTCCAGGAGGGTGGAGAGTCCCTGCCAGGCTCCAGCACCTCCTCTTGGGCAGCACCTGCCCCGGCTCCTTCCTCCTCCAACAGGCCCCCAAGGCCCGAGGCCGCTGACTCCCTCCGAGCCACCGCCTTGGAGCTGCTGGCTGCCAGCATCTCCTCCAGCAGGCCCTGGGAGCCGGAGGGTGGGGGGCGGGCCGGGCACCTGCCAGGGCTGTAAAGGGGACAGAGAGAGAACGAGATCATCGTAAGGCCCCATCTCCCTGCCCTGAAGCCTACTTCACAAGCTCCTTCCCCCAGCCCCCAAACTCTCCCTTGCCCTCCTTCCCATGCTTTTTCCAGACTCCAAGGACACGGTCAGGGCCTTGAGCAACACAGCACACAGGTGAAGAGCTGAGCCAGTCTGGCAGGTTCAAATCCCTGAGACCTCGGGTGAGCCCCCTCCCCTGGAAACAGCTCAGGCTCCTCTAACTGCACGGAGTCGCTGCAAGGATGAAAGAAAAATCTAAAGCACTTAGCACAGTCCTGGTCAGCACGCACCGCAGAAGCAGCAGCCATTATTCCTGCTGCTGTTGCATGCTAGCAATGTGTTCCCTCCCAGGGCCACGTGCTCGGGCAGTCACACTCCTTGGGGTGAGCCAGGTACTGGCCCACCTGCCTCTCCGGACTCATGTTGTCTTCAGCCCCCACGTTATGCCTCTTCATTCCCCAGGCTCACAGAGCAACCAGGGACCATCAGAAGACACCCGGCCCTCACATGCTGCTGGCTTTGAACGAGCTGCTCCCTCTTCTGGAAAGCTCCCCGCACCACACCGTCCCTGGTGGTACTGTCCCCTTGGTTCAATTCTGCTTCCGAAGCTGCCCTGCCCCCTCCCAGCCACCATGGCCGCCTCAGCCCTACCAGCCCTGGGCTCCAATCCATGCCAGTTCCTGCTTCTTTCCTGTGGTTCTTTGTCCCCATAGCCTGTCGGTGAGCTCCTCAAGGGCAAAAACGGGGCCCTTTCTGCCTTTATGCCCCCAGCACCTGACCCAGAGCCTGGCTACGCGCCGGACTAAGCAAATGTTTGCCAAGCAAATGAGGGGCTGGGTCACCTTGGACCTCCATGCAGCATATGCATCTTCTGTCTGCTGCTTCCTCAAAACACAATACAGCTGGACATGGGGTGCAGGGCTCACGCCTGTAATTCCAGCTACTTGGGAGGCCAGGGCAGGGGGATCACGTGAGCCCAGGAGTTCAAGACCAGCCTGGGCAACATAGCAAGACCCCATCTAAAAACAAAATACAAACACGGCACAAGCACACCACACACTCTCTCACTAACTCATACTGCCCGCCCTGTCCAGCGGCCACTCCCCAAAATGACACATTCACATTCATCACCATCACACACACTCAGGCAGAGAGCTTGTGCGCTGTTTGTCACTCCCCCAGATGGACCTCGCACCCACCACATCTACAGGCACGGCACAGAGCCACACCTGACACAAACACACGCATCCCCGCATCCCCACACCCCCACCCCACACACACACACTCATACTACGCACAGAGGTGTGGGAAAGCCTGGCACGGCAGTGCCTGGAAGCCAGGCCCCAGGTTCCCACTGGGATTAAAGCAGGAGGAGAGTGGGGCAGGTGAGTCAATACCAAGCAGGAAGAGGGGGCAGGGAGAGAGAGCATGAGTGGTAGTCTGTCCTTCCACAAGCTGCTGACAGATGGAAATTAAAGTGGTCTGGGGAGAGACATTGGGGGAGGAGGCAGTGGCGGCAGCAGAAGTACAGCAAGGCAGCAGAATTGGGAGCAGCCCTGGCTGGGGGCCAAAGCCAGCTCACCCTGACAGCCAGCTTAAAATCAGGGAGAATTTGGAGGGAGGGGGTGGCAACAGCACCCCACCCAGACTACAGAGGCCAGGCCCAAAGCCTCTCCCTGGGGTGGGGCAAAAGAAGGCTAAGGGCAGGCCCCATGAGCTAAAGAGATGTGAAATGCCCTGGCTCACGCCTGTAATCCCAGCACTTTGGGAGGCCAAAACAGGCGGATCACCTGAGGTCAGGAGTTCCAGACCAGCCTGGACAACATGGTGAAACTCTGTTTCTACTAAAAATACAAAAATTAGCCAGGCATGGTGGCAGGCACCTGTAATCCCAGCTTCTTGGGGGAGACTGAGGCAGGAGAATCGCTTGAACCCGGGTGGTGGAGGTTGCAGTGAGCCAAGACCGCGCCACTGCACTCCAGCCCAGGCAACAAGAGCAAAACTCCGTCTCAAAAAAAAAAAAAAAAAAAAAAATCCACTCCTAAAGCGAGAGGTGGCCCAAGCCACTCAGGCAGAGGTCAGTGAGCTCTGGAGGTGGCCTTGAGGAGCAGAGAGTGGCGAGTGGGGAAAACCCAAGAAAGTGCAGCTACGTCCACCCCGCCGGACTAAACCCCACTCGCCCTTCACCCCATCTTAGAAGCAGCTTTCCTACCCCTAAGCACCCAGATCATGTATAAGCTGAGCCCCTCCCGGCATGGGAGCAGGAAAGAGGGGTAGTTAGGAACACAGGGACTGAGTCCTGCCACTCCAGGACACAGCTAGGCTCTGTCTCCTCCTATGCCTGTGGCTTTGACCACAAGTTATTTGTCCCACTCTGAACCTCAGTTTATCTGTAAAATGGGGATAATAAAAGTACATAAACTGTTCTAGTTTGTTGGCAGAAATATGTGCCTAACACATAGTTAGCACTTGACAAATACAACAAATTATTAGGATAGTCATTATCATCCTCAACACGGGTCCCTGGCCAGAGAGGATGTGCCTCATCTTGTCGCATCTACACCCTTCACCTGGTCTAAACTTTAGAGTACCCTGAGGACCAAGACGGTATCCCACCCCACCCTCCACCACTGCTCCAGAGGCAAACATGGCGCTGGAACTACAAAACGTGAATATCCCAGTGTTCTGAGACCTGAAATGAGGGAGGGGTGAAGCTGGAAAGATGTGTCTAGAGAAATAGCAGCTGACCTTGACCCCAGAGAGACAGGGAGGGTGCCCAGAGAAGACTGCACGGCTTGGGCCCAGGGAGACAAGAAGAACCCACAGCCACCAGCCGTGGGAACCGGTGCAAGTCACACTGCCTCTCTGGGTCTCAGTTTCCCTAGTTTTTGTGAGGAACAATTAACAAAACCCCATGAGTACTGGGAGTAAGTTACTCCCAACTTACAGACGAGGAATCGGAGGCCCGCAGAAGAGAACAAACTTGCCCAAGGTCACAGAGGTGGTGACAGAATCAGAACGCAAGCCTGGCAGATGGACCCAGAGCCAGACCCCTCTGAGCTATTCTCAAGGACTTCTCGTTACAAAGGGAACCTCCAAAATTTTCTTTAAAGAGAAAGTGCCCATAGTGGGCCAGGCATGGTGGCTCATGCCTGTAATCCCAGCACTTTGGGAGGCCGAGGTGGGTGGATCACCTGAGGTCTGTCTGGAGTTCAAGACCAGCCTGGCCAACATGGTGAAACCCCATCTCTGCTAAAAATACAAAAATTAGCCGGGCGTGGTGATGTGCGCCTGTATTCCCAGCTACTCAGGAGGCTGAGGCAGGAGAATCGCTTGAACCCAGAAGGCAGAGGTTGCAGTGAGCCAAGATCGCACCACTGCACTTCAGGCTGGGAGCCTGGGCGATAGACCAAGACTCCGTTTCAAAAAAAAAAAGAGAAAGTGCCCATAGTGTAGAATTTCCCTACATCAGAATTTCCCTGCTCAGAACACTAGGTTCTTGGACATTAGCCAAATTAGCTTGGAAAATACTGCATTACTTGTCTTTAAGGTACTAATATATGCTAATATACAGACTAAGTCTTCTGTACGGCCACAGAGTACCCAGCATTTTCCAAACATATTCACAGACTGGTATTCTTTAGGACACATTTTAGAAAAGGCTGCCCGAAAGCATAAAATTCAAACAAGCCCCTCGAACTCCTCTCTAAAGCAACTGTTTTCGTTCGGCTTTTTGAGGAGCCGTGCTTTCTGTTAGGAGCCACGCTTTCTGTTGCATACAATGAGGCTCACCTGTATGGCATCACGGCTAACCCCTGAACTCGGGTTAAAGTCAACACTGGCCAGATTACGGTAACACAACCACAAAAGCCTGGGTGTTTTAAAGACACAATGATGACACTATCCTCCTCTTCCCCTAACCTAGTCCCATCACAATCCCCGCCCCACCTCCCTCCATCCTAAACTAAGGGAACAAGATGATCACTTTCCACTTCTTAAGAGCCACCCCACACAGAACGGAAAGGCAGAGAGCTGTGGTGGTGGGGGGGGGGGTTGGGTGGGAGGGGGGCAGTGGTCCCACAGTGGCCACACCTGAAAGCAGTTAACATATACAAGTGAGAAAGAGGTACTCCTGACTCTTTGCCCTTAAGGGGTCACACCACCTTTCGACCCTCCAGCGGAGAGGATAAAAATCACTTTCCTGCTTCACAGAGCAGCTGTGAAGATCAATGAGGTAAGACGTGTGGTTAAGCATGGGGTGTGCAAAGTTCTATGAGTCCCAGGAAGAGAAATCAGGAACAACCACGCCAAGCCTGGACTCTCCCCTGCACCAAGAACATTAAAGCTGGAACTCTGCACTTCCTGAGTCAAACCCTGAGAAACTGAGGCTCAGAGCCCAGCAACCTGCCCAGGACCACAAGGGCCTCCCAACTCCTAGTCCTGCGCCCTCCCCTCGTCCCTGCAGTCCTCAATGCAGCCTCAGTGGTTCCCTGTGCTCCGTCACCACCCCGTCAACAGCCTGAGTCGTCAGGAAGCTCCACTTCCTCAAATCCCCCTGGGCATCTCACTGGGCCCATCTTCCTCTCTCCCTTCTCCTCCTCCATCCCAAATGCCTCTCCAGAGTCCCCAAGACCACCATGATATGCTCTAGCCCCTTCCTGCTCCTCTCCTCCCACCACCAACCCCTTCCACTTATAAAAGCCCCTGCCCCACACTTCCCTTGCCTTCCCCACATACCCAGTGAGAAGCTCCCACTGTGGGGCTGGAAAAGGTAACATTTTCTGCTCACTAAAGGGAATAAAAGCGAATCTCAATGGATGGAAATGTTAACAAAACGGATGCAATGCCTTTTTAGCACGTTTCTCAGCTGCAAAACCATCTCAGCTGGTTTTAAAACATCCATGAAACAGACTGTGCTTGCCTTGCAAAGCCTTTGGAAAGTTCTTTCAGCAAATTTGCACAGAGGCCAAGGTCATGGGGCCAGGTCCCCATACCCTTCAGGTTCTTGAACTTGCTATTCCAGGCTTCAAGACAGGACAGGCAAGAAGCACCAAGTACCTAACCTCTTTGAGAACCCGTGGGTTCCACTGTCCACTCCACTCCTGGCTGTGGTGGCCCCAGCCAAGAAGACACGGAATTCTCTGCCCTATACCTATGAAACCACCTGTGGCTTCAGGGCTGAGAGGCCTGGGGAACGGCTACTGTGTACAAGAGTAGAACCCATCAGAAACCATCCAAGCTATGACATGCACCATTTCCCCCGTCACAGTCACAATTCCAAATCACCAAGCTCAAACATGGGTTGCAAAAGTAACACATTAGTCATCCTTCAAAAAAGGAACTCACCTGTATGTGTATCATATTTCAATTATTTTTAAGTAGAACTAAAAATTCTTAGTCCAAAATGTCTCAATTACCCAAACACTAAAAGTCCTCAGGAAAAACTGTTTCTTCCCTCCTCAGAAAGGTTCCGATTTCTTGGACAGCCTTCACATGTTCCCTCCCACACTTGGGATGGGGCTCCGTTCATTACCTTGCTCCGAAGCTGAGGGCTTCTCCTGTCTCCATTCCAGGGTCTGCAGGGTGTGGCTCCAAGGAAGACGAGGAGTAATCTTCACCCTGGGTCTCTGGCCCACTTGTCTCACCAACCCCCAGCTCCCTGGCCTCCAAGGGGTCTCTGGCCTCCAGGCCAGGAGACAAGCTGCCATTGTGCCTCAGGCCGGGCTCTGGGCACTGGCTCACCCCGCCCACCCCATGCTCCCTGGCTTCACTTGGAGCCCCAAAGAGCTCCACATTCTGGGGCGCCAAGTCCTGGGTCCAGTCCATCTGCCCCACTCCACATCCCCGTAGCCCCTGAGAACCTCCAGAGTCTGGGTCACAGGTCACCTCCAAATCCCTCAGGCCCAGATTGTTACCCCAGTCCATCTGGCCCACCCCAAGCTCTTTGGACTCTCCAGGACTGCAGACTGCCCCTGGGGCCATGTTTCTCAGCCCAAGGTCAGGTGTCCAGTCTGCCTGTCCAACTCCACGCTCCCTTGATTTAAGGAACTCTCCGGCCTCCACACCTGACCAGTCAGTCTGCCCCACGCCACTCTCTCTGGCCTGGCTGTGGCCTCCTCCCTCCCCGACCTCAGCCAAATCTTTGCTCTTCACATTAACATCAGAAGTCCAGTCCTTCTCCCCAACTCCGATTCCCCCCGGCTCTTCAGACCCTCCACTTTCCAAACAGCCGGTCAGGTTCATGTCTCTCAAGCTCAGGCCACCTGACCAGCCCATCTGTCCCACGGCACTCTCCCTGGCCTCGCTCGAGCCCCCAGAACCCACACAGCTGGACACTTCCAAGTTCCTGAGACCCAGCTGGTCAGTCCAGTCCACCGAGCCAGCTGTGGTCTTCCCAGGAGGCACAAAGTGACCACCTTCCATCTTGCTAGAAGGGCTAAAGCCAGCACCACTCACTCTGTCGTTGCCAATGATGCCAAACTGATAGCTCCTCTCACTGGCCTCGATGCAGAAGTCCCGGCTCCAGTCCTGCTGCCCTGGGCTAAATGCTGCCTCTCGCTGGGGGCCAACACTGAGGCTAAACTCACCGACCCAGCCTCGCTTTCCCATCTCCCCATCTTCCAGGTCAGCACTGCCAGGGCCCTGAGCCCCTGCCTGCTGTCTCTCCTGATGCCCTCCCACCTCCTGGCTAGCATCACTGTTTTGCCAGCTGCTCTGGTCTCTCTGCCCGAGTGCCCCATCCGGCACGTGGGCAGTGCTAGGACTGAACAAGCCCCCGGATCCTCTCTCTCCTGGCCGGCCAGCATCCCTGCTGCCCTCTCCAAGGCTGTCTTCCACACTTGGAATCTTCTTCTCAAATTCCTCATCCTGTTGCTGGGCTTCCTCGGGGCTGAACCCAGAGCTCAGGGGTCTCGTTCCAAAGCTTCTGTCCTGGGCGTCAAGGGTCCTGGAGCTGCCACCACTGCTGTAGTCCCTTATCCAAGCGCTCTTCCCAAACTCCTGTTCCTGTGGCTCCGCAGCCCGGCTGCCATAGGTGCCGAGTGACACATCTCTCTTCTGAAACTCCCAGTCCTGCTCATCGGCATCCTGGCTGCTGTACCTACCATGGTGGTCCCTCTTCCCCAAATCTTGGCCCTGCTCGTTGGCATCTTGGCTGGCATAAGCACCCAGAGAATCTCTCTTCCCAAATTCCCAGTCCCCAAGGCTTACATCTCGACTACTGTAGGTACCCAGTGAATCTCTCTTTCCGAATTCCTGGTCCTGGAGTTCTGCATCCCGGCTGGAGTAAGTGCCCTGGGAATCCCTCTTTCTGAACTCCCAGTCCTGAACATCTGCCTCCTGGCTCCGCTGAGTGCCAAGCTGGGCTGGCTTTCCAACTACCCGGTCCTGGGCTGTGAGCACCCCTGGGGCAGACACTTTACTCTGGTCTTGGCTGCTGCTGGCCTCCATCTCCTCCTGGCCGATGCCACACCTGCTGGCCCACTCCCTGGTGCTCCCTTCCCCTGCTCCTTGCCCATACTTGCTGGTCCAGTCCCTCTCTCCGAGACCTGGGTCTCCTCTAGGGCTTGCACCCCCAAGGCCATAGTCCTGAGAAGCACCTTGACACCAGCTGGAAGGACTGAAACTGCTGGGCTGTGGGTCTCCTGTGATCCCAAATTCACTCTGCAGATCTTTCTGGGACCAGCCAAGGAGTCCCTGGGAATAAGAAAAAAAAACAGACAAAGAAACAACGATTAGATTCCATCAGGGTGGGAGTCAATCCAGCAGAGTCAGCGCTGCCTAGTGCCTGAAAGCCCCACTTTGGCAACAGAAAGCTGTGTGACCTTGAGCAAATCACTTAACCACTCTGGGTCTCAGCGTCCTCATCCTTAAACGAGGATAATTCCTATTGCATGGGGCTGGTGTGAGAGGATTAAATGAGATCATTTAGACCAAGCACTCAGCATAGTGCTTGGCATGCAGTGGGCACTCAATCGATGGTCCCATGGTCATGTTTACAACTCTTGGGCAATACTTGGCTAACAGCCAGGAGAGGAGTGGTCTTCACACAGGAATGGCAGGCAGTGCACTTTCCTTTTGATTAGGAGAGGTCAAGATTCAAAGCCTCTCTGCGACTTCCCTTGCAAGGCAAGGTTCCAACACCAATGACAGCTTTTCCAGCCCGTCCTCCCCCATGCCCCATCTGACCCCCATCCTCCTATAAGTACCCAGGCCCTTCTTCCCCAGCCAAAGTGCCGTCTGCTCAATCTTCCCCAGGAAGACCTCTCAGCCCTCACCCTGGCCCAGGAAAGACAAGAGGGGCAGCCTCTGGCACAGGGGAAAATCCCAGCCAGGGCTTCTTGCACCCCACCCCCCACCTCACGCTCCCTGACTCACCCTTGTGGGCGGGAGAGCCCTGGGCTCAGGGCTTCGGAGCCGGCCAGCCTCATCCCTCAGCGCAGCGTTGGCCAGCAGCCGCTCCAGGATAGACATGCTGGCCTCCCCATCCCCAGGCTGGGCCATGGCCCCCCGCCCCCAACCCGCCTTGGGGCTGCTGGGTGCGGCCAGCCGGGCGCAGGGATAGAGCTGGGCTGCTACCCGCGCTGGGACCTGTCCGACGGCTCTGGCGCTGGCTCTCCCTCACCCTGGCCCTGCTCCCTCCGGAGCAGCTGCAGCTTGGGCAGCCCCGCCCAGGAGCCAGTTGAGTCACCCACATCCCGGGACAGACACACCTACTACAGGAGTCAGCTTAACCCCTTCCTGCTCCTCCTTCTCCCCGCCCCGCAGCCCCCAGAGGCCCCCTGGCTCCTCCTTTCCTGCAGCCCCGCCCCTTGCAGCCCAGGCCCGGCTTGAGAAATAAATTTCGAAAGCCACCTGGCCCCCGGCCCTTAAATTCAGAGGCAGCCTGGTAGGAGAAAGGGCACTGGGCCGGGAAACGGCGCTGGCCCGGGCCCAGCCACCAACTTGCTGGATAACTGCACAAGGCTAACCTCCTCTGAGGCCCAGCTGCCTGTCTACAAAGCAGGTCTGGAGCTCAATGTTAATAACGTTTGTAAAAGCCAACACTTCTTAAGCACTTAGGATGAGCCAGGCACTATTCTTAGCACTTTAGACATTACAGCTCATTGAACCCTTGCCAACACCCTTGGAGGTAGAACTCATCTTGTTATCCACATTTTACAGATGTGGAAACTGAGGCAGAGGGCAGAAAAGTCACTCTTTTAAGGTCACACCTGGGCAAAGGAAAGCAGAGCCAGGAGATGAACCCAGGAGCCCACGCTCTAAATGGCTACACTATTTTGCCTTGAACGATATTCCCATAATGAGAGACTGAATACTCAGCACCTGCCACGCACTGTGCCGAGAGCTTTCCACCTCGATTTACCCACAATATAACTCTAAGAGGCCAATGCTACTATCAGGAAAGCACTCTGAAGCCCAGCAGTTAAGGTACGTTCTTCCCAAGACCAATCAGCTAGCGATTGCTGGAGCTGGGATAGAGCCTCACACGAAACCCCACACACACACCGTCCTGTGTGGCTCTGCAGAGCTACAATCTGCAGGTCCACAGCTGCCTTGCTCACTACCACAGCCCAAGCTCTCGACATGTAAAATCCATGTTCAAAGAATGAAGCCCACCCAAGCCCTGGCCTCTGTCCCCAGAAGTCCCATTCTCCCTATGCCCATTCTCACCTCAGAGCAGGTACTTGGGGACTGTGTGTCCTTCAGCTCAGCTCCAGCTCCCCGCCTTGCACCGCCACCACTGGGTGGTGGTGAAGCCAGGAGGTCGTCCAGCCAGCGGGAGCTGCTTTCAGGGCCTGGAGGCTCGGGGGATGCCCTACACAAGTCTTGAGCCTCTGTCCTGGCTTGGGTGGTCTCAGCCCGGGCTAGGGTCACGGCCTCCTCCTCAACAGGCAGTGCCTGTCCAGGCTCAGGGGCATCAGCAAAGAGAACACAGGGCTGGTCAGGGGCTGCTGGCTGCTCCTGCCCCAGGACTGGCTCCAGGATGGGCAAGGCTGCCTCCCTGGTAGCCAGGGGGAGAGGGGACTCCTGTCCAGCCAAGGGCTCCTGCGACTCGTATCTCTCCTCTGCCTGCTGCAAAGGTAATCCAGGTGTGCCCTCAGTTGTAGGCAGGGGCTCAAGGGGAACAGCTGGGAATTGAGGTTGACTCTCCCCATCGCCCTTCTGGGTGAGGGACATGCTTGGATCATCCCCCTGCACCCAGGAACTTCCTGACCCACTTGGAGCTGACCCAGCCCCTTGCCCCTGCTGAGACACTCCTTCTTCCCTGCTGGAAACGGCCAAGTTGCCAGCCTCAGCAGCCTCGGCGGCCTCACTGGCTTCAGTGATGGGGGAGGGAGGCGGGGAGTCCAGCCGCCACACGCCCAGACCCGAGGGCCTCGTGGGGAAGGTCCATTCGAAGGACTGTGATAAGCTCCAGTTGGACTCTGCCCCAAAGGGACGATCCAGGGCCAACTGGCTCCCCTGGCCTTGGGGCAGGGCAGCCAGCGAGCCCCCCAGCTTCTCCTGGTCCTGACTGGGTGACTGGAGCACACCTTCAGAGAATCGGCGCTGAACCAGGCTGGTGGGGCGGAGGTGTGCGTCACCCTTGGCCTCCTCCTCCCCGCCAGATGGAAACGTCCGAGTGAGATCCAGCAACTCACCCACCTCGATCAGGGGCCGGGGTGAGGTGGCAGGGGGCTGATCCAGGCTATGGGGCTCCAAGACCTCAGGGGGTGGGCTGCTGGGTCTGGGGGCCTCTGGAGCCCCCTCGGCAGGGAGCCCCGGGCTGGGGGTGTGGCGGGAGCCCTCGTCAGGCAGGGCTGCACTTGGAGCTGATGGAGTCACAGCGGGGCAGGGAGAAGCCTGGGAAGCTTCAGGAGTCTGGGCTTCCAGAAGCTGTGAGTGGCAGGGAGAACTCTTATCAGGCGGGTGAAGATGGGGAGAGCCAGGGCCTGAGCCTGAGGCTTCTGCGGGGAGGCCTGGGCTGGCAGGGCCTCCATTCTCTGAGGAGGGGGCTGGACTTGAGGGAATCCAGGGCTTGGAAATCTGCAAGAGAAAGAAAGGTCAAGATCCGTCACTCACCTCTCAGCGGGGCGGGGAGGGTCCCCTCCGACCCCACACAGACCCCAGGTCAGCTTCTCCCAGGCTGGGAGGAGGCAACTGGAACCCGAGGGGGTCCTCTTGGGATAGCTGGGAGGGGCCCCACAGACGACTCAAGGCAGGACTTCTCACAGAGCCCCCTTTAGACCTTCTTCCCCAGAATGCGCCTATCCTTATTCACAAAGCATAATTCCTTTCGTCTCAGGTGGTTGGAACCCCTCACCCACTCAACCCAAAGCTCATGTGAGGATCTCCTCAGAGGCCACAGTTCGGGGTCCATAACACCTGCTTTATAAAGGGAAAAGGAACATTGTGAATCTGGCTCTTGAAGCACCTCAGCATGTGGGAGTCGTGAGGGGAGAGAGGGTTTCGCGTCCAAGCAGGATTCGAGGTGCAGTGCAGCTACAGAGCAGCTCGGGGGAGTGGCTACAGCGTGCAGGGGGTGCCCCTCATGGCACAGAAGGTGCCAAGGAAGCAGGAAGGCTATGGGACCCAGGCAAAAGGCACTGGGGGGTGTGACAGCGCCTGGCTTGAGCCGTCCCAGCACTGCCTCTTACCAGCATGTGCCCTCCCTCACATATGGCAGACACTTGGTCTCTCTGAGCCTCAGCTTCCCCATCTGTACATTAGGGCTGGTGGCAACAATGCTCATCTCCCAGTTAGGTGAGGGTGAAGGGAAATGTGTGCACTGGCCCCTCGGCATAGGACTCATGGGATGATGGCGGCAGAGAGTGGGGAGGACGTGGAGAGAAGAGGGGGACAAACAAGGCACCAAGCACCTGGCACTCCACCTGTCCCCAGACAATGAAGTGACTCTGGCTCCATCTGACCTTTGCCCTCTGCAGAGGTCACACTTCCCTGGCCGCCCTCTCCCATGTCGTTAATTCTCCCACATCATCACCTACTAGGCCTGGGCAAAATAAAGGGTCCTGCTTGCTTCTCAAGGTCCCTTCTGTTCCCTCCATGCTCACTCCCCTCTGCAACGTTCTAATGTCAAAGCTCGTGCCCTTAAACTACAGCACCCACAATTCTTTCTTGTTATTGACCCTTACGCACCCATCATTCCTTGAAAACCATAACCGCTGCATCACTGCAACCCTCTCCATCATTGTTGTGATAGCTTACAGTCATCTCCATAGCCAGATGCGACCCTTCCAGCCTCTGGTTCGTTGACCTCCTCTTCCTCAGTGACTGTGCGACCCATCCTCTCAAGGTCACACCCTAGACCTCATCCTTACCAGTGGCTGCAACCTCTGCATCATCTCAATCCCAAGTATCCCACTTGCCCACCCCCACCGCCTATCTGACCGGCTCACTCTATTTCCCCAACGCCCTTATTTTCAGCCCCTCTCATAGCACAGCCCCTTAACCCTAATTCTTTCTCATTGTCCCCCACTCCCCTCATACCCTCACCTCTCTTCTTATCACCATTAACGTCACTTTTTACTCAACACTCAACTCCCTCATCTGCTTCATCATACTGTTTAACCTGTTTAAATACAGCTCTCCAATACAGCTGGGCCAATCCTAGCCCAGCACCTGAGTAGCTGCATGTGGCTGGATAAAAACACACAATCGTGACAGCTGGTCTCACTCCAGATTCACTGCTGACCTCAAGCCGGCCCTAGAGCTGCCCAGAATCCCACGGCACTCCCCCTGCCATTCACTCCATGACTCTCCCAGGCAATGTTTTAGCATCTTCTCCCGTCAGACCTCCACACCTCCCCCAATCCTCTCTCAGCTGATGGCCTTGCTTCCTGTTCCCTGAGAACACAGAGGCCACCAGCAGAGAACCCCCGACAACCCCCCCACCGCCACACACACACACACCACCTACTTCCTGCATGGGAGCCCAAGCACTCTGCCTCCCCTTCTGCTATCAGGCACTGTCCTCGCTTGGGGCTGAGGTCAATCCCTCCTCTCTCTCCTGCATCGATTTTTTTTTCCCTCTCTACTGGATCATTTCCATCAGCACACAAACTGCTCTAATTTCTTCTGTCTTGAAAAGCCAAAAAAGCAAACCAAAAAACCACTCTTGACCCCACATCACTCACTAGCTACCATCCATTTTCTTGAAAGCCCTGTCTATATTCACTATTAATATCCACAGTTCTTCTTGTCCCCTTCTCTCTTGAAACCACTCCAAACAGGCTTTCTCCTTTACCTTGCCACCTAACTACTCTCGTCAAGGTCACGGATGACCTCCCTGGAGCTGAATCCAATTCTCTGTGCTCATCTTACTTGACCTGTCAGTGGCATCTGACAGCTGATGGCGCCCTCCCCCAGTCCTGGAGGCTGTCTCCACTTGGTGGACTCTCTCACTGTCCTCCCAGTCTCCTTGGCTGTGCCTCTGGGCCCTCCCCTCCTGCACCATCCCCACTCTCAGTAATCTCAGCCAGTCTTCACAAGCATTCCTACTCTGACAATTCCCAAGTGTTCCTTTCAAATTTGCTCACTTCCCTTGAAGGCCAGACTCGACTACCCAACCATCCGCTTGACGTTTCCACATGGATGTCTGAAAACCATCTCAAATTCAACAAATCCACAAAGCAAACTCCTCCCATCTCCCCCGATCCTGCTTCACCCTTAGAAGTCCCCGTCTCGGCAACCATAAACTCATCCTTCCGGTTGCTCAGGCCAAAAGCCGTGGGGTCACCCTTGATTCTGTGCTCTCTATCTATCTGAAAGTCCTTTCCACCATGCCTTCAAATTCTATCCAGAACCAACCACTTCTCCCCATCTCCACCGTAGGCTACCTCCAGGGTCCAAGCCGTCATCATCTCTCACTTGGACTATTCCAACAGCCCCCTGACTGGTCCATGCTGCTGATCTTACCTCCCTGCAACTGATTCTTAATCCAGTGGGCCAGGTGACTCTTCACAACTAAGACAGCAGCATCCCATGCCTCTCCTGCAAACCCTTCAAATGGCCTGTTGCTCTCACTGAAGCCAAAGTCTTTCTAGAGGCCTTCGAGACTTGACACAATCCAACCCCCCAACCCGTTGGTCCTCACTACCACCTAACTCCTCTCTCACTGCCAGGCAGACATCCTGGCCTCCTTGCCAGGAAAGCACCAATGCCTTTGTACTTGCTGTGCCCTCTACCAAGAATGCTGCTCTCCAGACATGCACACAGCTCAGCCTCTGCCCTTCACAGTGACACCTTCCCTGACCACACTCGTCCCTGCACTCTCTACTCTACCTTCACAGCTATCTCCAACATCCAGCTCCTAACAGGCGCTCAGTCACTGCTTGCTGGATGGACAAATGAATCAAGTCAGATCTCCAGCTAGCAAGGGCTGTATGAGCAAAAAGGGCCATCCTGTACCTTGTTTACTCAAGAAAGCAGGCTGACCATCTTCAAGAACGGGAGTATGATGGGAAAATCTCAGCAAAAGGACTCACCCCTCTTCTGAACTCAGAAAAGGCAGCCCAGCCAGGGAAAGCATGGGAGGCAGACACAGTAGCTGCTGCCTCAGCCTAAGTTACTTACCCTTTGTGAGTACAGGTGCTCTCATCTCTCACATGGGACTAACCAGGTCTACTAGCCAGAGTTATCACAAGGATTGAGTTGGTTAACGTTCCCAGGACAGGCCCAGCACATAGTAGGGACTTAATCAATGGCAGTTGTTGTGGATACTATCATTACTGTTTATGATGAATGGCCTCATGGCCTTAACCACACCTAGCCACTTTGGTGATCAAGAGCACTGGCCCAGGAGTCGAAAAATCCCAGGGCCAGCCCTCCAGTGAGTCACTCTCCCCATGGGCCTCAGTTTCCCCATCTGAACTACAAGGAGTAGAAAAGATGATCTCATATGACCCTTCCAGCTCTAAAATACGTGATTCTGATTCATAACTGGAGGATAACTCACATCAGCAGGTAGCTCCGAGCTGGCTGCCTTAGCCAGGTCCCCGTTGAAGGCCAGGTCGGAAGGAAGGCTCCTGTGAGGGACGAGGACAGGAAATGGAAGCACGGAATGTTAGAGTCTGTCACAGAATGGAAAATGTGGGAGAGTCTCCCAGTGCAACTTTAACAGCACCCAAAGGTTAAACCCTCCTAGCCATTTACTCTTGAGCCCTGCCTGCAACTATTAGGGACACAGAATCTGTCCATTTTCCATTCGGCAAGTGCCCCAGAAAACAGTGCTTATTCCCTACCTGAGCATGAAGGGTTAAATTCCCCAGCTACTTTAGGAAAAGCATCCTGGATGCCCAGACCTCTCAACAGCTCCTAAAAAGATAACTCCTCTTTCCTTTAACCCATAAGGAGTTAAAGTTCTCCTCTAGCCAGGAAGAGTGCAGCTGGTCCTGCTGCCCTGCCAATACTTCTTGAAGAATTGCAGTGGGGGAGGGGAAGAGGAAAGAGTGATTTTCCAGGGTTGAAGTTGTTCTTAAGCCCTACTTGGAGTGAGGGAGAGAAGGAAGATGGCGGGTGGAACCCAGCCTGGGCAAGAGTGTGACCTCACAGCACCCTGGTCTGGGACAGGCAAAGGACTAGCTCTGGGGCCAAGGCTCCAGACACTTTCAGGTGAGAGAAGGGCAAGGCCAGAGGGCAGGGCAGGGCAGGGACCCTCAGCTTCCCGCTTAGCCCAGACCACACCAGCTCTTGCCTTCATAGCAGTAGGAAGAGAAAGGGAGCCTCTGAGCCCAGCAGAGCTGTTAAAGGCCCAAGGAGCCAGCCATACCTCAAGCTGGCTCTCCCAGCACTAAGGACAGCCTCTGTGCAGCTGATGGCTCCTGAGATGCCTCAGCCTCTTCCTCCAAAGTCCCGTGCCCAGCACCCCAAGAAGCACCTCCTGGCCAGCCTTGCTTTACACTAGTGGCAACTCTGGAGAAGCGTATCATATGCAAATATCTCCAACCAGCCAAAATCTCTGTGCAGACACTAGCTGGCCTGGCATCAAGATGTGTTCCTCTCGCAGGGCGCAGTGGCTCACGCCTGTAATCCCAGCACTTTGGGAGGCCGAGGCAGGCAGATCACGAGGTCAGGAGATCGAGACCATCCTGGCTAACACAGTGAAACCCCATCTCTACTAAAAATACAAAAAAATTATCCGGGTGTGGTGGCAGGCGCCTGTAGTCCCAGCTACTCGGGAGGCTGAGACAGGAGAATGGCGTGAACCCAGGAGGTGGAGCTTGCAGTGAGCCGAGATTGCGCCACTGCACTCCAGCCTGGATGACAGAGCGAGACTCCGTCTCAAAAAAAAAAAAAAAAAAAAAGATGTGTTCCTCTCTTACCTCTCCCATCAGATTCCACCTCACAGGCAGAGACTGTGCCCTACTCATCCTGACACACGCAGCCCCACCCCAGGACTGGCACACTGCTCTGACCACTGTAAGAGCTGGCACTTAAGAGCAGAGGATTTGGAATCAAACAAACATCTGTCTCTGCCTCTTAACTTGCCGAGACTATGGAGTCATTTTTGAGCCTCAGTTTCCTCATCTCTACAATGGATCTAATACTCCCTTGAACAAACAGGATGCCAACGAGGCAAAGTTTGGTGCCCAGCTCTCAGTATATAGAAACTAAACTTCTTGGCCGGGCGTGGTGGCTCATGCCTGTAATCTCAGCACTTTGGGAGGCCGAAGCAGGCAGATCACCTGAGGTCAGGAGTTCAAGACCAGCCTGGCCAACAGGGTGAAACCCCAACTCTACTAAAAATACAAAAAAATTAGCTGGGCGTGGTGGCCCACGCCTGTAATCCCAGCTACTCAGGAGGCTGAGGAAGGAGAATCACTTGAACCTGGGAGGCAGAGGTTGCAGTGAGCCGAGATCGCACCACTGCACTCCAGCCTGGGTGACAAGAGCAAAACACCATCTCAAAAAAAAAAAAAAAAAAAGTCTATTGTCTATTAAACTTCTATACTGTACATTTGAACTCTCTAACATAAACCTGCATCAACTCTGTAAAGAAAACTACAACTTTAAAAGCATACAGTAATGATAACACCATCTGCTGGGGAATGATTTGTGACCTAGATCGGGATCTGCCTGTACTCACAGCACACAACCAACCTACAGGTAAAAGTCACAACCCTATATGGGGCCATGCACTTGGTCCCCAGCCCCCACCCAATCCCACCCCACCTGACCTCCAGGCTGCCACAAAATATACAACCTCCCACCCTTCACCTCTCCTCAGGGGTCTTGCTGTGCTCTTCCCGGCACTCTGCTGGAGACTTTACTGGCCCCTCCTGGGACCATCCCCTGAAGAGGGTGCTGCCATCCTCATCCCTGGGAGCAGTGGTCGTGCCATAGGTCCTGGGGCCATATCGCGAGCTGCCATCGTGGTTAAAGGTGAGGCGGGAACCCCACAGGCGGTCGGGGCTGGCAAGGACCTCCTTCCGAGGCTGCTCCATCTTGGCCAGGATCTCTTCCACCGTGGTGGCCGCGAAGCGCTCTGAGGCTGGGCGGAAAGGGGCAGGGGCCTTCCGTACACCCCCTGGGGCTGCACATCGAGCTGGGGGTGTCAAAGGGGGTGGCTCCTCTTTCCCAGCCTCCTCTTTCCCAGTCTCTTGGGTGGCTTCTCCTCCAGTGGAGGCCTCAACCGCAGGCCTTGGTGCAAAGGGAAGGGGGCGCTTGCTGCCACCATAGGGCTGGGGTCCTGCCAGCATGTTCATCTTCCTGGCAGAAGGCAACTCAGCCAGGGGACCCCGGGGAGGCCGAGGCCCAACAGGCACCAGCAGGCTGGGTTTGGCAGGCAGGGCTGGCTTGGCAGGCAGGGCCCGGGGTTTGGGCTTGACAGGGGGTTTGGCCCGAGTGTCACCTACCAAAAGGAAAGGGTTGGTGGGGGAGCTGTCAGAAGAACCAGGAAGCAGAACTTCTTTGTTTCCTGTTCCACCTCATCTCCCACCCTCCGATTTAAGAATATTCACATCTTTCTAGGCACAAGTCATATGCCACCTCTTCCATGAAGCCTTCCTTGATTTTCTACACACATCCCCAAAGCATCTTCTCCCTTCTTCAAACTCCCAAAATGTTTTAGCCAATTCCCCTTTTAAGCTGAAGCTATTTAAGGACCCACCTGGCACCTTACTTCTTCCTGTACTGTATTTTGCCCCTAGCATAAGTTATAATTAAACAAAAGAATGAATGAACAAATGAGCCAATAAACAAATGCCTGCCTGTCCCTATCAAGCAGTCAGCCCCCCCATATTCCCAATCTAGTTTTTTCACCTTATGTGACACTCTTCTCTATCATCCATAGTAAACTTTCAATCTCAGCTGAGCTTCTCTATCCTGCCTCCAGGCTGCCTCCTCCCCCACCCACAGCACACTCCCAGGCCACCTCCCCACTGTCATCTGGTGTGTGACTGGGAATGCAAACTTACTATTGACCCAAGTCAAACAAAAGTAAATCTGCTATGGGAAGAAAAAAAAAAACAGGACCAGAAATCTACCTTCTATATAAAGCTAAATGACCTTGGAAGTACCCTCGTCCACAGTCCTCCTGATGGAATCCCGTACCTCCTACACATTTGGCTAAATAGAAGAAAAGAGTCTACACAAGGAGCCAGGAGGTCTGGGTTCAAACTCCCACTTGTACACTCCATTTTTCCCTGTGGGCCTCAGTTTTCCCCTCTGCAAAGCATGCAGCTTGATCCATATCATCTCAAAGGTCCCTGTCTGCTCTTACACCTGTTGGAGATTTATGATCCCAAACAGTTCTGAAGAGTCTCAAGAGAAGCTGAGAACCTTTCAAACTCATCCTGTACTGCCTTGGTACTCCTTCCCTATCTCAACAGAATCATCACTCAACCACCCCCCAAGACAGAAAGAGGGGGCAGCCTCTGTCCTTCCCACCCCCCTCCCAGCCACCTGGCTCCACCCTGCACCCATTGGTACCTGGCTCAGAGCCAGTAGGCACCAGCTCCTCCTCCATCTCCCGGGGCAGTGGGGAAGCCATGGCTGAGCTTTCCCTGAGAGTAGACACTTTCATCACATGCGGCAGACCCTCCTTGAGAGCGGGGAGGCAGAGAGGTATGAGCTGGGGTGGCTGCAGACCTAGGAAAAGAGAGAGAAGAGAAGGAAAAAAAGAGTTGGGCGTTGCCAGTAGGTTTAGCAGAGAGAAGTCTCCTATTTCTAACAGAGGCAGAGTGTGGGACAGGAAGAGAGAACTTGGAGTGGGGGGGGGGGGGTAGGAGGAGGTCAAGGGAGGTTCCCAACAGCCATATCCTCAACTCTTCAAAGATCCTCCCCAACTCTTATCTCCTAACCCCAAAGTCCTAGCGCTTCAGGGAGTCACTCACTGCTCCCTCCTCTGACAAGCTCTCCAAGACACCCCACTTACAGTCCCCACAGTGCCCCTTGGGTAGGACGGCCCCGCTGGAGGTGTCTACTCAAAGCAGAGCTAGAGAGCTGCAAAGTATGAAGTCTGTCTGTGAATCACCTCACGGGAGACGGGAAAAACCCGCTCCTCCCCAACCTGGGCTCCGCCCCACTGCCTGCCTCCCCCTTCCCACTCACCCTCCTTCCCTCTCTCCCTCCCTCCCGCAGCTGGGAGTGGTTCCTTCTCCCCCCTCTCCCTGTTCTCCTTCCACATCCCTGCCCCACTCTCTCCCCTCCCTCAGAACTGTCTCATCCAAACACGGAAAAATAAGGAATAAAAAGTAAACATCTGGAATATATTTTTTTCTTTAATTTCTCAATCGCTTGGCTTCAGCTTGGAATTTGATGAGGTAAAGCCAGGGCCTAGTCCTGTTGCCATAGCAATGGCCTCCCACTGGATTTCCAGGGCCTAGCCAAGAGGAAGGAGGAGCCGGCCCAGGCCTGGGCTGGGAGAACGGGACAGGGCTTGAGAACATCCGGGGGGTGGAGTGACTTGGGGGAAAATTCCCTGGGGCTCCACCTTCCACGACAGTCAGGGTGGAGCAGCCACAGCCTATGTATGAAAAGGGGTTATGTGGGCTTCACTCACCAGCCTAGGGTTGGCTTTAAGGAGTTCTGAGGGGGACAGAAGAAATTAAACCAAGAGGCACAGCCTGGTGGTAGAAGCCTGTCACATGAGCTTCAGGATCTGATATACCAAGATTCAGTGCTGGGTGGGTCTACCACTTTCTAGCCCTGTGACTTCTCCAAGCCTCAGTTTCTCCAACTGAAAAATGGGATTATTGAGACCCTGAGGGGGCTTACATGAAATAGTACATGAAATAGGCTTAGCACAATGCCTAGCACATAATAAGTGTTCAACAAATGTTGCCTATTATTACTGTGATTCCATTCAGTGTCACCAATGAGCTAACATCCCTGATAACCACCTCCTCCTCTTCCCTGACCCCAGGCTACCAGCATTCCCAGACCATTCCTTCACTCTCCCAGGCCCTAGTCCTGTCACCTGTTCTTCAGATACTCCAACCACCTCCTCAGTTCCCATCCTGACTCCTGAAGCACTCTCCCACCCACAAAAACATGGAGACCCTGGGGGATAGGGCCCTGCACCTCTCATGCAAGGCGGAAGTTTCCCTCACCTGGTATGCAGAGCCCTGAGGACAACCCAAACTTCTCCAACCTGCAAGGGGCATTGCCTCACTTAAAGTCACCCACTCCAGCTGGTCTGGGAAGACAGCACCAAATCCTTAAAAGGGACCCCCAGTGCTCATCCTCTGCAAAATCCAACACCCCTCCCCTAACGCTGACCCTGCCCCAGGTGTTTCAAAGATGGGAGAGGGTATGAAGACAGTAGAGAAACCCAGTACTGTCAACCCATTGGTCAGTTAACCACCACGGAAGACTGCCCACTGTGGGTGGGTGAATAACTGTGCAGAGCCAGGCCAAGTGTGGTGGGGGGAGGGGCACATGATAGAAAAAATAAAATTAAAACACAAGATTGTTTCCTTGTCCTTGAACATTATTACTAGGAACATAGTGTGGGTGGTTGGAGATGGAAATTAATTGGCTCAGAACCAAAAAAATCCTTTCACCTGGGGTTCTGATGGGCCCCTCTGCGGTATGAGGGGCTGCAGCAATGAAGGCGGGCTCAGAGTCCCCAGGTGCGGAGGTGGCCACAGCAACTCAGAGACCCCAGCCAGGGGCCCCAGGTGACCAAGGCCACCAAGGCTGTGGCCAGAAGCTGCGATTCGCAGCGGTTCTGAGCACTCCCCACCCTCAAGAGACCAGGGGGTAGAGGGTAGCAGGGTAGAAACGAGCTGACCCCTGGCAGATAAGGCCTCCAGAAGGGCTGGGCAGCTCCAGCCCCGGAGGGGACTCGGCGCAGGCGGGGTCGCCCCTATGGACCCCAGGATCTCCAGCCGGATCCGAGGCTAGAGAGGTCGGCAGGGACAGCACGTAAACTGCTGGAAAGAGGGAGGGCCAACGGGAAGATGGAACAGCCCCGGGCAATGGGCTGTCTGGAGGGGCCCAGTGGGGAGCTCTGGACACAGAAGGGACGGCGGCAGCCGAAGAGGAGGAGGAGGAGGGGGCTGCGGTGGCGGCAGAAGCGGAGGACCTGTGAGCGGGCTGTGAAGCAGCCGGCGAACAGACGGTGGGCTGCAGACGTCGATCAGGTGGGGGCGGACTGGGGTGGCTGGGGGCGTGCCGAAGGAGCCGGGGGAGGGGGCTAGCGCGGCCCGGAGGAAGGGGAGGCAGGGGTCCCTCCAGCGGCTCTGCCCGCCCCCGGCCCCGCCCCAAGCCCTCGCCCCCTCCCCCCTTTCTTCTGGCTCTGCCAGCACGAGCTCCAAGCCATGCGCCCTCCGCCTCCGCGCACACGCGCCACCTTCCCCCGGGCCTCCAGCGTCCCCAGCGCCCTCGGCCCCTGCAAACTTTCCTGGTGACCCCCCGACCACCACCACCTCAACCCGAGGTGTCGGCTGGAAAGCACCCACTCCTTCCATGCCCCTCCCCCGCCCCATCCCGGACCCCGCCCCCTCCTTCGCCCGACCGCCCCCGCGCACTCACGCGCTCGCCCGGGGTCCGGCTCCGCTCGGCTCGGGGCCCCGATGCCAGTCCCCGCCGCCGCCGCCGCTGCTACCGCCGCCGCCGCCGCCGTCACCGCGGGACGAAGCCACTGCGAGCCCCGGCGGGGCCCCGCCCCAACTCCGCCCAGGTCCACGCCCCCAGGGCGCTTCATGAATATGCATGAGCCGGTTGGAACCCGGGAGTGGGAAGCCCGTGCAGAATTCGTCCCACCGTCGGCAAACAGGCGCGGCCCAGCACTCAATTATTCATGAGGCTTGCAGATGAGGGGCCCGCCCCAGTCTCAGACCGGGGCGAAACTGACGCAATTCAGCCGGGAGCGCTCGGGTAAAATGGCCACCGAGACGACTGCCTAGAGAAACTGCCTTGGCGGCCCCTCCCGGGCTCCGCCGCCTGCACAGAGCACAGTATCATCGAGCTACGCCGGCAAGAAGGTAGCCGCCGGCTGACTGAAGCGGCTTCCTGATACAACCACCTGAGTGCTGAGAACGCGCGCAACGTGGCCACCCTCCTGTGTCAATTCAGATTTAGAGCCACCGTGAAGAAGTCTGGCAGCTCTGCATTCCTCATTAGTGACCTTTATCTCCTTTTAGGCCCCTTCTCAGACATGGGTTCCTCCCTACACTGAAGTTTGTATACCCCCTTCTTCCCGTAAGAACAAAAGCTTCACATATAACTCCGTACTTTGTTGCACCACCACCAGGCTGCAACCACCACCACTCTACGCACACGCTCATCCTCCCCGACTCTCCAGGCTCAGGTTTCCACTCCCCCGGCTGCGGGAAGGACAGTCAATCCTGATTTCATTATCGAAAGCCTTGGAAGACCCTTGACTCATAGGTAAGGATGCAGCCAAGAGCTGCCTCCCCCTAGCTTGGTTGGCTAATGGAGTGTAACTGGGAGAAACTTCCTAATCAGATCAGCTCTCATTTCTAGACTCTCAGGTGGCCCATCCGGGCAGAGGCGGGTGAAAACCAATGCTCGTCCAGCCGGGAACAGAACAGGATGTACCTCGAGACTTGCTTCCCGGCTGGCCAGGAAGGCCCTGCCCAGTCTGACCAGAGCAGTAAACACCACCAATAAAAGTGGGAGCAACACACCAAGGCTACAAAGAAAGCATGAGGACATGGTTTCCAAAGTCAGTTCCCTTTATTAAATCATTTTCACAGACCAGAAATACAAAATGAAAGTAGAAATAGGCCCCAGGTAGGAGCTACAGGCCTGGCCTCACATGACCCCTGCTCCAGCAACTTGAACAGGACAAGCAGCAGCTACATCCTTAAGGTCGGGAAAGTAAGATGAGGATTTGGATCCTGCATTGCCCTGCCTCCCACCCTATCTCTCCCCAAATTATAAACAGCCATCCTTGGGAAGCAGCAGAGTTAAGACGTCTCCCCACTGCCCTAGTGACATACACACCAACAGGAGAGCATGTTCAGATGGCACAGAATCCAGGGACTGCATTTCATGAGGAGAAACTGGTACCAAAATATGGGTGGGGAGTCGGGGGGTGTGAGAAGGCAAGCGCAAAGAGAACCTTCCTCCGTTTCTACTCATCGGATCCTGACGCTGAGTCCTCTGAGCTGGGGGGAGTACTGGCTAGTTCTTCTTCTTCAGAGTCCTGAAAACCAAAGGTGTCTTAAGGGAAAAGCTGGAGTCCTGGGTGCCCCACCCACTCTTCAGTGAAGGGCCCGCAATTCCCTACCGCCCCCAACTACAGCACCCCCCTTCAGAACCTCAGAATTCCACCATCCACTCCAACTCATTACTCTTACAGACCAACCCCACACAGACACACATGCCCCTCACCCTGCCCAGCCCACAGGCCCCACATTCCTGCCGCACCTCGCTCCTCCTCCTCTTCTTTTTGCTCTTGTTCTCTCCCGAAGAGCTCTCATCACTAGACACAAACTCTTTGCTCTTGAAGCTCTCGCTTAGCTGCCTTGAGGACGACTTGGATGATGAGCCCCTAGAGGGCGTGGATTTCTTTTCCATCTTTACCTTTACTTTCTTCTTCTTCTTTGACTTGTCCCTGTATTGGCAAGAGGGAAGAGGAGCTGGGCCTTCAGGTCCCCTGTCACCATGACCAAACCTCTCCCAGCTTTAACAAGGCCTTTCCCAATCCCAGCCACACAGCCCATTTCACTCTGAACGTAAATAGCTGCGTCAGCCTGGAGGGCACCAAGGGAGAGTATCATGAGTACACCAGAAGAATCAGAGGGCACAGCCTAAAGCAGCCCAATGTGCAAAACCTACTTGATATTTCTTGCTTTATCTTTTAGAGTTCATGCAAACTGTGCACTGCACTCCATAATAGTATTTTTTTCGTTCCCCCATACCTTCAAATAAAATGGTCCAGGAAAAGAGGCCATATTTCCCCAGTGACTTGAATGCCCTATTGTGTCACCCATACTTGGGCAATGGCCTACCCAGGTTTGAGAAGCACTACCCTACTGCAGTCAGAAGCATCTCTGCTGTCTTTAACTTTCCAATGCTCAACTTCGGCCTGTTAAAAAAAAAAAAGTCTGCCACAAAAATCAGTGACTGGGCCATGTTCTCGACACTCACCTCTTAGAAGACTCGCCTCGGCCCCCTTCATATTCTTTCATGGCTTTTTCATAGTCCCTCCTGGCATCCTCAGCCTTGCGATCCCACTCCTGTCTCACACACAGAAAAAAACAGTTAAGAATAAGACCTCTCCCATCTCCCCTCTCCCCTGATGCAGGCAAAATCGATACAGAAAGTCCCACCAATGGCTCATACTGCTCCCCTATCAGTCATGAGACTCGCCACCCCAAGACAGCACCTCTCGCCAGCCCATGAGAGGCATCACCCCTCCTCTGCTGCTACTCACCTCTTTCTTCTCTTTGGACATTCCCTTCCAGATCTCGCCTGCCTTCTTGGAAAGATCCGTGATGCTGATGCCAGGATGGTCTGACTTGATCTTCTCTCGGCTGGCATTGAGCCACAGCATGTATGCAGACATGGGCCTCTTGGGGGCATTGGGGTCTTTGCCCTTCTTCACCTACATAAGAACCCAAATGCCTTCAGCTATTTCCCACAGAACCCATACATTTTCCCAAATAAATTATTTAGATCACTTAACTTGGAGAAAAAGTGGAGGACTAAATAGCATCAGGCGAGACGAGAGCTCCCTAAGGGCAAGGATAGTATCTCCTTCCCCTCTGCAATTCAGTGCCTAGCTTACCAGGACAGAAGCCCATCTCCTAATTCAGACCTTCCAGAAGCTTATTAATCTCAGGGCTAGTGAGAAAAATTTCCAAGAAGATAACCCTCAAGGCTATAATCACTGGCTATAAAAAACAGCCCCAAGGAAGAACAGGTCCTACTGGTGGTGGACAGGAGAAGGTAAAGAGAATGCCTCCCACGCCCCCCACCCACTGCACCACACACAGGCCCTCCCATCTACAGTCTGCACCTCCACAGGCTTCTTGCGGCTCTTGCGGTCCTTGGCCATCTTGGCCTTTTTGAGCTGTTTCCGCTTCTTCTCATCCCGGTCACTGTCACCCTCATTACTGGAGGAGCTGGCAGAGGCGTTGCTGTCAAACCTGCCAGAGAACAAGCCAGGCTTAGACTTGAGGAGGGAAGACAGGACCCCACGGCCTCAGGACAGGAGGAAGACAAATCCAAAGATACCCACCCAAAAGGGGCAAGGGAGGAAGACCAGAGGACAGTATCCACCACCAATCCCCAACACTGCTTTCTCCCATTCACTGTGGTGGCTTCAGCCATGCCCTCTCCAGACCCAGCCACAGCAATTGGTTACTTGATTGGAATTAATGAATGAAAAACAAATCAATGAGCTTCAGCGGATCTCCCTGGGCATGGCCAAACCAGGTCCTAGTCCATCCCCAGGACACCACTGGCAGAAACACTGCCTCATTCATGCCTGGAACATGGCCCAAATCCACTTCACCACTTCCCTCGGAGTAATCACCTTAATCTACCCTATAGTCTTTTTTGTCTTCTTTTTTTTTCCATGTCAGATGGGTAATGTGTCAACATCGTAACAAGGCTGGAGGGTGGCACATTTCACACACGCACGTAACACCCAACCATTATGTTTATGAACTACAAAAGGATTGGCCCCTACAGTCTTCTGATGAAAAGATAATCAGTTACTACAAAAAGAGGAAAACCAACTTCAGTCCAACCCAGTGCCTACCCCTGTAATTGACAGTCTTGTCTGATATATGTGAAACTCCTCAAACAATGCAACTACCTTACACCTGTATGCTGCTGGACAGTCTTCAAGGCACTTTCACAAGTATTTGCTCATTAAACCTTCATAAACCTTCATAAGCATGTGGCAGGCTGAACTAGAGGACTCCTGTTGGGTGTTTTTTTTGCTGCCCGACATTCTTTTACAATCCTTCTGGATTAAGAGAGCAGAGTCCCAATTTTCTGTTGGGAACCACCTTGCCCCCACTCAGGAAGGGCTTACCCCAACCACAGGCTCTAAGGGTGGGCACTTGGCCTATTTCTGGCCCATCAGACCCCAGCCCATTCTAATAACTCAGGCTAGAAAGGGGCAGGTAACCACTGTGTTCACTATGCTGTTCACCAAAAGAGGCACTTCTGGTGTTGTTTTAAACCAGTAGGATTAAGCCTGCCCTGAGCTTCTGAGAGTCACTGGGCACCCCATGGGGTAAACCTATTTTTAATTAAGGAAATCGGAAGAAATAGATTTGAGCGCCTGAATCCAGTAGTGTCTGAAGCCAATTAAATCCCCAGACTCCGCAGTAATATGAACTTATGAAATTCCCTTTTATATGTTCCCTTTTAAAGTGAGAGTGAATCACATTTCTGACACTGCTAACAAAAAGTCTTAACCAATTTAGCAGGGGTACTACTGCATTTCTACTGATGAGGAAATTGAGATTCAATGACTTACTCGACAACCCCCAGCAAGTAAGTGGCAAGCACCAGCTCATTCCCATTCTCTCCTCATCCAACTACGAACCAGCCCCAACTGGCACATTCAGGGCGGTATGGCCATAGATCCCACTATACTTTTCCGACTTCAAAATATGTCTTGCACTTACAAAGCCCTTGACAATTTCCAAAACATTTTCGTATATCACCTCATTGGAGGTCACTCTCCCATTCTGGGTCAGTAGCTAATGCTGGGACCTGAGAAATGTCCAGAAATCTTCTGGTCCCTTAAGCTTATGGGTCACCATCTTATCCCCACAAGGTACCACCAAAACTCACTCCTCTGCCACATCTTCCTCCTCTTCACCTGGGTTGAATGACTCATCTGAAAAAGGGCACAGGATGCATCAGCTTCTGCCCCAATGGAAATCCCCCCACCTCACCCAGGCACCCAGCTCTGGCCCAAGGGTGAGTCCAGCCCGGGCCACAGCGAGGAGCGTCTGACCATCCTCGTGCTCAGCACGGAGGCTAACCCACCGGTTTCTTCTCCTGAGTCATCGCTGCTGTCATTGGCATTCTCCTCCCGGATCTTGCCTTCCTCCTTCATCCTCTCCAAGTAGGCATCATGCTGGTCCTCATCAGAGTCAGCATATTCATCGTAGCTTGGGTTCATGCCCTAGCCAGGGAAGAGTTCACGGTGGGGCCAACTCACCCTCGAGCCAGAATCCCTGCACACTCAAAAGCACACCCCCATGCCTGTCAAGTCAGAGCAGCAGCTCCCAGAAGACCTGGGGCTGGATTGTCCACACACAGCCAACGTGCAGGGCCTATGCCCAAGTACTTCCTGCCAACTGGGTTAGTCCAAGCCCCAAGCCCCTCCCTCTCCCAGCCCCACTGGGGGCTCCTGAGGGGCTGCATAGACTGGTCTAAGGTCATGCAGAGGAAACCTGCACCAGGAGGGGGAAAGGGTCACACGCACCTCTTTTTTCTATAAGGGTAAGAAGAGAAGAAAGAGTGAAAAAGAAGCCGGAAAAAATCTCCACCCCTTTCTCCCCTATAGAAAGACCAGGAGAGGGTCTCATCCTCCCCACACAGAAGTACCTCTTTCAATCCTCGGTTTTTGATGTTGAGCTTTTTCGCGTTGACAAAATCAAACAGTTTCCCGTACTCCTCCCTGTGAGGGGACATGCACCATGTTACCAGAGAGGTAGTGCCAACACAGGGGCACACTAAACAATGTTCTGATTCCATGAGCTGGGGTAGACTGTGGAGCCTGGAGCTCTTGACTATGCTACCCAACCCAACAGCTTAGAAACCCCCAGAGGACAGCAGTAAGGCAGAGCCAGAGCCAGACATTAGTCCTGAAAGAACTGCATGGCTTTGAAGAACTCTGGGAAAGGAAAGGCAGGGAGGGGTGCGCATCTGTTTACAAAATAAGCTCAGAGGGGAGTAAGTGTGGGGCAGGGGACGTGGTCATCTTTTTTCATACTTCACAAGGTTGATATGAGGATTACACGTGAAGATGCTTATAAAACGTTTAGTCCACAGTGAGCACTCAATAAGCATTAGCCGCTATGTTCTCAGGCACAAAGCTCATTCCAGGAAAGAAAGAGATAGCATTTCCATCATGGTGGGGAGTGGAGGAGAAAAAAGACCAGTAGCGAAGACATATAGCTTTCAGAATACGGAAAAAGTTTTTTTTGTTTTGTTTTGTTTTGTTTTTTTAATGACCAGAAAGAAAGCAATGGAGAGGTTTCTAAAGTCTGAGCACTCCAGGGAAAAGGACCAAATCCTGATGTAGCAAAAGAAAAATTCTGCTCTAGGGTTGGAGAGTGCCCCAGGCCACGCCAGCCTTCCTAGACAAAGCTGGCTCGGGACCAGGATGCCCAGGAAGTGACAGGTGGAGGTTCTCACCTCTCAATGCTGCTGAAGGTATACTGAGTGCCCTGCTTGGTCTCAATTTCAAAGTCAAAGGAACGAGTAGTAGTGGTACCACGAGCAAAGTTGACAAAGGAGATCTCATCGAAGCGGATGTGCACAGGTGGCTTGTGGACGTAGATGAAGCCCCGCTCCAGCGGGTAGAGCAGTCCTGAGCTTGCCTTGTAGGAACAGGTAATGCACTGGGCCCCTGAGTGCCTGACAGAGGGTGCAGGGAGCCTGGTTAGTGCCAACCTCAGCAGAGGCAAAGGGCGTATCTAGCAGCAGCGACACGAGTGCTCATGTCCTCGACTAAGTAAACCTCACTGAGCTGTTCTGACAGAGGCGCTGGCACCTATTGTGACACAAGGTCCCATCCAGGCCTCTAGGAGGCCGCATTCCCATCTCAGGAAGGGTTTACCAAGGAGACACGGCATTTCCCATACCCAGGCAGGGCAGGATCCCAGGCCCACACTCTCACCCTTGGAAGTTGCCTGGCACTGTGATCTTGCGGTTTACCAGTGCTTTCATGACCCGGCTGACCATCTCATAGAGGGATCCTGACATGTTCTTGGTGAGCCGACCCTCAAAGCGCTTCTCCACTTCTTCCCTACAAAGAAAGCAAGGTGAGGTCACAACACTACTGCCTTCTAATGGCACACCTGTCTCCTGCCTGGACAGTGGTAGGAAACGAGTCCAGGGAGACACTCACTCGTTCATGTTCAGAGTCAACGAAATGTCCTCGTCCTTGGAGAAGAGGAGGATCAGGAAGTGGTAGCGAGTTTGGCCTTGCTTGATTGGGGGATCCAGGCTGATCTAGTAAGGAAGAGTACTAATTGACACTCTACAACAACTTGCAATTAACCAACGTAGAATTCTGCACACCAGTGAGATCCATCTACTTAACACTTAGGCAAAAACCAGGATTATCCGGCCATAGGGGTTTCTGCTTACCACAAAGAACATCTGGCGCTGGTCCTTGTGGGGTAACAAAAACAGACGCAGTACTGTGGTGTAGGGGATCTTGTAGTCAAAGGTCTTGCCATGCAGGTGCAGAAAGGTGGGGTAGATCCGAATGTCATAACGACCACGAGGAGTCAGACACTGCAGCTCCCGGAAGATGCAGATGGCATCTCCCGTGGCCTGGATTACATCCGCCTTTGACAACACATTCTGGGCAAAGGCCTGCAAAAGCACATATTGGTAGCCAAGCAGCAGGCCCTGCTCCCAGGCCAGCCAATGCCTGCTCAGCACCATCTGCTGCCAAGGCAACCAGGGGAAGCCTCACCTCAACAGGGTCCACACCATCCTCCTGGGTGGGTGGGACGTAGAAGCGCACCTCCATGAGAGACACCTCTGCGTCATCGTTTTGGTGGAATTCCAGTGTCACCTCATTCTTGCCTGTGGTGCACTGGGACACATTGCTGAGGGGTATCTCAAAGACTGGCTGGTCACCAATGTCAAAGGAAAGCAGCTGCCCTGTGAGGAAAGGGCTTATCCAGCCACAAGCTCCTCCCCTTAAGTCTGCATAAGCAATATTCCCACCAAACTGAGTTCCACAGAGACAGGATACTGCGGTTAGTCTGTTTAGACTATAACCCCAACCCCAGGCAGTATACTGTAGGTACTCAATAAACACATGATGAACATGCAAATAGATAGGAAACCAGAGACAGTGGCAGAGGGAAAAGAGCAAAACAAGTAAAAGGCTGAAACCCTTCACCCTATCTTCCTCCCCAAACCTCAGTCTTCCCCAGGACTCACCACCAAATTTCACTGTCCCCCAGTTCCAGCCCTTCACACAAAGGTCCTTCTCCATTAGCTCAAGGCGATAGTGAGTTTTGAAGAAATCAGAGAGTTTCTCAAACTCCTGTGGGTGGAGGGAAGAAAGCACAATCCCAGTAAACCTTGGTGGCCTTAACACCGACTTGAATGTCCTGGGATTATCTATTTCTGAGAAACTGCCCCAAATAGGCTTTATAAGAAATCCATGCTGACTTAGCAACCCAGCTCATGGTAAGATTGTTGAAAGAGATTGCTTCTAGCCACTGGATCTGACATTCCTGGTTACGGGCCATCTGACTTTATAAACTTTGTATAGGTATTACTTTAATGAAAGTGGAAATTAAAATCAAATAAAGCCTTTAACTCAAGCAGTTCAAAAAGGAAAACAAAACCCACACTTTAAGATATCAAGCTAGCCAGGCGCAATGGCTCACGCCTGTAATCTCAACCCTTTGGGAGGCCAAGGTGGGCGATCCCTTGAGTCTGAGAGCTCAAGACCAGACTGGGTAATGTGGCAAAACGCCGTTTCTACCAAAAATTATTAAAAATCAGCTGGGCATGGTGGCATGTGCCTGTGGTACCAGATACTCAGGAGGCTGAGATGGAAGGATTACTTGAGCCCAGGAGGCGGAGGCTGCAGTAATCCGAGATTGCGCCACTGCACTCCAGCCTGGGTGACAGAGCAAGGCCCTGTCCCCAAAAAAAACCAAAAACACACATACACACAAAGAAATCAAGCTAAGATTCTGAACCTTGATAAAAGCCACAGGCAGAAACTACTATCTAAATCAAGACAGAAGAAAATCTTCTGGAGTCAAGGCACACAGAAATTCACAAGACTTCAACGCTCAAAGCCAAACACTGATTGCCTGATGGCCTCACAGCCCTGCTCTAAGGAGCCCAAACTAGCAATCACAGGGTTACATGAGGAAGGAACCTCGAGTCTCTAGAAGATTAAAATAAGAAGATGCAGTAAAAAGGAGGCTTATAGCCATGGGACATCTCACCGATTCTCGGAAGCCATCATACTTGTAGACATGGCCATTCTTTGTAAGCAGTTTAAGTCCATGGCCCAGAGCAACACGGCGCCAGATACCTTCTGTTAACTCCCCAGCCTGGATGTTGTCCACTTTGCCTGTCTTGCTATTCTTGAAGATGATGCCCTGACGGCTCAACCTCAGTCGACCATCATTCTGTAAGAAAAGCAGGCCCAGATGCATGGAGACAGTACACAGCATGTCCTGGGTTCTACAGCTCTACCTAACACACATTCCTGCTGCAAGTGGACTGGCCAGATTATCAATGCAGGAGCAACAGCTGAGGGTGCCAAGGAGTCTAGATTCTAAACCAGACTCTGGTATCTAGAACCCTTAACAGATTCTCAGTTTCCTCATTTGTAAAACAGGAATTGGGAACTGAACAGCATATACGGTCCCTATAACTCTGAGACTATCTCTCAGTATTGCCTTGAGTTGGTGGAGACACTAGGTACACATTATACTGAGTCTTCTTTTTCCAAAATAACGTTACCAAAGCAAGCTCTCATTAATGGACAAAAACTCTACCCTCCTTCCTTCTCTCTACTTGTATCACCTGTCCAAGCCATTCTCACCATGGAACCTTTCACCTCCTGATAGACGTCGTTGAACTCCAGTGTCTCTGCCATGTCGACCCCTGCCTGTGGTGGCCTGGGCAGAGCCCCAGGCTGCACAAGGGAAACCAAGTAAACTGGGAGCTGGGCCCCAACTCCTGAGTGGGTGTGCGGATGCTCAGCAGGTTGGGAATCTGAATTCAAGAGGAAGACAGATAAGCATGAAAGACAGCACCTCGCTGTGCTCACGGATGGAGCCAGGTAGCAACTCCCAGCTGCGCCTGGATGTCTCAGGATTTCCTCTGCCTGGAAACCTACAGACGGACGCTGCAGTGCCCGAGGGTCCAGGTCCAGGCCTGGGTGGAGAACCGGGCCCGGAATACCGCTGACACCCAACCCGACGCCCGCTCTGGCCGCTCCGGCGGGAGCCATGGCAACGAGCAGCGGAACCCCAGGGTCTGCCAGGAGCCCGCACATCGCACGCGACCCAATCCAGCTCAGAGTGCAGGGTTTCCCTCGCACCGCTCCCACCACCCCGCGGCCCCAGACCCACGGTTCACCCCCGCCCCACATAATGGATTCGCCCGCTCCCCGCGGTTGCGAACGCGGAATGGTCCATGTCGAGGGTCCCGTGGGGGAGCGGGGCCCCTGCCTTCCTGGGACCGGGGACGACCACCACCTACCTCCTCAGGCTGCGGCCTCGCGAGGGCCCCGGCGCGAGAGGTGGGCGCGCTGGGGGGACGCGGGGGGGGCGCGGGGAGGGGGATGGGGGGACACCGGGGAAGCTTTTCCCGCGTGCGCGGCCCCGCGTCCCGCCACCGGAAGCCGTACACAGGCCACAGAGAGGATGAGCTGGCTAGAGAGACGCGAGTCGGGCCCGCCTGCGAGACAGTCGCATAGAGCGTCAGCGACTCTGGAGGACCTGAGGGAAGGGTGGTTGCCGTGAAGCCTCTCTCACCCAGGGGGAATCCGGCCTAGAAAATGTGTGTAGGGCTCTTTAGAAACTACAGACACTTCTTCAGTCGAGACTAGATACTAAAGAGAAATTGTGTAGTTTTATTGTATCAGACTTAGTACAGGGGTGGGGTGGGGGTGTGTATTGGAATGATGCGTGCCCGTTTCTCTGCAAAATAGTTTCTATGTCATGGAAAGGAGTCGATGGGACAAGAAGAGAAGTATTTGAACAGTTGTGGGAGGAAACGACCTCTCCCACTGGCTGCGGAGAGTATGCGGGTGTTGGTGTCATCGTGGGTGCACTGCTTTCTGGCTGAACTGTCAAGTTCACTGTCTACACCCAAAATTTTCACATCCTTAACCGAAAATTATAGGTACCTCCAAGAGGCTGGCAAACGGCCTTATCCAGTTCAAGTCCTGGTGTCAGATTCACCTTGGAGCCAGAACTGATTTGAAACCACATCATCCTGTGGTTGCGGAAGCCAGGTCTCCCCCGTATAATCCCAGAGTGCATTTTGCAACATCAGAGACCAGACCTGGAAAAGATGTTTTAGTTTTTCTACCCCAACCTCCTTTTACTGATGGGAAAACTGAGACCCAAAGGGGAGTGAGTTGCCCAGGGTCTCAGTGCGTTGGCAACAAGGCTAGGTAGGACCCAGACCTCCTTAACACCACCAGTCCAGTTATCTTCTGTCATAATCACAGTGACTGTATGTTCAGAATGACTATTGATATGTGTCCTACATGAAGACATTAGTACAGAATATGTAAGCTCAAGATTTCCCTGACAATCAATACACCAGCTTGCTAAATCAATCCTGGGGTAAGAGACAACAGGAATGCACCCTTCTCCCCTGAACTCATAGCTTTAACCTCTGAGTAGTGGCTATTCCAGCATTATCTAGCAAAATAAATTCAACTGGGTTTAATAAATAGATATTGAGGGCCTATTACTACTTTAGCACACTTCTCAGATTTGAGGAAACTTGAACAAGGTGAAAACATCCCCGGCCAGGCACGGTGGCTCACACCTGTAATCCTAGCACTTGGGGAGGCCAAGGCAGGGAGATCACTTGAGGTCAGGAGTTTGAGACCAGACTGGCCAACGTGGTGAAGCCCCGTCTCTATTAAAAATACAAAAATTAGCCAGGCGTGGTGGCGGGTGCCTATAATCCCAGCTACTCAGGAGGCTGAGGCATGAGAATTGCTTGAACCCAGGAGGCAGAGGTTGCAGTGAGCTGAGATTGTGCCACTGCACTCCAGCCCGGGTGACAGAGCGAGACTCTGTCAAAAAAAAAAAAAAAAAGAAAGAAAGAAAAAGAAAAAAAAAAGGAAGGGAAGGAAAGAAAGAAAAAAAAAAAAAACAGAAAAAAAAACCCAGCCCCAACCTTTCAGGAAAACATAATCTAACAAATGACTTTAATAAATAAAGTGACAGTTAAAAAAAAAAGAAGTTGGCACATATACACCGTGGAATACTATGCAGCTGTAAAACAGGATGAGTTCATGTCCTTTGCAGGGACATGGATGAAGCTGGACTCCATCATTCTGAGCAAATTATCACAAGGACAGAAAACCAAACACCGCATATTCTCACTCATAGGTGGGAATTGAACAATGAGAACACTTGGACACAGGGTGGGGAACATCACACACACCAGGGCCTGTCGCGGGGTGGGCGGAGTGGGGAGGGATAGCATTAGGAGATATACCTAATGTAAATGACGGGTATATTTACAGTTAACGGGTGCAACACACCAACATGGCACACGTATACATATGTAACAAACCTGCACGTTGTGCAGGTTTACCATAGAACTTAGAGTATAAGAATAATAATAAAAAGAAAACAAAACAAAAAAGACGTGCTAACTGCTATGCTACAGGTAGAGCGAAGCTCATTACCAGCTGGAGTTAGAAATATGTGACTCTTTACTCATCACACCCCAGAAGACCCAGAAAAACTTTCAAGAGACCTTTTCCCCCTGACCCATGCCACTGGGGGCAACTCAGGAAAGGAGGGGACGGCGCAGAACTGGGTGGAATTTGGCAGACACTCAGGAATGAAGAGGGTCCTTAGCTCAGGCAGGCTATTAGGTGACTGGGGGATGGGAAATTGCAAGGGGCTTTAGGGAGAGTGTGAGCAGCTGGTGAGCTGGGATGAGGATGCTGCAGAAGAGAACAGAACAGAAACAGTAGACAGAGTGCAGATAAAACATTAGTCCCAGAGGGCTCCAGCCAGCTACATCCCAGGCAATCAGGAGCCCAGGATTGGAGACCCCACCCCTGCTGTGACATCACAGGGGAGTGGAGTGGAGACGAACAAAAAGGGGGTCCCCCGCCCTGGTCCTGGCCTCTTGGAAGCCAGAGTATCAAGAGCAGAGAATCTCACTAGGATTGCATGGCTTAAAGGGACAGGCTCCCCATTCCTCCAACCCCTCTAAGCTGCCCCCTCCAGGTCGTGATCTCGTCTCCCTGTCCTGTAGGACCTCCCTCTCCTGAGGCCACCACTGGGCCCCCTTCTGAGTGTCCCCTGAGCACTCTCTCAGCATGAACTGCATATCCGACTTCTTCACCTATGAGACCACCAAGTCGGTGGTTGTGAAGAGCTGGACCATCGGGATCATCAACCGAGTAGTTCAGCTTCTGATCATCTCCTACTTTGTAGGGTGAGTCTGTGGCCTTTCAGGTTCCTGGCGGGGTGGGCTGCCTGGTATCCCGTCTTCACCCTCCTGCCTCGGTGCTACCATCCAGCTTCCTGAGCTCCTCTGCTCCTGGGGGAAACAGTTTCTTCTGTGGAGCCGAGTCTTAAAGACTGGCCTCTGCCACCCCCACCTAGGGCCTAAATTCACCCAGGTGAATTCTTTTCCCAGTTCGTCCTCCAGGGTTGAGATTGGTTTCAAGACACACGCTCGGAGTAGTAGGGTCCCTGCCCCGGCACTGCCCTCCACCGAGGGAGGGCTCAGGAGCTCCATCTCCACCCTCCCTGCTCTCATCTCCCCAACAAGAGAACAGGCAGACCCCCTCCCACATCTTCGAATTCCCCTCAGTCAAGTCTTCGGGGTCTCAAAAAGACAAGACAGCACAGGAATAGGGAAGGGAAGGCACTGAGACAAGGGGGTGGTGGCAGGTTGATCAAGTTGGTGGCCGGGAGGGAAAGAGAGAACTGGATCTGTTTTAGAATGAGGAATTTCCTTCTGGCATGGATGGGTGAGATGGTGAGAGAGAGAAGGGCAAGGGAGAAGCCCTCTGCTCTTGAAGGGGAGGACAAAGAGGGAACTGCCCCTTGATGAGGAAACAAACAGAGGCCCAAGGGAAGAGTGGCCAAGGAGAAAAGGAGCTTTTCTGAACATAGTGCCGCTCCCTCCCCAGGAATCCAGAAATGCTCCCCTTTGTCAAAAAGTGTAAGTTCCCTACCTCTCCCTGACCCTGTGCCATGTAACCCATCCTAGGAGTTGCTTAAGAGCCAGGAAGGTGCAACCATCCCCTCAGCCCCCACCGCCTGCAAGCACACACCTACACACACACACACACACGCACACAAAGGGCTGTGGAGCAGACAATGGCTGGGGAAGAATGCAGGTCCTGTCCTTCTTGTGGTCATTTCCACACACTGGTGGGCACCAGGAAATACAGGCAGAAACCTCGAAGGTTTTCTTTCCTGGCATGCGGGTCTCCAATCTTATGCTGTTCTTTCAGACAATGGGTCTTTGCATTTGAGGCAGCAATCCACTGACTGTCAGGAGTTAGTTCAAGCAGGTCAAAGGAGAATCCTGTGTGCCTGTGGGCTGAAGCTGCATGCAAACCTGCTTGCTTGAAATGTTGAAGTTTATGCGAGGGTGTGGAGGGAAAGGTGGCTAGATGTGACTTTTTAGGTGATTTTTTGCTCTGTGTGCTGGGCAAGCCCTGGTAGGCTTCAGTGGGCAGGTATTGTAAAAAGGCTGTACCATCCAGTGCTCCTTTGGGAGATTTTAGAAAAGGGATTCAAGCTTTGGAATAGCATTAAATGGCCACAAAGTTCCCTTCCAATGTTGAGGTTTTGTGAGATACGAGGTTTGCAAATGTTCGCTGTCTGCATCTCTAGAGCTTGGCTCAAAGTTGGTTCCTAAATGTTCTGTGTTCACGTGTATATTCAATGCTGTGGTTGTTTATAGCCACAAGATGGTATGTTGGCCCAGGTGAGTGCAAAATCTGGCTCAGCACATTCCCCTTCTGGCCTGGCTCCACTGGCTCCAGGCAGAGATTGATGGGGGAGAGAGTGGGCTCCTAGACCAGCCCGCTCAGCCCCCACTGCCCTTGTCTCTGTCTCATCATGATCAGATAGAATCCTCCAGTCCTCAGGGCTGGAGCCCAGCCTGCTGGAGCGAGTGTGCGAAGCTCTTTAGCATCTTAATTTCCAACCCCATCCATCTCCTAGCCTGACAGCTCCCCACGGGACACTGCCTTCCAGTTACATCAGCGCCCTCTGCAGCCCAGCCCCCTGACCTGAGTCCCATCTCCGTGTATGTGAACCCATGCACGTTGTGACTTCATGAGTCCACCGTCATTAATTTAGCAAAAATGTACCAGCATCTCTGCATGCCAGGCACTGTGGATTGAGGACGGAATGGTGGGCAAAAGCAGACAGGGTCCTCGCCCTCCTGGGGCTTACAGCGGAAGGCAAGAGATGGCATTCATCTGATGATCTCCACAAACGTGAAATGTCAACTGTGGCTTAGAGGTGCACAGTTATAGAGAGCCGCTTCTGTGAAGGTGTTTGGCCCAGTCAGGGAGTAAGGGAAGGTTTTCTGGAGATGTGACATTTTAGCCAAGACCCGAAGGATGAGTAAGAGCAGCCCAGGTGAAAGAGGGAAGGAAGAGAGTTCAGGGCAGAGAAACCCACCTCTGCAAAGGGAAGGAGGCTGGCAAACAGGGGAAAGAAAAGAAGGTCATTGTGGCTGGAGCCGAGGGAGCAGAGATGAGTGAGGGTGGTGTACGGTGGATGGGAACACACACAGAGGCCGGACCTCAGACACCCTTAGAGAGCTTTTGTTTTTACAGGAGATGAATAAACAGAAGCCATGGAAGCATTTTAACCCGTGTGTCTGTGTGCACTTTTGTGTGTGTGTGCACGTGAGTTTGAGAGAGAGAGAGACAGACACGATGAGATCTGAGTTGGGAAGAGCACCTGGGCTGATTCCCTGGAAGTGGAAGGAGTAGGAGTGGGTGCAGGAAAACCTGCTAAGAGGCAGTTTATGCAGAGAGGTGACAGTGGCTTGGACCCAATCGAATTTGAAGGGATTTTTAAGGCTATAGTGTTAATATTTCACTGATACTTCAATCTCTTCCCCATCATCCCAACCAGGTCAACAACCTAGACTCTGCCTAACATGAGTCCATCATTTCTCTGAGAACTTCTCAGCAACACACCACCTGGTCATCTCACATACGCTCTCACCCCCGCCCCTGGCCTCAGCTGCTTGTCTGTGGTTGACACCATTTCATCACTATTTTCCTTTACCCACTCCAGGGCACACAGAGAGGCCTGGACTTACCTGATGTTTCTCACATCTTTTCTGGGTCCACGTGGTAATCCCCACTCACCTCTGTGGAGTGGGACTTCCCGAGAGCCCATCCCCGTTCTGGATCCTTTGGGGACCTGAGAAGTTGAAGGAAATCCCTAGGATCTGAGTCCCTGGAAGCAATAGCCTGTGCTTGGCCTGAGGTTGATTTCCAGGGCCTTCCTGGAGGAAGCTGCCTCCTTGCAAACTAGGAGGCCAGGGACTTCCCAGGCCTTTGATGCCCCATTGTGCTGAAGGGTCACTGGTGGCTGCTGGAGCCTCTGACCCCACCACAGCCCTGCCCTACCTGCCCTGTTCCTCCCCCATACAAGACCCAGTCCACAAACTTGCCATCTGTACAGCCCCATGCTTTGGTTCATAAAATTCAGCCTCATTTCAGATCTTAGGTGGGAGTTCAATACATAAAGCAGGTGAAAGGGAGGAGCTGCTCTGGTTTAAAGAGAAGGGTCTAGAATCCTGCCTTCTTGGCTCTCCACTCCATCCTCTCAGCCCAGGGTATCACTGTGAGGCACCTTGTCAGCACAATTAAGTGACAGATATGGTGGAAAGAGCTGTTATGGTGGGAAGAACTGTTGGGCTGCCCCATCTTTTTTTTTTTTTTTTTTTTTTTTTTTTTGAGACGGAGCCTTGCTCTGTCCCTCAGGCCGGAGTGCAGTGGTGCAATCTCGACTCACTGCAACCTCCGCCTCCTGGGTTGAAGCGACTCTCCTGCCTCAGCCTCCCCGGTAGCTGGGATTACAGGCCTGTGCCACGACGCCCGGCTAATTTTTGTATTTTTAGTAGAGATGGGGTTTCACCATGTTGGCCAGGCTGGTCTCGAACTCCTGACCTCAAGTGATCCACCTGCCTCGGCCTCCCAAAGTGCAGGGATTACAACATGAGTCACCATGCCTGGCTGGATGCCCCATCTGGACCAGTCATCCTGGTCCAGAGAGAGGAGTGACTCTCATTCCTGCCTGCCCTCTCCCCCAATATGGAACGTAGAGCACTTGGTTAGAAGCCTGGCTCTGACACCAACTAGGAGAGGGCCTCCTAAGAGTGACTTTACATCTCTAAGTCTCAGTCCCCATATCTGGAAAATGGATTTAGGAATACCTCCTCCCTGGGAGTTATAGGGAGGGGAGGTAACATATGTCAAGTGCCTTGCGGAGATGGTGACTCAGTAATAGATGGCAACTGCGACTACTTCACAAAGACCCCCCCATCACCCCTCCCCCTTTCCCTCTGCCCAGCTCACACCTTCCTAAGAGACCCCTCTCCTCCTCCCACACACACAGCGTGCACTCTTCACACCCACTCCCCAGCCTCCTCCTTGGCTCCCTGGGGGCGGATGGGAGGGTGCTGGGGCGCGGCTCTGGCCTCTCTCCTGCACATCCCACCTGCCAAGGAGCTGCCACACGCCTTCCGCTCTATAAATAATAAACCATGAATGCGAGAAGAAAATAGTCAGAGCAGCAGAGTAAATGCCAAGAATCGAAGGCTCAGGCCTGCCCTAGCTCCTGAGCCCTGGCCTCCAGAGACAGCCTCAGCCCCTCCGTTCTGGAAATGAAGCATCCCCTTCTTTCTAGCTGCCTTGATGACATCCCGAGGCCCTGTGAGGCCATTGAAATTCTTCCACTTGTTATTTAAGTCAGAGAGAGAATTCTAATGTGGCCTCTCCACCCCACTGGGCACAAGAAGGAGCCTTGAAGGAGGAGGAGGAGGAGGTAGGAGATTGGTTGATTGTTCCTTGGAGTCCTCGGCCCTTTCCTCCTGAGACTTTCCTAAGCCAGGAGATGCTTTCACTGGTGATGGAGCAGGAGCTGGTAGGAAAAGCACAGGGTCCGGTTCAGGGGGCCAGCATGGCCTGGCTTTGAGCTGGGACACAGCTAGAGACCTTCGAGTGAAGAGGCTGTGAGTGGTCTGGAGCACGTTGTCTGGTTAGAGCTGACATACCAGCTTTGCAATCCTGGGCAAGTTAGCACCCTCTCTGTGCCTCAGTTTCCTCATTCATGACATGAAGGTAATAACGAAGCTGTCTCAGTAAGAATGTAGTGAAAGATTCGGCTTAGCAAGTGCCGCATTGGTTATATAATACTAGTCTGAACTCTGCATCTCCAAATGTTCCTGGACTTTAAGGACGCAGGGCAGGGGCCTCAGAAAACCATTTCCTTAGGTCGACACTGAGAAATATGTCTATTCTGTGGCTAGGCACATTGAAGCTCGGTTCCAGAAGGGTGTGTTTAGACCACAGTTTGCACTCTGCGAATGTACAGCCAACAGCCATCTTAGCTGGAAGCAGAGAGCCTAGGCCCCAGACCTCACTCCCTTCACTCTGCAGGGCCCCAGGCTGTGAGCTAATAATGCTCATTTGGGTTTCCTGTGACAGGGAGGCTCCCTTCTCTTCTTCAAGGACGTAATTTGGCAGATGGGATTTCTACGTGAGGCATACTTCCTTGTGAAATCTGAATGAAACCCCTCCCCTTCCAAAAAAAGAAGAAAAGAAAAGTGCTGGGAGATAAAGCAGCACCACAAAGCCCCATAGAAGGCGGTATGCATGAGAGCATTTTACAAGCACGCAAGTCACTCTAAGTGGTGCGTTAATCAGGATGCCGCCTGCCTGCTCTAAAGGAGCAATAGGAAAGCAGGTAACGGGTTTGAAGCCATATGCTGGTGCTTTGACTACACCCTTTCTCTCCTGCTCAAGAAATCATTCAGAATTCAAGCCAGTAATACTACTGAAAAAATGATAAATATGTGAGGTAGTAAATATGATCATTAGCATGACATAATCATTCCACAAGGTATAGGCATATCAAAACACCCACATTGTGCCCCATGAATACGTACAATTATTACTTATCAATAATAAATAGGGCTGGGCATGGTGGATCCCGCCTGTAATCCCAGCACTTTGGGAGGCCAAGGCAGGCAGATCACTTGAGGCCAGGAGTTTGAGACCAGCCTGGCCAACATGGGAAAACCCCGTCTCTACTAAAAACAAAAAAGTTAGCCAGGCGTGGTTGTGCATGCCTGTAGTCCCAGCTACTCAGGAGGCTGAGGCACGAGAATCACTTGAGCCCGGGAGGCAGAGGTTGCAGTGAGCCGAGATGGCGCCAGTGCCTGGGTAACAGAGTGACACTCTGTCTCAAATAATAATAATAAATAGTATTTATTTATCAAAAATTTAAACTTAAATTAGAATAAAAAGAAAAAAAGATTCCAGTGAGCAAAGGAAGACCCATGATGGGGATAACACCAAACCCTCTCACTGAAAACCGAACGAAGAGCCACTTGCAAATATCCGCTGGGGTTTGCAGTAAATAGGATTGTGGTGTCCAAACTATAAGTGGCTGGGACCCCCGGTACGTTCTGGGAGCTGCTGCTGTTTGCATGTTCCAACAGTAGGTGACCCCAGAGATCATTCAGTCCAGCCTCCACCTGAGGAAGGGGCCTCCTCTCAGCACACCTGCCAGGTGAGCAACATGCTGTCCTGGAGTCTTCCCAGACGTGTGGCACGCGTGTGGTGACTTTCCGCAGCAGGCGGTTCTGGGATTGAAGTCCTCGCCCACCTCCTTATAGAATCCTCAGGTCAGCCCAGCTCCTGGCTCTGCAGCTTCCCAGCCTCTAACTCCTACGGCTTTGTCTTCTCTGGGCTACACAGTCTCAAATTCCTTCCACTCACCTTCATCTGGTGTGGTTTTCCAACCTCGTGCCACCCTGGTTAGAAGCAGAAAATGCCCTCACCCAGCATTTCCAAAAGTGTGCTCCTCTGTTCCATGAGACGTCACCAGTATTTCTCCAAGACTGGCTTCTGTGGTCAAATAAGATTGGGAGACAGTGAGGTTAACAAAATGTAACAGATGTATTTGTTTGTTTACATCGTATGTTTCTCGGGGAGGGAGGAGGGTTGCATGGCATTTTCTAAACGTATTTGATGAGGTTTTCTCATCTGTCGAATGGGAATGGTGGCAGCATCTACCTCCCAGTGTGCCATCAGGAATAAAGGCAATCTTGCCAAAGGCTGGAAGTGTGGGATTAAGTGAGGCTGAGCGGGGACTTCAGCCTTGAGGGCTGTGATTGGCGATTTCAAATGGAAAGGCAGGCACTTTATAGGAAAGCAGAGGCACGAGTTGCCAGCAGGTATTTGCAGGCCCTTTTGCTCGAGGCCAGGAAAGTCTGAGAAGGAAGATAGGGATGGAAAAAGGGAAGGCCTCATCCACGTGGTCCCATTATGGCTTAAAGCTGTAGGAAGGCGCCAGTACAGGTAAATGACCACTGGGTGGCAGCACAATCCAGGGAATAAGATCAGACTCTTCCCTCCCTCCTCCCCCAGCCCCCCCACCTTCAACCGAGCTCCTTTACCTGCCAGGTAAAAGCTCAGCCGCTGTCCCCCGCTTCCTCCTCTGTTCTCATCTGACACCTGGGCAGATAGATTCTGCCAAGCACCGAGCTCCCAAGGACCTTTATTGATTTGTTTACTGAGCTACTTTGTGTTGGACACTTAGGGTACAGCCGTGGGCCAAGGCTGGAATGCATGGGAGCAGAGGCCTGGGATCCTCTGTCCTTCTGTCTCCTGGGTGCCTGCCAGAGAAGTGGCCCCCATCAGCAGCATGGAATGACTTTGAGCCATGCATTCTCAATGGGGCCATATGGCCCCCAAGGAGGTGAAAATTGGTTCTCACTCTTTTTATGCATAAAGCACAAATTTGCATACAGTACATAAACAGATATCTGTGATATCAAAGTTTCATGGAGGGGGGGACCACTAGGGGAGAAAATGTCTAGAAAGGCACCTGAGGGGCAGTAATGGGACAAAAGGTGGAGAAACGCTATTCTAAGTCAACCAAGGGCTCACTCTAGGTCTCACGCCTCTGGAAGGAACCATCCGCACACCCTGCCAGGCATGGCCAAGTGTTGGCAGGAAGGTGACCTCTCCCAGCTTCTGTCTGCTGGGTCTATGGACTCCTCTCTTTCTCTTCATTTATGCTCTCCTGCCCCAGGTGGGTTTTCTTGCACGAGAAGGCTTACCAGGTACGGGACACAGCCATTGAGTCCTCGGTGGTAACCAAGGTGAAGGGCTCCGGACTCTACGCCAACAGAGTCATGGATGTGTCTGATTACGTGACGCCACCTCAGGTATGGTACCCCTACCCAGAGAGGCATGTGGATGTCCAGACACTGGGCAGGTTGGAAGGGAGAAAGCGAGCAAAGAGTGCCAATGGGATTCCCAAACTAGAATCCATGATGTCACTGATCCAGAGGACCTCTCCCCCAGCAGCTGAGAGCTGTGTGAGAGCTTGGGCCTGCGGTGCTGGGCATCAGGAAAGCTGGGTTCCTCTCCAGGCTCTGCCACAACTTGTAATGCAATCAAGGACAACACACATGGGAGAAGGGGGCCATGTGGGTGGCTGCAAAGAGCCAGCTCTGCCCCTCACCAGCCCTGTGACCTTGGCCAAGTCACTAGACACAAGCCTTGCTTTCCTCATCTGTAGAGTGGGGATAATCAGTTATAGTCCCTGTCTCACTGATTGGGACTGTTGGATGTTTTTCTCTCCCTTCTTCTCCTCCCAAGGGCACCTCGGTCTTTGTCATCATCACCAAGATGATTGTTACTGAAAATCAGATGCAAGGATTCTGCCCAGAGGTGAGGGGAGGACAGAGGTTGGGTGAAGCAGGTCAAGGCTGAAAATGTTGGTGGGAGTGGGAGCAGTGGCAGGGAGGTATGAGCAGAGGCCCCAAGTCTGACCTTGCAACTGGGACCTGGGACCTCCACCCTCCTGAGGCTGTTGGTTATGGGGAGGTCGAGGGAGTCGCGGAGCTCACCAGGCCAGGACAGTGTCCTTCACCAACCTGTGACCCGTCTGCCCACAGAGTGAGGAGAAATACCGCTGTGTATCAGACAGCCAGTGCGGGCCTGAGCGCTTGCCAGGTGGGGGTGAGTCCAGCCCCTTACCCACCCCACAATCCCAAGTGTTAGTGGGACCCATGGGGGAGAGCCCGTCGTTGGAGAGGGAGTGGGAACCAGCCTGTTCCATGTCATTCTGCTGGCATTTACAGTTGCTCCCTGGGTGCCACACCCAGTGGGTGCTACAAAGGTGGCATGGCCCCTGCCCCCAGAGGAGTTCCCAGTCTAGGATGGTGGTGACAGACAGGGGTGCTTGAAGTGGCCTGTGCTGTCCAGGAGGTACAAAAGACTGTTGAGCCTGGGGGAGGGGGAGAGATTGCTTCTGGGTGAGCAGTACCCAAAGGCTTCCTTGAGGTGGTGACATTTGGGATGGTCCCTGAAGATGAATAGGATTTGGCAGGACAGAGGGGGCTTCAAAAAGTTCATTCCAGACAGAAGGAACAGCTGCAGCACAGACTCAGAGGCAAGGAAGGAAGCACAAGAAGAAGAGGTGTCCTCAGGGTTGCTGGGGCTCGGAGCACATGAAAGGAAGGCTGTCACCTCCCTTTGGCTGGGTCTGGGGCTCAGGAGAAGCAGCAGGAGAGAAGTCAGCTCCCTTTTCCCTGCCTGCTCTTTTCCCCCACTTGCCAGGGTCCCTGATGGGGGGAAGGGAAGAGGGAGGAAGGAAAGGGAGAGGAGCAAAGGGCAGGCAGCCACCCAGCAGCTGTGGCTCTCACTTTAGGGATCCTCACTGGCCGCTGCGTGAACTACAGCTCTGTGCTCCGGACCTGTGAGATCCAGGGCTGGTGCCCCACGGAGGTGGACACAGTGGAAACGTAAGGCTCCAAGCCAGACAGGAGGAGACAGGCCCCCACCTCAGCTCCCCTTTGCCCATGTGGGAGCCGTGCGTCTCTGAGCTTGAGGAGGGTCTGTGGCTTTCTCCAGTGTTGTCCCTTCCTGGTGTGGGGGGTGGCCTCAGGCCCAGGGTATCATCTTCCCCAGCCCACCCACCTGCCTCCTCCTCCTGCTGTGACACTCAGGCACAGACAGCCCCTTCCTATAGCCCACTCTCAAAGTGCCCTTTATCTATAAGAGGTCTCCCTTTGGAGGCATCCACCAGGAAAGGTCGCCCTCAGGTGAAAGCCTTCATTTCCCCCTCTTCTTCCTGGAAAGCTAAGGCCTCCTGTGCTCACCCACAGGCCCATCATGATGGAAGCTGAGAACTTCACTATTTTCATCAAGAACAGCATCCGTTTCCCCCTCTTCAACTTTGAGAAGTGAGTCCCCACTCCTTCCCTAAAGCCAAGATGCAGGCACCCCCGGCCCTGCCAACCTGTTTTCAGGGAAGTGGAGATGCCCCCTCGCCACAGTTCTTCCCACTTTCGCTCCACTGACCCATCTCCCTGGGCCTACCATTCCCAATCTCCCAGCGGGCCTTGGCCACTGAGGATCAGGTGAACTTTGGGGTCAGTTTCTCTGCCAGCCTCCCCACCTTGGGGCTCAGACCCAAACGGGAGTTTTGCTTGGGGTAGGAGAGGGACAACTTAGGCCTAGTCGTGGGTCAAGGATGCCTTCAACGGTTGAAACCCTTTCGGTCTCGTCCCATTCTTTTTCCCCACATCTAGCCCATGTGTGGAAATCCCTTTTCTCTTAGTCAGTTCAGCCCCCCTTCATTGACTTACTCATTCCACAGCTACTCAGTGGGCATTGGCCATGTGCAGAGGGCAATGCCAGTCACTACAGAAGTGCACTAGGCCAGGCGCAGTGACAAATGCCTGTAATCCCTGCACTTTGGGAGGCCGAGAAGGGTGGATCACGAGGTCAGGAGTTTGCGACCAGCCTGGCCAACATGGTGAAACCCTGTCTGTACCAAAAAAAAAAAAAAAAAATTAGCCAGGCGCCGTGGCACACCCCTGTAATCCCAGCTACTTGGGAGACTGAGGCAGGAGAATCGCTTGAACCTGGGAGGCAGAGGTTGCAGTGAGCCGAGATCATGCCACCGCGCTCCAGCCTGGGCAACAGACCGAGACTCCGTCTCAAAAAAAAAAAAATGCACAGAGTAACCAAGAATGATTCCTGCCCTCTCGAACTCCCAGCCTGGCAGCTGGAGATTAGTCACCGACATACATCACCCTGATACACAGGGAAGGCGGTGATGGGGCACCAGAAAGATGCAGGGAAAGGAAAGAGGGGAGGGAGATGGCGAGGTCCAGATGAAGGCTGAGGGCTCAGATCCCCCCTAGGCCTGGGCTCCGGAAGGCGGGGAGAGATTGCACAAGACGATCTTCCCATGAACCCTGGGCTGACCTCTCTCTCTGCTCCTCCCCAGGGGAAACCTCCTTCCCAACCTGACAGCCAGGGACATGAAGACCTGCCGCTTCCACCCGGACAAGGACCCTTTCTGCCCCATCTTGCGGGTAGGGGACGTGGTCAAGTTTGCGGGGCAGGATTTTGCCAAACTGGCGCGCACGGTGAGGACCTAGCCATTCTTCCGCGACCCCAAACTCCCCACCTTCAGCCCTTTCCCAGATTTCAGGGCCCTTTGGCCGGCACTGGCCAGGAGCCGCCGCGAGACAGCGCCACCTGGTGGAAGCATCCCAGGCCGCCACTGGCTTTGTGCCTGAATCCTTTCTGCTTTCCCCGCGCAGAGCGATCTTGCCCCCCGCCTCCGCCGAGTCCACCTTCCTCAAGCCTCAGTTTCCCACTCCCATCTTCACACTTCACCTCAGGCAAAGGCCTTAGATCTGTAATAAGCCCCAAACGACGGGAAAGTAGACCTGTGGCCACTTTCTCCTGTGTTGTAGCTAAAGCACTGAAGATCCCAAAATTAGGACTCAGAGGCTCCAATGTTCGCATCCGAGCCACAACCTTTTTTTTTTTTTTTTTTTTTGAGACAGAGTCTCGATCTGTCTCCCAGGCTAGAGTGCATGGCGCGATTTCGGCTCACTGCAACCTCCGCCTCCCAGGTTCACGCCATTCTCCTGCCTCAGCTTCCGGAGTAGCTGGGACCAAGCCCGGCTAATTTTTGGTATTTTTAGTAGAGTCAGGGGTTCGCCGTGTTAGCCAGGATGGTCTCGATCTCCTGACCTCGTGATCCGCCCGCCTCGGCCTCCCAAAGTGCTGGGATTACAGGCGTGAATCACCGCACCCGGCCACCACAGCACTTCTTTACTGAGCAGTATATGACATGTCACTTTCCGTTCTCCCTGCCTCCGTCTCCCACCTGGAGGATGGGAGGAAATCATTTGTCACCACCTCCACCCCACCCCCACCCTGGCCCAGAGCAGGGAGTCAGAGGGCGAGGGGAAAGCTCATACCCGGCCCGTTTCTTCAGGGGGGAGTTCTGGGCATTAAGATCGGCTGGGTGTGCGACTTGGACAAGGCCTGGGACCAGTGCATCCCCAAATACTCCTTCACCCGGCTCGACAGCGTTTCTGAGAAAAGCAGCGTGTCCCCAGGCTACAACTTCAGGTAATTCCCTGTCTCCTGGGACACCAGGAGAAGAAGGTGCGGGCTGTTAACGGCAATGTTTATTGGGGAGACAAGATCCCACATCCATCCACCCACCCCTGGCCCCAAGTCCCACCTCAGGTTTCATTTCAAATCAGGAAGGACTCTCTAACAGCCATTAGGATCTAGCTGGTTGTCCTGGGAGACAGTGTCTCCTTATCACTGAAGGGGACCACGCCAAGGATTCCTGCTGCAGGTCAGTAGTTAGAAGAGAGGGCCAAGGTCTCTTGAAATGCTAGGGTTCTGCGATTCTTTGCCTGTTCCTAACACTGGCCTGAAACTGTGACGTGCTTAAGTGACTTCCAGATAGGCCCATTCCCTGCCCTGGGCCTGAATTTTCTAAGGTTTCTCGCTCTACAAAGTAAGGGTGATAACTGGTATCATTTTACATTTTACAAGATGGCAACTTTGCATTTCTCTCCGCAAACGTGTGTCACCAGTAGCAATTATAATTGTCTCTGGTTCTTCAATGCCTCTCCAAACAAGAACTCAGACCAGTCTTTAAATATCATCCCAATGGCTTTGAGACTTCAGGGATCTTTTCGGGTTTTGTTTTGTTTTGTTTTTCCATTTTGAAGAAAGGGAGAGAGGAATTAGAGGACAAACTGTTTGGAAGCAACTGAAAGCGCTTGAACAAGCCATTTGTCTTCTCCCATCCTAATTTCCCCACCTATGAAATTGTGATAGTACCACTGTGATCTTCAGGATTCAATTAACCAATGTGTGAAAAGCTTCAGCTTTCTGTTTTGTTTCTCTCTTCTTTTTTTTCTGAATCATTCATTTATTGATTCATCCATTAAACACATACCAATTGTCTACTACGTGCTGAGGACCGTACTCAGTTATCTTAGGTTAGCAGTTCTCAAAGTGTAGACTACAAGGTCAACACTACTTATTAAAGGTTTTGTTTTCTTTTTAATTGATAAATAACAATTGCATATATATGGGATACAATGTGATGTTTTGATACATGTATACATTGTGGATTTCCCCCAGTTTTTGAAGATCCTGAAGTTTCTGGCAGGGCCCTGTTTAAGTACACAGCATTATACACTAAACAGCTTAAATAGAACAAATAGGGAGTGACCAGGGGAAAAAAATACATAAGAATATATTTCATTTACATTTGAACATAAGAATGTATATTTGAATATATTCAAATAAATGTTACTCAAATTTCCTTTGTTGAGGTGGTATTCTCTGATACAATGGCATACGTAAGCCAAAAATAATCATTTCACCTTTTAAAATTGTTAATTTATAACTTAAAAAAATAATCACCCACCCCATTAAGCTTTATATTTAATAGTTTAAAATATACATGTATATTCTCTGGAAAGAAGAATCTTTAAAAATTGAAGTACTTTCATCATCAACTCCAAACTTTAAAAAAACCATAGGAAACAACACATATTTTAAAGTAGGTTAAAAATACTGTGCGGCTCACTGGCAGAAATTGGCATATTTATTCAGTTGGTATATCACACTGAGATCAATACAAAGGATATTTGTATGGTGGCTTAAAATAGTAACATATTAATAAAATTCTCATGATCTAAAATGCAAGTTTTCATCTTCATAACTTCCCTTTGGCCATTGGGAATTCTTTAATCCTCCAAATAACTCATTTGGCAGAAAAGCTTATGAAGAATGTGAATATTATAAAGACCCCCAACTACTGATATCGTACAGTTTTAGAACAGCATCTCTCATCTAAATAAGAATTGGTCTGGAGTTCTTTATCTCCAATTTATTGCACTGTGGCTGCCTTCCCTCCCTCCCCACCTGAGCACAGAAGGATGCGGGATAGACCTGGTCCTAAATAAGCTTGGAGGGTATTTGGGGAGGCAGGACGGAATATCCCCAAAGACCCTGCCTGCATAATTCCCAGAGGCCTAAGAGAAACCACCCCCTCTTAGGATCTCAGATAATTGACTCCCCCAACAAAGTCCCCCAGGCCAGAGAAGAAGGAGGCAAAGCTGCTTAGTTTGACCCTTGTGATTTAAAAGTTTCCAGAGGGCCCAAGTAATAGCCCTGACATTGGGGGACATCTGATATCAGTGGCAAGCAGAGGGCTCTGCCCAAGCCCCTTCCCATCCCTTCACCTGGGTGCCCACCCACCACCCTCATGCAACCTCAAACTACTGGCACCCAAGGCTAAGCTAAGAGCCCACGTGTGGGAGGCTGCAAAGCTGTCTTTCTGAATGCTTGAATAAGAGAGAAAGGGTCACAAAGCCAGGTTCAGTGCGGGTCACAGTGCACTTTCTATGATATGGTAAGATGTACGCTGTTTTTTAGAATCTCACCAAGCTACTTATCAGTAGAAACCATACTAGTCACCCTGTGTGCAAAACGTTTTGTGTGCTTCAGCTCAGCATTCCTTGCATGCCCTACGAAGTAGATGCTACAATATCCCCCCCAACTTTATAAAGGAGAAGATGGAGTCTCACTGTTAAATAACATTCTCAAAGTCACAAAGCAAGCAAGAGGGGGAGCCTGGATTCAAAACATATTTCTTTGGATGATCTCCACCCCAGCCAGGAAGACTAGGGACATTTGTACTTGTTAATCCTCAGAAAAAAAAGCATGCCTATGTGGTTGACACTTTCATCCCAGCTTAAAAACAAAGAATCTAAGTTCCAAGGAGATTTCAAGACTAGCAGATGCTGGCAGCACAATTCATAGCCCGGCCTTTTGTCTCCCAAACAATTCATTTGCTGCTCCCTCCAACAGAGGCAGATTTTTCAACACCCCTACTGTTGCCATTTGCTCTGGAGGGAATGGAATTATTCAGCCAAGATTCGGCCGTGTTTGAATCTGCTAACTAAGACATCCAGAGGCAGCTAGAGATTCACATTTCCATCACTAATTACATTCGCAGCTCCCTTCCAAATGTCACTCCCCCCCCCCCGCCCCTATTTTTTGTAGCTCTTTGCCTGCAGAATCAGAGATTTTGAGAATTTATAGCTGTTGAAGTTCCCCTTGCAGTCACCCAGAGTAAGGCGGTCACTTTACAGATGAGGAAGCGGAAGTTCCAAAGGGGGCATCTTAGAGTAGCCTCAAAGGTCATTGGATCTCAACTCCTAATGTGACCCTTGTGATTTAAAGGAGTTTACGGACCCATGTAAGAGATTACAGGCCCATGTAATCACCCTGACACTGGGGGATATCTGATCTCCGTGGCAAGCAAAGTGGCCTGCTCCATTCATTGGAAAGGTGACCTCAAATTGAGCCAAAATGTGCCTCCCTTTAAATCCTCTCCAGTGTACTTGGTGCTGTCCATGCAAGTTAATCTTTATTTTTGTGATCCCCTAAAGATTCTGTTCTTCCCCTACCTGAAATTTAGTGGAGACATTTTATTTTTACTCCTTGGTCTGTTCTGCGTGGCTAAAGACTCCGTGGGCCGCTTTAACTTAGTATTTTTATGAAGCCTCTTTCTAAGCACACTGAGATTGCAGTTGGTGGGGTCATCTGGATTTCTAGCAGACAAAATGCAGCAATTTCTAAAAATAAGAACTGTTGAGAGTCACCAGTTCAGTGCTGCACAAGTGAAAGGCGCCCTCAGCAGAGCCCTGCAGTTCTTCAGGAGGCTCTCTTCTCTGTTGGCAAGGTTTCTGAGGCCCAGGTAGACCCTCAATTCACAGGAGCAGGATTTTAACAAGAGTACTATATTTCCCAAAGTCCTGGGAACAGGTGATGTTGTGTGTGTGTGTGAGTGTGTGTGCACATGCGAGTTCGTGAGAGTGGGTGTATTTGTTAGTGGGTGAATGTGTGAGGCTGAGAGTGAGTGTGTCAGTGTGTGTGTGTGTGCGTGAGTGTATAGGCATTGATGGTGCAATGACAGATTAAAAATACTGTATCCGTCAGGGTCCCCGCAGGAAACAGATGGCACATTCTAACTGGGTAATCTGAGGAGAGTTTAATAAAGGGACTGTTTCAAAGGTGTGGGCAGGGTGTACGGAAACCACACAGATAGTGCAGTGCCAGGGCCAGAAACAGGACACTGGTTACCACCCAGGTCTGAAGAGGCGAGGAGAGGAAGCAGTGACAGGAACATGGAGACGGACAGAGCTGTGAGCAGAGGACAGCCTGACATGTGGCTGTGACTCAGGAGAGCCCCACCAGAAGCCAGAGCTGAGGCAAAGTGGCCCACTGAGGCAGCCCAGGGCAGGGCGAGGAAGGGAGGAGCACGGACCTGAGGGGCACCTGCAGAGATGTCCAGGACAAGTCCTGACAACTTTCATCTGTGAAATTACAGCCCTTCCTTAACTTTCAGAGGTCTCTAACTGCTTTATGCCCCCGATGAAAATGGGGACCATTGTCCAAGGAAGATGCATGTATTCATAGACATGAGAAAATTCACAGGCAAGTTCTCTTCTTAAAGGATATTTTATTTCTTTTTTTTTTTTTTTTTTTTTGAGACAGAGTTTTGCTCTGTTGCCCAGGCTGGAATGCAGTAGTGCAGTAGTCTCGGCTCACTGCAACCTCTACCTCCCGGGTTGATGCAATTCCCCTGCCTCAGCCTCCCCAGTAGCTGGGATTACAGGTGCCCGCCACCACGCCCAGCTAATTTTTGTATTTTTAGTAGAGACGGGATTTCAACATGTTGGCCAGGCTGGTCTCGAACTCCTAACTTCAAGTAATCCACCCACCTTGGTCTCCCAAAGTGCTGGGATTATACGCGTGAGCTACCACGCCTAGCCAGGTTATTTCATTTCTACAAATAAGATACAAATACATTCTCAGAGTAATAAATCCAACCAATACTGATATATACAAAGTAATGACATGGGAAGTCCCCTTCATTCCCCCAGGCCTGCACCCTTTGCAGGGAATTAACATCTGGGACGGTTTAATGAGTTTCTTTCCAGTTCTTATTCTATGCATTTATATTTATGCAGCATAAAATTCCAAGACTTTGAGGCCCTCTAAAAGCCTATCCCGTAGCCAGGTGTGGAAGCTCCTGCCTGTAATCCCAGCACTTTGGGAGGCTGAGGCGGGAGGATCCCTTGAAGCCAGGAGTTTGAGACCAGCCTGGGCAGCAATAGCAAGACTCCTTCTCTACAAAAATAAGATTAAAAATTCTAAAAAATAAATAATAAATGAAAGCCTATCCCTGCACCTCAGATTAAGAGCCCTAGAGTTAAGTTTGCAAAGCCCTTTCACACCTATTTTTGACAGATCACAGCTCACCATCTTCCCCCACCCCCAAGGTAGGCTCAGAAAGATTTCAAAACTTGCCTGAGATTATACAGCCTAATTAAGAGGCACATCAGGACTCAAACCCAGGGATTTGATCTATATCCATTGCTTCCAGCATGCCTTGCGCCATCACATGGCCTGCAAAAAAGGGGAAAAAAAAATAGCTCTAAGAGATATACCTGGTAGTGATGGCTGGTGTGATTGACGGGAGAGAATCGAAACTGCATTTCAAAATGCCTGATTTCTTGTTTCTCCTCTGAGAGTTCCTAAGACAGCTTTGCTACTAAAAGGCAACGCAGTTTTGGATTTCCTCTTTTGGTGTCTGGGACAAAAAAACATTTGTTCAGCTGCTAGATGTTCCTGGTGCGGTAGGTGTTTCTAGTGATCGTTTTATGTTGGAAATGTACCCACAGCAGCTTTCATGAAGCTCGGAGATTTGGCGCCTGTCCTGCTTCCAGGCAGAAACGTGTGGATCAGCAAGATCTTAGGCCAATTGACAGAGACAGAATCGAAGTGCACCCTTGGCTTTGATCATTCTCTCTACAATCTGGATTTTTCTCTTTCCAAAAGCCATAGAATATGCGTTAAAAGCAGCCAGCACCGTCATTTCCACAGAAACACTTGAAGGCCCTCTTCCATGGGAAGTGTACTTGCTTGAATTCTCCATAATCCATTTTCTTCATCATTTTTAGGTTTCAGTGGAAGTGATGCAATTAGAGTGATCTTGGATTTAGATAGCCCTTTATCATGTTCATGTCTACCCTATTCTCACAGCAACCAGTATTATTCATAGAAAATATTAGCTAACACTCATTGAACACTTACCAGTGAGCCAGAGAATTAGCAGGTTCTCTGTGTGATTATCTTGTTGACCCTGAAGAGAGAACATTTTAGAGCCAGGTGTGGTGGCTCACACCTGTAATAATCCCAGCACTTTGGGAGGCCAAGGCGGGCAGATCACGAGTTCAGGAGTTCAAGACTGTCCTGGCCAACATAATGAAACCCTGTCTCTATTAAAAATTTTTTTAAAAATCAGCCAGGCGTGGTGGCACGCACCTGTAATCCCAGTTACTCAGGAGGCTGAGGCAGGAGAATTGCTTGAACCCAGAGACGGAGGTTGTAGTGAGCTGAGATCTCACCACTGCACTCCAGCCTGGGTGACAGAGTGAGACTGTCAAAAAAATAAAAAAAGATATAACAACTCAAGAGAACATTTTAGAACTGGATACCTGAGCTCAGGGGTTTCATCTACCTGTCCAAGGCCACACAGCTCCTACTGCTGGAGCCAGAATTCAAACCCTAGCAGTCTGGCTCCAGAACCTGTGCTTGCAACCACAAGTAGGACCAGTATGGTAACGCCCATTCTACAGATGAGGAAACTGAGGCCAAAAAGATCCCTCTCAGGAGCAGAGAGCGAGTAAACTGGCTCTCAGGTACATCTTCTGGCTCCAGGTCCATTGATCTTTCCCTACCTTATTAATTAAAGATAAATTAATAGTAATGCATTTTTAAAGATCAACAAGAAGCGTTTTTTTTAATGCCTGCCTTTGAGGTTGATTTGGTGCCTGGAATATGAATAAATAAGTATGGCTTTGGGCCCTTCTCTAAGGAGAAGAGTTCCAGCCTGTTCTAAGGATGTTGCCCCACCCTGAAGCAAAGAGTCTGCCAGGAGATATTTTCCTATCAGTATAAAATCAACTGTAAAAGTGTATTTCAGCTGGCAAAATTACTTCCCACCAGGCAAAGCTTTGCTGAGAACACCACCACTTTCACTTAGAAACCCAAATTCCAGGCCCAAGTTTTCCCTTGCAAGTCAAACCCGGCTCCGGCAAGTTTGTTGCTGTTTTTCCTGCTGCTGTAACAGTTACGTGTCCCTGCTTTAAGAAGGAATTTCCACCACTCGATGAGAGGATGGATCATTTCTAAACAGATGTCTGAGAGCTTCCAAGGGATTTGTACATCGTGATAAAAAAACCCTTCTCCATTCAGCAAACGTTTATTGACTGCTGACTACTGCAAATGTCAGCTCAGCATGGGGAAGTACTTCTAACAGTTAGAGCTATCCAAAGCTAAATTTGGGCTGCTCCTACAGGTAGTGAGTTTCCTTGCACTGAATGTATTCAGGCATCGGCAGGGAAACCCTTTGTAGATAATGTAGGGAGAACTTTGAAGGTCTCTTTCAACTTCCAGATTATATCACATGCTGGGCTTTGTGGCGAATACAGAGATGAACAAGACCAGTTCCTAGAATCAAGCAAGTTTTAATATAGTGATGATAAATTTGAATCCAAATAACGAAAAATGCTTATACAAAAGAAATATATATATGTTATGCTGGGGCAAGCCAAGGATGGTCAGGATGAAGCAGAAGTAAAGCAGAAGGATGTGGGCTACAGTTCAGGCCTTGCTGTTAATCCTGGATGTGATGTTAAGCACGTCTCATTGCCTCTGTGGGCCTCAGTTTCCTCCTCTGTAAAATGGGCTGGTTAAAGATGATGATCTTTTAGGCTCCTTCAAGCCCTAAAAGTCTGAATCAACATGTGTGGGTGTCTGAGGAAGGGCTGTGGAAATTTGGGCTGCTGAAGCATGCACTATTATTTATAGACCTATCACAATCACGTTGGAATGGAGCTCCAGCCCTGCCCTGCAGAAGCGCATCTGACAAATGATTTATTATGGTAATTGACGTTTGTACTTACTCATTCTTTATCTCTTGCTGGTAATGCCACAAGGGAGCGCACGCACACTCACACACACACGCACTCACACGCACAACATCCCAGCACTATTAGGCCTCAGAATCATTCGATTGAGTCCTGTGTTAGAGGTGTCCTGTCTGGTCACAGCTAGGGGTGTCTCAGTGAAGGCCCCGGAGGCAAAGCACATTCAGCTGGGGTTTGTGAAGAAATTTACACAACAGGAACCAGCATGGGAGTCGAGGCACACAGGGATGAACAAAGTGGGAAGCCGTCACCACTGTAGACCTGCCGCCCCCGCGGGAGGAATGGGAGCCTGGTTTTGAGCTGGGGTGCCTGACAGGAGCAGCAGTCAAAGTGACACAGCCACAGGCAAAATCAAGGCAGAGCAGGGAAGCAGCGAGCAGATACATACCCCATCCCCTCCTTCCCACCCTCGGGTCCCCTGCCAGTGCCGCCCATTGACCAAATTCCCCAGAAACCAGGGGGGAGGAAGCCAGGGAATGTGGGCTGCAGAGGTCCACCTGCAGGGCTGCCCAGACCAGAGACTGGCTCCTGGGGCAAGTGCAGAGTCTCTGGCCCACCAGGTAACCATCCCCGCTGCCCTTCAAGTGTCTGGGCTCCAGTGGCCCTTCCAGCCACGCCTGTCAGAGGAGCCCCCGACCCTGAAAACTCTGGCCCTGCCTGTGCCTCTGGGCTGCTTTCCCCTTTTCCAGCTCAGCGCTGGCAGCTGTTCGGGCTCTGTTCTTTCCTCTGATGCCTATGGCATCATTGCAGTCACAGCCATGCTGTGCTTTCTCCACAGCTGAGGTGTTTTCACAGACACCAGCTTAGCAAGCTCCCTGCCCACTGAGGCTGCAAGGAACTCCTTTTGGCTCCTCTCTTAGGGAGGCAGTAGGGGTAGGCAAGGGCTTTGGAGTCAAGCAGCCAGATTTCAGATCCCAGCTGTGCCCCTTGCAGGCAGAGTAGCCTATGGAGCATGTCTGTGCCTTTCCCCAACCTGTAAAATCAGGCATGTTGCCTGATGACCAGTACCCAATATTAAGAGAAAGCTGTGTGCTAGGTACTATGTTCAGCCTTCACATTCCATAGTCATTTAATCCTCTAGGCAACCCTAGAGCTACTGCTCTCATCTCCATTTTACAGATGGAAAAACAGACTCAGAGAGGTAATTCACCCAAGGTCATATAAACTAGGTGGCACAGCCGGGATTCAGGCCCAGGACTATCTCATTTCAAAGTGCGTAAGCCGCCAGCTAACTCATTCAGCTGTTGTGAGGCCTAAATGAAACAACAGGTGTGGAAGCCTCTAGCCTAGTGCTTAGCAGGAGTAACTGTCCCACATATATTTTCCTACTCTTTCCCGCATTGCCCCTATCGAGAGGCTGGCTCCCACAAGTGGCACCCACTTTCCCACCTAGCTAGCTGCCAAATCTAACTGTGTTCTGCTGGGGAGAGAAGCAGCCTGTTGTTACTACCTTATACTAGCTCCACCTGCAGAATCAGGAGCATTTGGAGAAACCAGTGGCAGCAGGAGGGAGCCCTGAGGACAACCTACCTAAACTCAATCTTTGAGATGTCAAGAATCTCAGAAATTATTTATTCTTCTAGCAAGCATTTACTCAACCCCCTACTGTGAGCATTAGGCCTTTGGGCAAACAGAAACAGTGAGATATGAGGCCAGGCGCGGTGGCTCATTCCTGTAATTCCAGCACTTTGGGAGGTCGAGGTGAGCGGTTCACAAGGTCAGGATGGAGACCATCCTGGCCAACATGGTGAACCCCTGTCTCTACTAAAAAAAATACAAAAAATTAGCTGGGCATGGTGGTGCACACCTGTAATCCCAGCTACTTGGGAGGCTGAGGCAGGAGATGCACTTGAACCCAGCAGGCAGAGGATGCAGTGAGCCGAGATCGCTCCACTGTGTACTCCAGCCTGGTGACAGAGCGAGACTCTGTCTCAAAAAAAAAAAGAAAAAAAGAAAGAAAAAGAAACAGCGAGATATGGCTCATAGTCCGTAGTCCAAATTATTAGCTATAGTCTGGTGTGGCAGATACTGTAGTAGAGGCCTGAATCCTAATGGAGAGAGAAAAGGCAGCCCTGGGGGATGTCCCAACCCCAGCTCATGCCCCTGGTTTGTAGCATTGGCTGGATTTCTGTGAGGTAAATACTCCAGGATGGTCAATTTCAAGCTACCAAGGTGAAGTCACTAAACATGGAATTGGGAAGAGATGCACACAATTGGCTGCCAGCTGGGATGTGTGGACCCAGCTGCTGCCACTTCCATCTGCCTCTACCCACCAGCCCACCAACCCTCTTCCAGCTGCTTCAGAAACACCACGTTCTTTCCCGTGAGAGGGCCTGCAGATCCCTCAGCCAGGAAAGCGGCCCCTGCCTCTGGCCTTCTTGCCCTTTTAACTCTCCATCCTTCAAGCCCCAGCTTGAGGGTCACTTTTTTTTTTTTTAAGTTTAAGTTCTGGGATACATGTGCAGGACGTGCAGGTTTGTTACGTAGGTAAACGTGTGCCGTGGTAGTTTGCCGCACAATAAACCCATCACTTAGGTATTAAGCCCCACATGCATTAGCTATTTATCCTGATGCTCTCCTTCCCCCTGCACCCCCAACAGGCACCAGTGTGTGTTGTTCCCCTCCCTGTATCCATGTGTTCTCATTGTTCAGCTCCCACTTATGAATGATAACATGCAATGTTTGGTTTTCTGTTCTTGTGTTAGTTTGCTGAGGATGATGGCTTCCAGCTTCATCTATATCCCTGCAAAGATCATGATCTCATTCCTTTTCATGGCTGCATAGTATTCCATGGTATATATACCACATTTTCTTTATCCAGTCTATCATTGATGGGCATTTGAGTTGATTCCATGTGTTTGCTATTGTGAACAGTGCTGCAATAAACATGCATGCATGTATCTTTATAATAGAATGATTTATATTCCTTTGGGTATATACCCAGTAAGGGGATTGCTGGGTTAAATGGTATTGCCGGTTTCAGGGTCACTTTCACATGAAGCCTTGCCTAACCCCCAGCCTAGGTTAGACATCTAACTGTGCTCATAGAATGGCACTCCTCTCCTTCCCAACCCTTCCTTATGTCCGATTTTAGCTACTTATGGGCTTGTGTGGTTAATTAGTATTTCTCTCCCTCTCATGACAGCAGAGCTTGGCAAGGTATCAGCAGTACCTAGAACAGTATCTGGCACAGAGCAGGTGTGCTCCAAATGTTTGTTGAATGCTGAAAGAACAAGAGGTCATCTGAGCTGGGCTCTAATGGATGAATAGGAGTCTGCAAGGTGGAAAAGGGAGGCAAGAGGAACAGCATGGGCAAAAGCATAGACATCTGTGTCTGTGGGATGTGTTCAGGAAATGCAGGAAGGCAGGTAGTCTGGTGTGGCTGGAACTTGAGCGTGTGGCAGGGAGAAGAGCTTGCAGATAAGGCAGGTGGACTGGGCCAGGTCGGGAGGAGTCAAGGTATCGAATGGTCCTGTCATTCTCACCAACCCCAATCCTAACCAAAAAAATAAAAATGATCTGGTAAGAACCAGAGGACTTGGGGAAAATCAAGGCTTGGGCATGGTGTATGTAGCTGAGCCATTCCCCTTTTTAGATGAGGAGGCTACAGGGTCCTTCTGTCCTGACACTGCATGGCCCCCCAGGCTTCCTGTTCTGCTCCCAGCCAGTGACTCTGGGTATGGAGACCCACCTAGCAAATGCAAAAAGATGCACCAGCTGGAGAACGAAATTAGTTATGACCCAACAGAAATCAAGCAACAAAAGAACAGTGTAGAATGCTGGCTAAGAGTGTGGGTCCGACAGCTGGACTGCCTGGGTTCGAATCCCAGCTTCACTCACTGTTGGTTTTGTGACCTTAGACAAGTTGCTTCACCTCTCTGATCTTGATTCCTCAGCTGTGACATGGGAATAGCAACAGTACTTAAATGCAATGGGGTGGTTGTGAGCATTAAATGAGCTAATAAGCATAAGCACTTAGCACAGTGTCGGGTCACAGAGGAGTACTCAGTAGATGTTGGCTGTTATTATTACTAATATCATTATCTACAGGAGCCAGGAGAGTGTAATGATTAAAGTAAATGTAGATATTGTTTCATTTTATCTTTATGCTAGGATAAGGGATGTGTTTTAAGCACGGACTATATATGGACACTCTCTCAACTCATCCTCCTCAGAGCTCTTTTTCCTCCAATTTTTCAGTTGAAGTAAAAAGCTCAGAGAAGTCGAATGACCTTCCCAAGATCAAGAAGCTAATTCACAACAGCCATAGCACCACACCCAGATCCCCTAGGGCCTCCTTAGAGGGTTTACTCCTGGGATATAGCATCATGGGACTGTGCCCTCTGTCTAATCCTGAGTAACTCCCCAACTTCAGCTCTTTCTTTGTCCCTTGGCAAATTACATCTCTCAGCCATGAAATTCTGAGAGTTTGCAACAGTCAGGGTTAGCATTGCTAGTTGCTATAACAAACAAACCCCTCATTTCAGTGGCTTAATGTGAAGGTTGATTTCTTACCTATGGCACAGTGCACTGTGGGCCAGTGGGGGTGGGGAGCGCCATGCAGTCATTCAGGGATCTAGGCTCCTGCCATCTTGACTCAGTCTCTCTAGAGCCTCAGAGTCCTCTCCTGACTCCTGAGCAACTGGCCATCAGGTGAGGAAAGGGAAGACATAGAAGGTACACTGCTCTAAACTACCTCAGTCCAGAGGTAACAAACCTCACGGCCATTCATATTTCATCAGCAAAAACTAGTCATGGGGCCCCAGCTAAATGCAGGGGACTGGGAAATGTGGTCTAATCATCTGCAAAGAGAGGAGATAACCAGACCCTGGTGACCAATGAGCTGTCTCTGTCACAGGGGTGGGCAGATTCTGTGATCCCCATCGGCCACAGGAGAGTGCAGAAGCTGGGACTTCTGGGTTACCCCCTCTGTCTGCAGCCTGGGCCCACACTCCCTGAGCTCTGTTCCTCCTCCCTCCACCCGGGAAGAGAACCAGTCCCTGCCAACCCTCCTCAGAGGGTGGGTGGTTGGTGAGATAATGATCTTACCATGCTTATTGCCTCTTGGAAGGCAGGTGCTGGAGAAAAACCAAGTCCGCTTTGATTTTTCTCCCTGTTCCCTTCACATTCCTTCCCAGGATAAATTTAGCCAGCCCTCACTTTGAACGGCAGTGCCCAGGATACGACTTTTTGTTCTCCAAGTTGATGTCACTGTCAGAGCCGTTTTCATGGTTGCAGCCTTTGGCCAGCAGTAAAGATTTCCGGATGACAGGCCCAGCCTCTGCCCTGCCCCAAACCTCTGTGATCCACCCTCTCACCCCTGCCCACTACCCATGGGCATGAGGAACCACATCTCTGAGACAAGGGCCTTAAATTCTCCAGTGATGTGAGACAGGACACAGTATTTAGAAGGCTTTGATATCTTGCACAAGGGCTGCGTTATCCTTAACAGCCTCCAAGAGCTCAGAGGCAGGATGGTTCAAGGGGTATGAGCATGAACTTTGGAGGCATCGGTATGGATTAGAATCCCAGCTCTGGCAAGTTATCTTCTCACCTGTCTCCTCATCTGTACAATGACTCAACAACAGTATAGTCTTCATGAGATTAGTGGAGATGCTTATATTAAGGAACTTCCTATATTGTTGGTGCTCTATAAACAGTGGGCATGGAGACAGTGATGGTCTATAAGGACCTCCTGGAGCCTTCTGCCCATTCCAGATACTTCTTTTGCAGACTTCTTTAAAATATCCCGAGAGTCCTCCTTGGAGAATTATGTTCTTAGGCCCTGTCATCTTTATAGAAATGACGCCCTCTCTTGTGTCCATCCTATTATCCTCCTTTTGCTGCACCTTGAATTCATTCTGTTTTGCCTTGGTTGTGAGGCTGTCTTCCTCCACCACCTAGACTTGAACTTAGCATCATTTTAAAGCTGGTTTAGCCCCTCCCCTCTTTCCTTGACCTCCAAGCCCTCTTCCGGATAAGTGGTTGCACTTCTTTCTGCTGCCTTCCAAGGTCCACTCTCATTCTTACTCTGGGTCTTACTCTTTCTTGGGATCCCCTTGCCTCCCCTGCCCCTCCCTCAGCTGCACAGCCCACAAGGAAACACCTTCCCAGGTCAGGCTGCCCTGGAAACCTTTTTTTCACTGAGTCGTTCTCAGCCTTACTCGAGCAACAGGTACATCACTCAGGCACACCAGCTCTGCTTGTGCCCACGCATAGGCAGAGACAGAAAATGTGTCACCCATTCTCCAGTGCTCCCTCCTGACCCAGATAAAGCTCTCTAGGACTGAGCTTGCTCCTCTGTAAAGTGGGAGTGGTCAGGGTAGGTAACCTGAGGGGAAACAGTGGGTGGTCTCACAGGGGTGACTGAATAAAGAGACTATACACAAAGGTGCATTCCAGGTAAAGGGAAGGGAACTAACCAGGCCAGTGAAGGGCCTCTGTGCTGGCAGTGAGGCCAAGCTGCTACCGCCTAGGCTGGCGGGAGTGAGGGGAGGAGCAATTCCCAGAACCTGAACAAAAGCTGAGGCTGCCCAGCCACCTCAGTGCCCTGGCCTCTCTTTTTCCCTGCCCTCTGATCTCCTCTCAGCGCCTTCCATTGGCTGAACCCACCTGGAAACGGAGGCCAAAGCGGTCTTTGCAGATCAGGCTCTCAGGGCCCAGAGCTGGGCACAGAAGGGACAGAGAATGGCTGTGGAGGAGCAGACAGAATCTCTAACACAAGAATCTCAATGGTGTTCGCATTTACCCTGTCTCACCAACAGACCTTCTAGCAGGGCATGAGCACACCTGTGCTTATAGACATGGAAATGGACACCCTGAAGGCTAAGGAACACCAGAGGCCACATTAACAAGTGGGGGAGCCAGGATTTAGATTCATTTCTGCCTAATTCCAGAATGCCCCACTGCCAGATGGCAGCCAGAGCAGATAGTGGCATACGTTCTCCTTCCCCATCACAAGTTATCTTCCTCCCATGCCTGTAATCCCTCAATGACTGATTCACTGGGGCTGAGCATTTCCTTCTCTCTGTTGTACAGGTTCAAATGCAAATATCCCTGTCAGGAGCATCACGTCAATCACTGAACACTTTCAGGGAATCAGTTTCTCAGGCCCCTGGTGGGAGAGGCCTGGGAATCTGTGGGGACTGGAGACACTGAGAGGGAACAATGTGGACCCCACACGGCTAAGGAGTTTTCTGGGCCCTTTCACTCCTGTGATTTCACTTAATCCTCACCACTTTCCAAAGTTACTGGCATCAGGAACCCATTTTACAGCTGTAGGACAGTAGCCCAAAGAGATGACACTTTCCTAATGTTAGAGTTTGGCCCGTGATGAGCAGAGCCACGCAGCAGGAAGTGCACTGGCTTTAGAAGCTGAAAGACTGATGCGATTTGAATCCCAAATCCAGCACTTCACTAACTGCGAAACCACAGGCAAATCTCCTCCCCACCATAGGCATCTACAAAATGGGGGTCTGAACACTCACGTCTCTGTGTTGAACACTAACCCCTGTTTGTGGTGAGAATGAAATGGGATCATTTTCCTGAGTCCCCGGCATGGTTCATGGCACCCAGAAGCCAAGGCAGAGAAGGTGCAGGGGTCAAAATCTTGGACTTGGGCAAATCTAGTGCTGAGCTCACCAGCTGGTGAACTCAGCACCAGCTCTGGGTAACCCCAGACAAGTCTCCTTACCCTCTCAGAACCTCATTTGAAAAACAGAGCAATCACATGCCTATCTATAATTGTCCGCTTTCCGTTGCTTCTACAAAATACCTGAATCTGGGTAATTGACAAAGAAAAGGAATTTATTTCTTCATGTATAGAGGCTGAGAAGTCCAAGGCTGTGGAGCCAGACGCATCTGGTGAGTCTTCCTACTGGTGGGGACTGCAGTCTCGGGCGCAGGGTGTCACATGGAGAGGGGGCTGGGTGTGCTAACGTGCTAGCTCAGATCTCTCTTCCTCTTCTTACAAACCCACCAGTTCCCCTCCCATGATAGCCCATTAATCCATTAATCCATGAATGGATTAATCCATCCATGAGGGCAGAGCCCGCAGGGTCCAATCGCCTCTTAAAGGCCCCACCTGTCAATACTGCCACATTGGGGATGAAGTTTCGACATGAGTTTTGGATGAGGACATTCAAACCATAGCACTATCCCAAAGGTTTGTTGCAAGGGTGAAATGAGACGAATAGTCTGAAAGCACCTTTCAAAACTGCTCTATAAATGTAAACAACAACAATGGGTTTCCTGAGTGCTTAATGTATTCCAGGCACTGTCTACACCCCTGACGTGTGTGGTTTCACTCAATGCTCATGGCAGCCTTATGAAGCAGGACTTTTGTATAGTATTCCCACCCACAAATGAGGAAATTGAGTCTCAGAGATGTTAAGTAACTGGCCCAACGTTGCACAGTCAGTAAGCGGCAGAGCCAGGCTTTGAGCCCAAATAAGCAGAGTGAGCTGGGCTCTGGGAGACCCAGACAAATGGAACTGAAGAAGCTTGGAGTCTAGCAGTGGCTCAAACTTTCTAGCACATCAGAATCACTGATGGAAATTATTTAAAAGGCAAGTTCTGGCCGGACGCGGTGGCTCACCCCTATAATCCCAGCACTTTTGGAGGCCGAGGCGGGTGGATCACTTGAGGTCAGGAGTTCGAGACCAGACTGGCCAACATGGTGAAACCCTGTCTCTACTAAAAATACAAAAATTAGCCAGGGATGGTGGCGCGTGCCTGTAATCCCAGCTACTCGGGAAGCTGAGGCAGGAGAATCACTTGAACCCAGAAGGCAGAGGTTTCAGTGAGCCAAGATCGCACCACTGCACTGCAATGTGGGCGACAGAATGAGACTCTGTCTCAAAAATATAAAAATAAATAAAAGGCAAGTTCTTGGGCTGCACCCACAGAGATGCTGATTCTGTGGGTTCAGGGTGGAGCTCAGGAATCTGCTTTTATAACAAGCCCCCAAGATGATGCTTGTGTGAGGGGTCAGCTAACCACACAGGGAGGAGCGTGGCAGTTGTCTCAGCAAACCGTAAGTAAGGGTTGCTCAGTGAGCCAAGACACAGGGCTCTGGAGGACCCAGAAGGTTCAGGCAGGAGAGACAGGATCCCACAGAGGGACCCATCTCTGCCTCTGACCTCCAGGTTTGCCAAGTACTACAAAATGGAAAATGGCAGTGAGTACCGCACCCTCCTGAAGGCTTTTGGCATCCGCTTCGACGTGCTGGTATACGGGAATGTGAGTCCATGGGCCAGGCAGATGGGGTGGACAGGGGAGGCAGCCCAGACCACCTCTCGGGTTCTGAAAAAGCTCCTCTGGGGGGCAGGGGTCTGCTGCTGGCCAGCTTTGACACCCTCAGTGGGTCACTCTCCCATCAATTCACCTGTCCCGTGAAGGGGAGGGATCTGCTGATCCACCAAGAACCCTTCTGGCGCCACGTGCAGCCTCGGGCCTCACCCCCATCCCATGGGCCCTCTGCCCACTTGCCTTGGTCTTTGTGCACACAGGCTGGCAAGTTCAACATCATCCCCACCATCATCAGCTCTGTGGCGGCCTTTACTTCTGTGGGAGTGGTGAGTTCAGCCCCTCCACGCTCTGACGGGCCAGTCAGAGTGGGGCCCGGACTGGTACCAGCAGGCAGGGGAGTGACGGCGGCAAAACTCTGCCTCTGCCTGGAATGTAAAACCCCTACCCCCACTTGCTAGGTGCTTCAGTCTCCTTGGCCACCACCCTGCTGCGTCAGCCCTGGCTGGAACGTCTCCAGTCATGGAGAGCTCATTACCTCCGGAAGCAGCCTTCCCGTTTTCAGGAGACTCCACCTGTTATAGAGTTCCCGTTTCTCACCGTATAGCTGGGGGAGGAGGCTCTGGGTTTCTGCAGACCTGAGATGCCTTAATGAGGAACAGAGCCCACGTGGCATGGTGGGCACATAGCCTGCCTTCAGGGACTTCCACCCTTCCACCCCACGCAGTCCTCTCTCTGTGCAGCTGTGGTCTGGGTCACCCCTAGGAGCTGGGAAGGCAGCCCTGAAACATCCTGCAAAGTCCCTGGGCATTTTTCTAAGAGGGAACATCATTCAGTCCTCCCTGGAGGACTGGTCCCCACCCTGGCCTGCAATCTGCTAACATGCTAGCTCGGATCTCTCTTCCTCATCTTATAAAGCCACCAGCTCCCCTCCCATGATAGCCCATTAATCCATTAATCCATGCATCCATGAACGGATTAATCCATCCATGAGGGCAGAGCCCGCAGGGTCCAATCACCTCTTAAAGGCCCCACTTGTCAATACTGCCACGCTGGGGATTAAGTTTCAGCACGAGTTTGGATGAGGACATTCAAACCATAGCACTATCCCAAAAGTTTGTTGCAAGGGTGAAATGTCCTGCCCACTGTTTAGGCAGCTTGGGGGTGCTGCCCGAGCCCAGCACTTCCTGCCACCCTGATCCCACCCAACCCAGGGCACCCCTCGGAGCCCGCCCTGCCTCTCCTCCTCCAGGGAACTGTTCTCTGTGACATCATCCTGCTCAACTTCCTCAAGGGGGCCGACCAGTACAAAGCCAAGAAGTTTGAGGAGGTGAGTTGGGGAAGGGGCACCCTTGGATAAAAGGGAGAGGGGGCAGGGCAGGCAGGGGCAGGGACTCTCAGTGGCTCCCCTTCTGAGGCCTTCTGAAGGGGGGTTCACCAGGCCTCAATGAATATTTGGGGTCCAGACAAGGGAAGGCTTGGCCAAGACTGGGCTCTGCAGAGAATCTTGGGGGTTCTGTGGGTCATCTCTGTCATGGTCCCCACCCCGTCACCTCCCCTCTCCATTTCTGGGGCAGGACTAGGGGAGGCCATGGGATGAATGGGGTTTCTGTTTGCCCTCGGGGTACATGGGAGGGGCCTTGGGATCACACAGATGTCCTGGCTCCCCTCATGACTAGGTCATGGGCGCCCACTGCTGAGTCTGTCAAATGGGGTCACAAAAGAGGACATTGCCCATAGTCAGAACTTGACAACACCAGCTCTTTCGCCTGCAGGTGAATGAGACTACGCTGAAAATCGCGGCTTTGACCAACCCAGTGTACCCCAGCGACCAGACCACAGCGGAGAAGCAGTCCACCGATTCGGGGGCCTTCTCCATAGGCCACTAGGGCCTCTTTCCAGGGCCCCACACTCACAAAGGCTCCAGGCCTCCCCACAGAGGACCCTGCCTGAGCAAGGGGCATGGGAGGGAAGAGGGGCTCTCATTTCTGCTGCTCATTCCATGAGCATAGCTGGGACCCAAGTGTCTGGGCCTCCGACTGCTCCAGCAGACAGGCAGTGCTCCCTGCTGAGACCCCAATCTCACCTTCACTCCTTGCCTGGCCCCATCTGCTTCCTAGGACCCCTGGGGCAGGAGCACCTGAGCCATCCCCTTCCCAAAGAGTAGAGATTATAATGTAGGACAGATGGCCACAAGGGCCTACCAAGTGCCAGGCACTTTCACACACGTTATCTCATTTAATCCTTAGAATAATCCTATGAGGTAGATATTAGTTTCCCTTGTTTTGAAGATAAACCAAGGCTCAGAGAGACTGAGTCATTTGCCCCAGGCCAGATAGCCAGGATGTGAGAGAGCTGGGATTTGAACGTCCGTCTGACTAACTCCATCGCCCACACCCCATGAGAGAAGAATGAACTCCCAGGGTCCATCAGCCCTGCTGCTTCAGCCGCCTCCACCCTGACGGTGATTCGGTTAATAAAGAGTAAGCCCCATGCCTTTCCCAGCAACAAAGTTTGCATTTTAGGGAGACTGGTTAGACAGTGGTGAGGGACCCCATCTCTGACTTGGGTGCATCCCAAATTTAGAAGGAAACAGAAGGCATGGCTGTCAGTGAATTTTTCCTCATCACTCCCCATAGCTCTCTCCCCAAACCAGGGAAGGGGTCATTCTTGTTCTTCTCTGGGACCCCACACCCACACACATCTGGGCCCCCTCACTCTGGGGATTTGATTCCCGGACCTGGGATCCTGTCGTAGGCTGGGACCCTGTTCCAGGAGTTCAGCAGTCCTCATTTACAACAACAGTGAAAATGCTCCAGTAAGGCCTGGTGCCTTGTGAGCTGCTCAGCTGGGTTGGCCAGGCCTGTCCCCATAGGGTCTTAATAAGGTGCCCCATTTTCTAAGGTTAGAAGCTAAAGGGGCCTTTTAAACCATCTTATCTAACCCTCTTGCTTACAGATGAGCAAACTGAGGCCAGAAAGGGAAAATGACTGGTTCAGTGCCACAGTTCATGGCCAAAAAGGAACCCACATGTCCTGGCCCTTCAGGGAAGGAGGCAAGAACAGGAAGCTGGATCCATTGACCCAGACATCCTCTATCCCCTTTCTGTCCTCTCCTACAGTGAGAGGCCCAGAAATTGCCCCAGGGCAGGGCTCTGGGGCAGAACCAGGTTTTGTGAATCCTAAGCATATACAATTTGGGGGCATCTCTTTAGAAAGAATACAAAATTAGGTATTAGAAGGGGCTCATGCAAGTGAATGAGCCTAAAGAATGTTTCAATAGCTTCATGATAAATCTGCATCTGGCAGTCAGAGTGGGCATGATCATGAGGTCTTAGCTGCACCAGCTCAACTGTAGATGGAGGGCGGCCCCTCAACACACGGCACAGGAAGTGGGGAAGGGACAGCTTCAGGAGTAGTTCAGGAGGCTCAAATGGTGGGTACTTGCAAAGGCCTTGCCCAATGACCCCCCGCTCCAGGGGGAGAAGGGGTAAGACCCACCCCACATAAAGCTCAACACCCCTTCCCTCACTCTGCCCTAACCCACAGCCCCATGCCCAGGATGGTGGGGCATATCTCCCCAGGGTCAGCCTTGGGAATTGGGCAGTGCCTGGAGATCTGACCAGACTATGCTTCTCCAGCAGAGACATCAGTGAAGGCAGCACCACATTCTCCACCTGGGACTCCCCCAGGCATCCCTGGGGAATTCAGCTCTTGGGAGGCTGGGGTCACAGGGATTCTCTCTAATGGGGAGATGGAGGCAGTGGTGTCCTGAAGGGACCCTCCCCCCCAACCCCTCCCTTTTACCCAGATGGAGGTGGTCCTCCTGTAGGTGCCTCCGCCCCTCTGGAGCCGGCCAGCAAGTGTGTGTGAGCCTGAGGTTGTCCTCCGCATATCTGAACTAAGTTACCACTTCTGTGTGCTAGATGTAGGGTTAATATCAGTAGTGATAAAAACAGCTACCTTGTCTCTGTTGCATTATGGTTTACTCAGCACAATCACCAACATAATCACATGGACCCTCACACCAACGCTGGTGAGTCCGCTATGGTTTGTCATTAATCCTATTTGATAGAAAAAGAAATTTACAGTACGTGGAAATGAGATCTGGAACCTATGCCCATTCCTAACACTACATTGCCTCTTTAATCATTCAACATAAAAGCCAACACTGATTACTTACTATTGGCAGGCAATGGACCAAATGAGTGACAGGGATTGTCTAACTCAACCCCCACTTTACAGAAGAAGAAACAGATGCATACTAAAATAAAGAAACTGAAATAGAAGAACTGGGATTTGAACCTAGAACTTAATGACTCTGGAGTCTGAGATCACGACTTCTATGCTCTATCTGGGGAAAATCCAGAAACTTGTTAGTACCTTTTTTTCCTATGTGTGTTCGTTCAGGTAATACAGGTTTTGCTGCAGTGACAAGTAAAATCGCAAGGTTTAATACAGCAAAGTAGGTCAGACAGCCCCCTCCATCTGGTAGCTGTGCCATCTGAGACACTTGGACTCCCAGGTCACTGTCACAGGGAAAGTGAAAACTGGAGGATCACAGGGGGTAATCTGAAGATCAGGCCTGGAGTGGGCTTACTTCACCTCCAGCCACTTTCCATTGGCAGGATTCAGCAGCGTGCTACAGAGCCCAGCTTTACTGTAAGGATACTGGGAAAGTCCTAGTCCTCTTGGGTGTCTAGGAAGAGAAAATAGTGAGCACGGCCCTGGCTCTGCTTCGTTATCTCCATTTTAATAGCTTCTCTTCTCCCCCTCCCACCCCACTCCCACCATTTCCACTGACAATTCCACACATCCTTCCCTTCTGTGTTCCTTCTCACAAAACCTTGTTCTCAGCAAGCTGCCAATCAGCCTTCCAGGGGTATTAATAGATAACATTCTGGGGAATTTCTTCTCTCAAGAGTATTTCCTTTTTAATCAGGGGTTATTCAAGACTGGAAGGCCTTAATCAGCCAAAGGAATGAAAATATAAGAATTGACGTTGAGGCCTAATGCTAGATCGTGCTGGAGATTTGAGGGACATCTTATCTACCCTGGTCTGCCTCAAGTAAGCTTCAGTCTGGAGGAGTCTTAGCCCCTCTTCTTTCCCCTCCCTACCTCTACCCCTGGTTTTGACTGGCAGGATGTTGGGCTACTGGATTTGGCTAAAGTTCGTTCTCCATCAGGGAGATAAGTAGAGGTTATACAAAGGGCTTGGCATTCAGCTGAAATCCCAATCCCCAGACCACGTGCACAGAACTTCCTTTATCGCCTGTCCTTCCCACCCCCACAGACAGACAACACTGTTCTTCTAGAAGCATAGCATCAAAAGTGGGCTTATTCTAAAGCATGACTCTCCAATAGGAAAAAAAGAAAAAGAATGGGCTTATTCATATAAAAAAGAAAAGCTCAGTATCACTGATCATTAGAGAAATGCAAATCAAAACTACGACGAGATACCATCTCACCAGTCAGAATGGCTATTACTAAAAAGTCAAAAAATAACAGATGCTGGTGAGGTTGTGGAGAAAGGGGAACACGTGCTCCCTTGGTGGGGGCGTAAATTAGTTCAGCCATTGTGGAAAGCAGCATGGCGATTCCTCAAAGAGCTAAGAACAGAACTACCACTGGACCCAGCAATCCCATTACTGGGTGTATCCTCAGAGGAACATAAATCATTGTACCATGAAGACACAGGCACGAGAATGTTTATTGCAGCATTATTCACAATAGCAAAGACATGGAATAAGCCTAAATGCCCATCAATGACAAATTAGAAAAAGAAAATGTGGTACATATACACTGTGGAATACGATGCAGTCATAAAAAGAACAAGATCATGTCTTTTTTGGGAACATGGGTGGAGCTAGAGACCATTATCCTTAGCAAACTAAAGCAGAAACAGAAAACCAAATACTTCATGTTTTCACTTATAAGTAGGAGCTAAAGGATGAGAACTCATGAACACAAAGAAAGGAACAACAGACACTGGGGTCTCCTTGAGGGTGAAGGGTAGGCGGAGGGGGAAGAGCAGAAAAATATTGGGTAGGCCAGGAGCAGTGGCTCACGCCTGTAATCCCAGCACTTTGGGAGGCCAGGGTGGGCGGATCACGAGGTCAGGAGATCGAGACCATCCTGTGAAACCCCATCTCTACTAAAAATACAAAAAATTAGCCGGGTGTGGTGGCGGGTGCCTGTAGTCTCAGCTACTCGGGAGGCTGAGGCAGGAGAATGGCGTGAACCAGGTAGGCGGAGCTTGCAGTGAGCCGAGATTGTGCGACTGCACTCCAGCCTGGGCGACAGAGTGAGACTCTGTCTCAAAAAAAAAAAAAAAAAAAAAAAAAAAAAAAAAAAAATTGGGTAGTAGGCTTAGTACCTGGGTGATGAAATAATCTGAACAACAAATAAACCGCCGTGACATGAGTTTACCTGTGTAACAAACCTGCACATGTACCCATGAACCTAAAATAAAAGTTAAAAAAAAAAAAAAAGAAGGGACTATTGTAGTGTGTAGTGTGTGGATCTGTGTGGGGCCCTAATCCCAGGTAGCTCCCCTTCCATGCCCTTTGGGAGAAGGACCACTTGACATGCTGTGATTAGGAGCTGCCTGACCCAATTTCCATCCATGGCAGTTGGACAGACCCCTCTACTGAGGACAGGCCTTTTCATGTAGAGACAGTCCCTGGGGCCCAGCATGGGTAAAGTCCCTGGCAATGACAGCACCCATTCTCCTGCTGCCAGAGGCCTGCCCATGTTGAAGGGCCTCATCTCTCTGCTTTCTCCATCACCCACTTTCCCCAGGGCTCTCTGATCCTGTCCCCTCAACTTTAGCACCCTTAGAAACACAGCACATCTGGGAAAAGTTCTTTTCGCTCCTGAAACCACATCCCATCAGATGCTGGTACAGATATACACAAACACACAAACATAGTCCTGTATGCAGTTATGCTCAGACACACACTGAGACATATACCCACCCACATACATACCAGTCAAAGACACAGAGGAAGACACATATGCATACACAGAGAGATTTGGGAACATAAGGCTGCAAAGCTATGGAGACATATGCATTCACAGGTGTACGCAGACAGACATATCCATAAATACACAGAGATATATAAACATATGCATACTCAACATGCAAATTCATACTGACTCACAGATTTATGCACATTTACATATACAAATTCACACATATACAGGTATACACATGTACACAAACACTGACACATGTACACACCAAGATATATACGCACACATGTACATGTGCACACACAGAAATACTTTTGTATTCTCCCTGGGCCCCATGTGGAAACACACTCCCAAGAAGTCTGTCTCTCCCCACTGCCTCCACCCCCTACAATCCAGGGCTCTCTACCGTCTTGATACCCAGTCTCAGTTCTGAGTTTCCTACTTCATCAACTCTACATCCTTCCTGGAGCCCAGTACCTCATCTGTGACAAAGTTAATAGCAACAACAATAATGTCTCTCAATGTCCCCAGGGTCTGAGAAAGTGGGGGACGGAGAGACACAGAGGCCTGGGGCTGCAGAACTGGGAATGGGAACTACCAGACACCCTGGCTTTGTGCCCAGGGCCCTGCTGGGGAGAAGTCGCTCCCTCCTAAGGATGTGGCCCCTCTACAGAGGTAGGCCAGGAGGAAGGAAGGGGAGGACCACCACCCTCCTGGGAATGGATGGGGAACATGCCTCAGAGGAGGCTGGGGACTCACAGAGGTGGCTGGAAATAAAATTGGGGGCCATTACCAGAAGCCAGAAAGGCATAGGGCCAGAGGAGCAGTCTGCCCCAAGACAAGACTGCTTTCTCCCCACTTCCTCGTGTTGTCCCCTAGGTGGGACCTCAGTGTTCCACACCAACTCTTAAAACAGCTCCATCACCTTTATTTTGGAAAGCCACCCCACCCTGCACCGCATACTGAATCCAAACAAAGCAAGAGGACCAGCAAAGCACCCCACACCAACTGAGCTCCCATCCCCCACTCCCCCAGTCCTTACCCATACTCCCAACCCCTCCCTCCATCACACCCAACCCTACTCCCATCCCCACCACCATCTCCACCACTTCTACTCCCACCCCCCACTCCCCAATCCTTACCCATACTCCCAACCCCTCACCTCTATCACACCCATCCCTACTCCCATCCCCCATCTCCCACCCCTAACCCTAATCCCAACCCCTCACCTGCACCACACCCATCCCTACTTCCATCCCCCCATCTCCCACCCCCACCCCTACTCCTAACCCCTCACGTCCCCACTCCCACCCCTACTCCCATCCCCCCACCTCCCACCCCTACCCCTACTTCCAACCCCTCACCTGCACCACACCATCCCTAAACCCATCCCCCCACCCCTACTCCCATCCCCCCACCTCCCACTCCCACCCCTACTCCCAAACCATCTCCACCACCTCTACTCCCACCACCCACACCCCTGTCCCCATCCTCCCAACCCTACCCCACGCCCGGGGAGGCCTTCCGGCCGCCCCAGGTCCCGCTCTGCCGCCCAGCGCCGCCGCCAGCCCCCACCGGGCCGCCCTACTCGGCCATGGCTCACTTTCCCGAGAGTGAATGCTTCCAGGATTTTTCCGAACTGGAGTAATCCCCAAAGTGAGCAATAAAGAAACGAGAGTCAGGAAATGCTGTGGGAAGTCTGGATTTATGAGCAGGAGAGGTTGGGGGACGGGAGGGAGCTGCTGGCAGGGTCTCCGTGCCGCTGGCTTAGAAGGAGCAGACGAAGGGCAGTTGCTTGTCGCATTGAGCTCGTCGCCAATAACCTCCTAGCAGCACAGAGCACAGTGAAGTCCACCGCCCTGCGGGGTCTGGCCTGGGCTTCACCTCTTTCCCTCCTCAGGGGCCCCCTATGTCCCCATCTATGGCCATCGTCATCTGCCAGCTGTGTGCTTGCCCCACATCCCTACTGGCTCACATTTGCTGAGCTCTTACTGCTAGCTAGGCTGTGTGCTAACTGCATTAGATGGACTTAGGTGGACTATTGCATTTAATCCTTACCATGACTCCAAGAGGTGGGTGCTGTCATCATCCCCATTTCACAGATGAGGAAACGGGGGCTTAGTAGAGATAAACAACGTGCCTGTATCTCAGTTGGCAAGTGGCAGCACTGGGATGTGAACTGCAGCAGTCTTGCTCTAGCACATATGGTCTCAGCCACTATACTAAACTCACATCTGGCACCCATGCTGCTGCCCATGTCTGCTGTTGGAGGTGGGCATCTTGTCTCTCAGCCATCCCTAATTCCCCCATCCTTCCTTTTCTCTCATCCACGCCTTATATCCACTTCCGCTACTCTCATTGGTCATACCTGTTGTTCGAATTTATTGCCCTCATATCAAAGGAGGCAAAGAATTTTCCCACACACACACCATCCAGCCCACCCCCCTGTCTCCAGAACTCCTATCACCTGGTTTTGCTTTGAGGATTCCCTATGTCTCAGCCCTCCTTACACACAGGACTTTTGTTCTTCAGTCAGCGGGAGGGTCTGAGTTTGGGGAGGTGTGTTCAGGCAGCTCAAAGGGGTAGTATTAAGAATCCACTTTACTATCCCTTCTCCCTGCCCTGGTGCCCTTCCCCCTCACCTTTGGTGCATAGGGCCACACAGGAGCCTTGCCCATTCCCAGGTTGCCCTGGGGACCAGTAAGCAAAATTCCAGTGGCTCCCATCAGTCCAGCAAAACCGCTTCCACAGGAACTAGAGAAGTGACAGGCTAGGTCAGAGGGCAGAAGTTCAGATCCAGGACCTCATGGAATACCCCCTGTTGACTTCTCTCACTGCCTACCTGGCCAGGAGCCAGACACCCTAGAGAGCCATTCCTAAGAGTTTCCAGGCAATGACAGGAAGAGCAACCATCTCTCTCAGCCATCACACAGAGCAGGCTTCTCAAACTTTACTGTGCGTACGTTATCTCCTGGGGATCTTGTTAAAATGGAGGTTCTGATTCAAGAGGTCTGTGGTGGGGTCCAAGATTCTGCAGTTCTAACAAGCTCCCAGGGGATGGTGGTACTGCTGATCTATGGACCATACTGCTGATCTATGGACCGTACCAAATATAATGCCACTTATTCACCCACAATTCCAGAACCACCCTGAGAGAAGAAGGTCCCCATTTCAGGGATTGAAAAAAAACAGAGGCTCCAAGAAACCTATTTAACTAGCTTTCTAAGTGACTAAGCTGGGCCTGGACTCTGTCTCATGACTCCAGTGGTATGCTGGTAAATGTTTATACCAGCTCTTGGGGTGGGTGGGAGGATGGGGAGTAGAAAGGAGCCCTGATGTGTAGCAATTGCCTATTTCCTTTGTGTAAATACTCCCACCATGGCTGATGTCAAGCTGCAAGCATGTAGTCACTGAGCATGGAGTTGGTAAGAGATGTGCACCATCAGTTCTCCTGAGCCAGTACAAGCCATCTCCAGCACATCATTGCCTGCCACATTAAGGAAACCTTAGCTGCTGGCCTGAGGCTTGGCACCATCAGATGCTACTTTAACACATTCAGAAAGAACTTACTGCACCCAAGATTTGGCCCCTGACTTACCCAGCCCCTGAGGTTGCCTCCAATCCAGACCTGGGCTTGGTTGACTGTGCTAGTGCAGCACTGAATGCGATAGTTGAAGTTGAAGTCATGGATAGAGACAAGGTTGCCTCCGTAGCATCTGCTGCAGACATTCTGCAGACGGAAACAAAGTAGAGAATTCCCTCTCATTTATTTCAAGTTTCTGAGTCTCCAGGCAAGAGCCCGGCATCCCTTTTCAGGTTAAAAATAAACCTACTTGCCTCCCTTAATCCTATCTTTTGCTTCTTAATTAGCTGTCAGGACAATCCTACAGGAAATGATAATACTCATAATAATTATAACCACCGCTTATTGAGAGTTTATTACAGCCCAGTGACTATTCCAAACACTTTTCATGTATTATCTCATTTAATGCTCACCACAACTCTAAGAAGTTGGTGCTATATATCTTCGTTTTACAAATGAAGGTGCTAAAGCTTTGAAAGGCAAAGCAACTTGCCCAGGTAACACAGCTAATAAAAGGCAGAACCAGAATTTAACACAGGCGTTTCTAACACCAAAGCCTTTTGTTTAAATCGGTGGTTCTCCCCAGACCAACAATATCATCATCACCTGGGGATTTGTTGTAAATGCAAATTCTCAGGCTTCACCTCAGCCCTCCTAAATCAGAAGTCGTGCAGGTGAGGCCCAGAAAGCTGTGTTTTAACAACAACTCCAGGTGATTCTGATGCATGCGAGGCTTTGAGAACCACTAGCCTAAATGAATAGGGAACAGAAGACTGAATGTACTCTCTTTTCCCCCAGGTCCTCCGCAGTAGCCTCCCTACTACTTACCTGAGCTTCTGCAAAAGTTTTAGGAGTCCGCACCAATAGGTAGCGGCAGATCTTGCACCTTGGACTTCCCTGCACTTCAACAATGTCTTCTTCCCTGGGGCACTGGAAGTCCTTGTCTAAGGCAGCTGGGTCCGACTCCATGGCTTCCTCATCCTCAAAGTTGTCTTGACAGGCAGAAGCCTTGACCTCCTCTCCCTCTGCCTGAATCACCTCCTCCGTCAGAGCCAAGTCTCTCTCCTGCTCCTTTGAACTATCCAGATCCTGGCCTAGGTCTGCCTGTGTCTCTAGGCTCTCCAGATGGGGGGCATCATTCTCTGGGAAGAAGAGGTAACCTGCCATCAGGTCAAGAGCTTCCTAGTTCCAGCACCGTGGACAGCTCCAGCAACGTCGCTCGAGCTTTCCTAGGAATTCCACCTGAAGACAAGACTGGAGGATTTCCTTGGTGTTAGGTAAGGAGAGATCTCTCGGGTCACACCCACAAATGGACAAGAACCTGACTTCTGGCCGACACCACGAGTGTGTGTTTTGAAGGTGGGAGAAAGCACGTGTGAGAAGCCTGGGGCAGTCACCAGCCCTTCATCTTAACAGGTGGGTGGTTTTTCCTTCTGAAAGTTCAGGTTACAGTTTGCCGGGTGCGGTGGCTCACGCCTGTAATCCCAGCACTTTGGGAGGCCGGGGCGGGCGAATCACAAGGTTAGGAGTTTGAGACCAGCCTGGCAAATATGGTGAAACCCCATCTCTACTAAAAATACAAAGATTAGCCAGGCGTGGTGGCATGTGCCTGTAGTCCCAGCTACTCAGGAGGCTGAGGCAGAAGAATTGCTTGAACCCGGGAGGCGGAGTTTGTGGTGAGCCGAGATCGCGCCACTGCACTCCAGCCTGGGCAACAGAGCGAGACTCCGTCTCAAAACAAAACAAAAAACAAACAAAAAAAAAAACAAAAACAACAACAACAAAAAAAAATCAAACAAAAAAGAGAAAGTTCCAGGTTACAGTTCTGAGTCCAAGTGATATCTTACCGGAGATGAGCTGTATCAGCTAAAGAGGGAAGGCTGTGGTCCTGGCCTCATGAGTGCAAATAAAAGCGGGGGGAGGGGAGTGTAGGAAAAAGGAAAAAAGGGAAAGACGCATGAGGAGGGAAGGGAGAGACTTACCCAGATGAAGAGCAGAAACTGTTCCCAGCAGGAGAAAGGGCAGGAGCAAGAGGCATTGCATATCTACTGTCTTTTAGCGAGGACACTACTCCACCGTCCTTCTTGGGGCTGTCTTTGTGTGTCTAGTATAGCCCCTGGCACATAGTATAGAGGGAATATTTGTTTAATTGTTTGATTAAAGAGCAAACAAGATTGCTTTCTCCTCTTGCCATGAACAGACCCTGAGCTGGAGAGTCTAGAAAAGGAATGGTGGGAGGGATAACTCAGGTACCAAATTTCATTTGTCTTCCAGTCTCCGTTGCTGCTCTCCAGTATCACCCTTAGCCCAGACTCCTGCCCCTGCGGGGACAGGTCTGCTTAGCTATGATGTTCCTAAGGACAGGCCTCCTACGTGTTTGCCCTATGAGGTGCTGCTTCTTCCCAGGGCCTACACTGGTCCTGCCTGGGCAGCCAGAAAAGAACTCACCTTCCAAGAGTCTGAGACCTCCACTCTCAGTGCCTCTGGCTTCAGGGGCCAGAAGCAGCCTTTATACTGGGTTTTTGGGGAAGTGGGAAGAGGCCAGAATGATTGCTCCAGGACAGAGTGGGGGACAAAGGAGCTGATAATGAAGTTTGCTCAGTCTTCTCAACCCTGTGCCCTGCTCTCTGCTGGGACTGCAGGGACCTGCCTCCTGGGGCCTACTGCCTTGTTTGGGTACCCCACACCCTGGTTTGCTTCAGAAGGCCCTAGATGTTATGTCCATTGTCCAGGCATAATTATTATTTATGCCCCCTAAAATGCCCCAGTCTGAACAACACGCCTTAACTCCAGGAGTAGCCTCCTGCTGGTGGAATCCCAGAGAGTGAAGTGGAGATCCCAGGGAGCTGGTGGGAGACAATGGGGGGAAGAAACAAGAGGGGAAAGGGAGGTTCAGTGCTCCCAAGCTCTCACCCATCCTAGGGGCATAGTGTGCAACACACCCCTCACCCTCATCTCCGCATCATCTCCACCAGGTACCACCCCTACTTCACAGAGGCAAAATGTGAGATTCAGAGAAAGAGAGAAGGCAACTTGCCAAGGTTCCATGGGAAGTGGAAGAACTGGAATTTCTAAGTCTTTTTGACTCCAAAACCTTCTCTCTTTCTTTCCTCTCTCTCTTTTTTCTCTCCCTTCCTCTTTCTCATCTTTTTTTTTTTTCTTTTTGAGACGGAGTCTTGCTCTGTCGCCCAGGCTGGAGTGCAATGGCAAGATTTTGGCTCACTGCAAGCTCCACCTCCCGGGTTCAAGCGCTTCTCCTGCCTCAGCCTCCCAAGTAGCTGGCTAATTTTTTGTATTTTTAGTAGAGATGGGGTTTCACTATGCTGGCCAGGCTGGTCTTGAACTCCTGACCTCGTGATCCACCCACTTCGGCCTCCCAAAATGCTGGGATTACAGGCATGAGCCACTGTGCCTGTCCTCATCTTTTTTTTTTTTAAGAGACAAAATCTTGCTCTGTCACCCAGGCTGGAGTGCAGTGCTGCGATGATAGTTCACTGTAACCCTGAATTCCTGGGCTCAAGTAATCCTCCTGCCACAGCCTCCTGAGTCACAGGGATTACAGGCACAAGCTTTCTCATCTTTAATGTGTGAAAAATCTACATCCTTTCTTCTGTGCTGTGGATCTAGATCAAGGTTCCTCAACTTTGTGCTATTAATATGTGAGGTCAAATAACTCTTTATTGTGGAGGGGCTGTCCTGGGCGTTGTAGAAAGTTTAATGGTCCCTCTGGTCTCTACTCACCAGATGTCAGTAGCCCCTCTCCCCACCCCCGCAGATGATCAAAAATGTCTCCACATGTTTCCAAATGTCCTCTGGGGAGAAAAATGGCCCCAGTTGAGGATCTCTGATCTAGGATATGCCACCTTGCCCAACCTCAAGGCATAGCTTCAGGGCTGGCAAACAGGCAGCATGAAAAGCTCCATACAGAGTCTCTCCAGCACTCTGTAGATCATCCTCTCCAACCAACACTCCCCTCCTCACCTCCCATCTCCCACCAGTCTTCTGTCACCCCAGGGTCTGGACTAGAATCAGGCAGGGGAGGCTCTCAACTCAGACACACTAAGAAATTAAGGGGACACTAAGAAATTTACTATTCAAGATAAATAACATTTTAATGCAACATTTCTTAAAAATTGAAATTAATGCAAAACAAAACATCAAAATTTTAACTGACCAAGCTCTAGACAAAATTTGCTGCACTTTAAAGAGAGGCCAGCATGTCTCAAGCCTTGAATTTGCCAGATGTCTCTGCCAAGAGCTAGTGGACTTGTCAGGGTGAACTCAGAGGCATCCTTGTGGGATGCTTCTCAGAACTATGCCTGGCACATGAGTGGAGGGTGACCCTTGTCAATTAAAATGTGCAGATTGGTAGGACCGGGCACGGTGGCTCATGCCTGTAATTCCAGCACTTTGGGAGGCATGTGCGGGTGGATCACCTGAGGTCAGGTATTTGAGACCAGCCTGCCCAACACAGTGAAACCCTGTCTCTACTAAAAATACAAAAATTAGCCGGGCGTGGTGGTGGGCACCTGTAATCCCAGCTACTCAGGAGACTGAGGTGGAAGAATAACTTGAACCCGGGAGGCAGATGCTGCTGTGAGCAGAGATCACGCCACGGCACTCCAGCCTGGGCGACGGAGCGAGACTCTGTCTCAAAAAAAAAAAAAAAAAAAAGTACAGATTTATTCCCCATATTCCACCCCAGCCCTCCATGGCTCAGGGAGCAGGGACAGGCAGCCCAGAGGGTGAGAAGACCTAAATTCCTTCCTCTTCTCTGCTCTTCCAAAAGACCCACAAATGGAGAAGTAACTGAGAGGCCATTTCTGAGTCTGATTGCAGAGTAACGGCCTTGATCACTATCTCCGTAGCCCAACGGACCAAACCCTCCACTTATCTACTTGACTGTAGGAGGACTGGCCAGGTCCAGGACCTAAAAACCTGGTCACTGGATTTCAAGCTTGAGACCTCCCTAGTGGTGGAGGGTGGAGGCATAGACCCCCATTTGCCATTATTCTTCCTCATTCATTGGCCCAAGCCAGGGGTACCATTTCACTTCGTGGCTGGGATGACCAATAAGGTTGGCTACTCTCAGGAACCAATACTACCATGAGCCTCACACTCATTCATTGTTTCTTTTTCTTTTCTTTTTTCTTTTTTTTTTTTTTTTTTTTTGAGACAGAATCTTGCTCCGTCACCTAGGCTGGAGTGCAATGGCATGATCTCGGCTCACTACAACCTCCGCCTCCCAGGTTCAAGCAATTCTCCGGCCTCAGCCTCCCGAGTAGCTGGGATTAGAGGCACCTGCAATCATGCCCAGATAATTTTTTTATTTTTGTAGAGACGGGGTTTCACTATATTGGCCAGGCTGGTCTTGAACTCCTGACCTCAGGTGATCTACCCACCTTGGCCTCCCAAAGTGCTGGGACTACAGGTGGGAGCCACCATGCCCGGCCTTGTTGTTTCATTTTACAGATGGAGAAATGACATCTCAGAGACTTTAAACAAGTTGCCCAAGGTCACAAGCAAGTAGAGACAGGCCTGAACCATAGGCTCCCAGCTCCTTATCCACCGGATAGCTGTGTTTCTCTAGCCTCCTCTCATCAACCTCCCTCCTGAACAGACCATTCCCTCTTTCAAGTCGATCCTGTTTTCACTGTATATAAACCCTGGGCAAAGATATTCCAATGACCTCAGTGACCTTTTCTGTCTGATTTAAAACAAGAAAAAACATTTTTGAAGGTCTTCCATGGACCAGACACTATGCTTCATTAAGGTTTTTACATCTGTTACTTAACAACAGCTTAATCCTTAAAAGTCATCCTACAAATTGGGTATTGCCATCTCTAGTCTATATAGGTACTACAAAAGCTCAGAGAAGTCAAATGACTTATCCAAGTTTGCACAACTAGTAACAAATGATACATCAGATCCTAGTCTGTCTGACTCCCAAATCTTTGCTTTCTTTGACACACCCAGATGTGTTACCCCCAGATGATCTAGCCAATGATGAAAACATTGCTTTCAGCATCCATGGAACCCCAAGCCTCTGGCTTAATGTTTGCATTTGTGTTCACAGGGGTTTCAAACTCCGCCTCTTGTTCCAAGATTCAGTCCATCCCCTCATTATGCAGACGGTAGGCCTTGCCATCTTGAGAGGCAGTGTAGGGTGATGTATAATGAAATCACAAGTTCCAGGGTCAGCCCCTCTCTGCCTCAGCTTTCTCATCTGTAAACTAAGGCTAATGACAAGACTTACCTCTAATGAGATCAGCTTAAGCAAAGCTCTCAGAACTATGCCTGGCACATGAGTTGAGTGAGGGTGGCCCTTGTCTATGAAAAAGCAATGAGTGCACTGTTGATTGAGCCCCTACTCTGTGCTCTGCACAGTGTAAGGAACTCCAAGGATTCAATGATAAAGAACCATAGATAAACAGTTTCACAGAGCTTAGTTAGTATCTTACTGGAGAGGAAAATTCACACACAAACCCATATTTTGGAATATTAGCCCAGTCCCCTTATTTCATGATTTTTACTTTTTAAGAAAAAGAAAAAATCTCTTTCTTTCTTTTGAGACGGAGTTTCGCTCTTGTTGCCCAGGCTGGAGTGCAATGGCACGATCTCGGCTCACTGCAACCTTCGCCTCCCAGGTTCAAGCGATTCTCCAGCCTCAACCTCCTGAGTAGCTGGGATTACAGGCATGTGCCACCACACCCGGCTAATTTTTTTGTATTTTTAGTAGAGACGGGGTTTCTCCATGTTGGTCAGGCAGGTCTCAAACTCCCGACCTCAGGTGATCCGCCTGTCTCGGCCTCCCAAAGTGCTGGGATTACAGACATGAGCCACCGTGCCCGGCCAAGAAAAATTTTTCAATGGATGTACAATGTGCTCCTATAAAGCACACTATAGAGTGGACTGCTCAGGGAAACTTCACAGTGAATGCACCAATGTAAACATGCCTAGGTCGAGATACAGGATGGGACTAGGAGCCCTGCAGCTTCCTTCGTGCCCCTTCTTGATATTACTCCCCCAAAGAAGATCTCTGTGGACTGGAAGTCAAACTTCTGTCAAAGTACACACCCACAGCGGCAGAGATTTATGAGGAACAAGACAAAGTTCACCTAACATTTAGCACAGTACCTGACACCTAGTAAATGCTTAATAAATGGGAAATATTATTACCCTTTGTTGTTAATATTGAAATAAGGGAAGCAATGCCTTTCCACACCAGAATATAAAGTCCAAGAGGGCAAGGAGTGAAAGTTCCACCTCAGCTGCATCCTCACAGCACTCACCACAGGGATGAACCCATAGTCCACCATCTTTGAAATCAACAGATTCTTGTGGAACAATAGTTGAAATGAACCTGAGTTTGATTTCTCTCTCTTTCTCAACTTACTATGTGACCTTAGAGAAGTAGCATCCCTTCTCTATACCACACTCCAAAAAAATAGAGTTCTTGTTTCACCCCTCTCTGAGCCCCTAATCCCATATGAAGATCTATGAATTGGAGGAATGCTGGAGAAAAAAATGGCTTTAGAACATTGAATTATTTTCTTCTGCTGACCTCCCTAGTACAGAAGGGGTTGAGAATGCCTTCCTCCCTCCCCTCTGATTAAAGCTCCCTCACCTCCAGCTGGGCTGGTGTCCTGTGTCCCAAGATGAACCCAAGAGTGAGACAGTCTGGCTTTCCTCCCCCCGTGCTTCATCCCCGTGTGACCATAAGGGGAGAGTAGCCAGCTGTAAAAGCACAAGGGTTAAAGTAACATGCTTTGGAGCAGAGTTGAATTTCAATATGAGTTGCATTTAGAGGTTCAGTCTTGGGCAAGTCTTTTGACAGATCCTAACTTCTCTGAGCCTGGTTCTGTAAAATAGGGCTCATAATTATTGATCACATGAGGTCATCTAGGCAAGGTGCCTGCCACAGCAGGGGGTATGTTGTGGGTGCTCAATAAGCGATAACAACTAGTAGATGTTTTTGTGCCTATGTTACAAATAACCATATATCCCAAGTGCCAGAGGACTATGTCTTGTATTCCCAGGCCTCATTCAGAGTCTGACGCATGGCAAGCTGTCTTATATCAGGTTTCCCCAGAAGGAGATCCTGAGAGAGGGAGTTGCGTACAAGTGTTTATTTGGGAGTTGCAGAGAGTAGGAAGGAGCAGAGAATGCAGTTGAGGAAGGGAAGGCAGCCCATAAAAATGCATGGAATAAGGCCAACTACCACAGCAGGCCACTGGGAAATGGTGCCCAATACATGTTAGATTTATTCCACTTGAGGGGCCGGGGATTGCGGTACTTATACATTCATTCCTGAATGTTGTGGACTGTTCCCAGGGACATGTTAACTTCCTTACATATAAAACCAACCACAGTTCTGGGGTTGGAGAGAGAGAGAGAAAAGGCCTTTGGTTACAGAGATGCAAACTGGGCCATTGGGAGTCTACCTACAACCTTGAAAGGTCCTGGCAGCACTATGCAGGTGCCCAGTAATCAGGTGTTCTATGAAGAGAACTAGCTGAGCCCATTCCTCCATCTCCAAAAGGCTCCATAGACCCAACTCCACCCTCCATCCTCCTCCTCAAGGAGTAGTAGCTTCTGACACTTCTATGAAAGTTGTGGTGTGGGGAGAGATGATAAGGAAGAAGTTTCAATGAGGGCTAAGCAGAGTGGATCCGCGATCAGAGGAGAAAATAAATCCATTTCAGTAAAACCCATTTTATTGCAGGGAGGTGGAGGGAGGGATGGCAAGCAGAGGAGGGGAGGCAGCTGCCCAGGAGAGGGCAGCTCTGAACTGCTGGCTGGGACCAGCTCAGTAGGAACAGATGAAAGGAAGTCTTCTGAGGCAGTGGGCTCGACGCCAGTGGCCTCCTGTGAAGGCAGAACAGAAAGGGACTTTCAGCCTCTTGTCCATCCCAACTCAACCCACAGGAGGGCCTCTTTTCCCACCCACACACTGCTGTGGAGTCAGAGTATATAAAAGACCCAGGAAGCCTCTCCCACAAAGGGTCAGGCTCTTTGTAGCATCTCCTCCTTGGGGCACTTCCCATCTCCCAGACCTTTCCATCGTTCATCCCCAGCCCCACCTCACCTCGGGTACACAGGGCCACGCAGTGACCACCGCGGGACCAGGGCTGGTGAGCAGCCCAGTATGCAAAGTTCCAGCGGCTGCCGTCAACCCACTGAAAGCGTCTGCAGCGACCCTGGAGAAAGCAAGAGGGGAAGAAGGGATGGGGCAGAGGGAAGGCAGAGAAGCAGACCTGGCCCCGTATCTGCCAGCTCTTTCTGCTGCCCACCGGGCAATGGGCCCTTCCCTGCTGGACCATGATGGGAACTGTCCTAGTCATCTGAAATGCTGATCCACGGCAATTATCACCATCAGATTCTATGCATCCCAGTGACAGGCTTGTCCTTCCAGCCCTAACAAAAGGTAGAACAAGGGTTGCCAACTCATCCTAGAGATGAGGAAACAAACTCATGGTCTTGTTTTAATTTTTTTTTTATTTTATTTATTTATTTATTTATTTTTGAGGCGGAGTTTCGCTCTTGTTGCCCAGGCTGGAGTGCAATGGCTCCATCTCGGCTCACCGCAACCTCTGTCTCCCAGGTTCCAGTGACTCTCCTGCCTCAGCCTCCCAAGTAGCTAGGATTACAGACATGCACCACCATGCCCAGCTAACTTAAGTTACATAGATAGTGAGAGATGGAAAGGAACTTGGACCCAAACCTCCTGATTCTAAATCCTTAGCTCTTCCCTGAATGCCCAGGCAGCCCCCTCAGTGTTGTCTGTGGGTGTCCATCTATCCCTGGTTCTTCTGGAGATTATACAGGAGAAAAACAGACAAATCTGATGCAAGCTGAGTGCTGGCTGAGATCAGCAGGTGCACCCCATTTAGTGTTCACACTTCTCTTACCGAGCCTGTGATCCTGCCTCCAATCCAGACTTGACCCTGGTTGAGCGCGCTGACAGAACACTGGATTCGATAATTAATATTGAAGTTGTGGATGGAAACCAGGTTGCCCCTGTAGCACCTCCGGCAAGTAAACTACAGGGCAGGATAAAAGACAAAGAATGGAGCATCCTTCCTACATGAATTCACATGGGTCTTGAGTCCCCACAATTCATTCCCTCCCTCCCCTGCCACAACCATTTGAAGGTTGGAGACCAAAATGCAACTTCTGTTTGTAGGTGGCCCTCCCCTCTTACCCCAACACCTCTCTGAGGCTCAGGTTCTACTGACACCCCCAGGGCCCTCAATGGGAAAAAGAGCCAGTGATAGCAATGCTGGGGGCATATCCCACACCCGTTCCATGCTCCCACCTCAGCCTCAGCCATAGGCCACTCACCCAAGCTTGACTAAACGTCTGAAGACTTCTCACCAGGAGGTAGCGGCAGGTCTGGCACCCAGGGATGCCCACCACTTTTACTGTGTCCTCTTCCTCAGGACACGTAAGGTTTTTGTCCACCATATCTGGCACTGAGATAGACTCAACAGCCCCATCTTTCTTGGAGGCATCTTCACTTCCAGAGCCCCACTCCTCCTCTTCCTCCAGCTCCCTGCAAGGGGTCTCCTCCATCTCCTGCTCTGGTGTCTCCTCATCCTCAGGCAGCGTCTTAGCACCCAAAGGGGTCTCAAAGGTGGAAGTCTCAGACCCTGGCAGGGAGGATAGCTAAGTGTCCTTCCTTCACATCTCCCCTTGTTCCTCCCCAGAACCACAGACAGCTCACACCTTGCCCTGGGCATCAGAGTGCTCAACTCTGCCTGGGAAGGGGAACCTGGAACCCAGTCTCTATGAGGGGAACCCAAGCTGCCTGACAAGGTCAAGGTGGTTAAGAGCATGGACTTAGAGTCGGGCAGTCATGGGCTTGGGTACTGGTTCCATCATCCACCAGCTGTATTTCTGTGAAATGGGTATACAATACCACCTACTTCATGGCGATGCTAAGAGAGTTAAAGGAGAGAAGGCACTCAGTAAGCTCAAAGTAAGCATAATGGAGAAAGGACAAAATTGGGAATGTCACAGTAGAACCAAGACCACAGACATAACAGACGCCTTGAGAAATCCTTTCAACTCCTGGCCATAGAGTCCCCATCCCTTTAAGCACACAGAAATTCAGAAATAGAAGACGATCAAAGAAGGGGGTGGGTGTGTAACTCTGACCCCATCTACCATAGAAAGGGAAAAAACAGAGAAAGAAAGACTGAAGGCAAAAAACACTTACTTAGATGAAGAGCAGAAACTGCCCCAAATAGAAGAGCCAGAAGTAAGGGGAGTTTCATCTTGGCTTTATCCTGCAACGGAGAACACAGTTTGTCATTGACACACACAGACACACATGCACACACATCACAATCACACCATTAGGGGACCGTGGGAGTGAGGTGGAGAAAAAGAAGGCCTGAATAGAAATCAGGATGGGCCAGAAAAGCTCATGCCAAGCCCAGCTCCTGATGCTCCAGGATCCAGGACGCAAGGACCTCTTTCTAAACAGAACGCAGCAAACCCTGAGGGGTGGCTGAGGCTGGCTTTCCTTCAGGCCCGGAAGTAAAGAAGGGACTATTACGCTTATTTGTTTGTACTTAATGGGTCCCTCAGAGTCTATGACATAAAAAAGGCGGGAGAAGCAATGATTATTGGCTTTCCTAGGAACACATAGGACTTAGAAGGTATGTCCCCTCCTCAGAGTTCAAGAAGCCACCCACACCCTCCTCCATGTCTCCACCATCTCCTTTCCCCAGCCAAGGAGCACTTTCACATCCCGCAGAAGGAATGTGCAAGGCAGAGGATGAAGGCTGCCCCTGCTGACATCCTCATAACCTGAAAGCCACAGGTAGACGCCTGCCAGCCCTCCAGAAACTGTCAGCCACAGCCAGGGACCTCCTGGGAGAATAAACTGTCACCAGCTCCACCACAGCAGAGAAAGCACTCACCCACCCAGAGACCTTCCTGGGTCTTTAGATCTTCCCAAAGCCCAGGTCCTTCTTTGCTTCCTCTCACAAAGACTTCTTATATAGAGGCCTTGGAGGAACTTCCCCCAGGGAGAGAGAGTTTGCCTCTGTCAGAGGGAGATAGCAAGGCTGATAAGGACCATTTCATCACTTCCCTGGGGAGCCCACTCATTCATTCAGTGAAGATTTCTCTCCCGATACCCACTTCAGGAACCCAGGGGCCATCTGGAACAGCTCTGGGCAATGGTTCTTATCCTGGGCTACACTTCAGAATCGCCTTGGGTGCTTTTCCAAAATACATATCTCCCCTGTTTTACTGGTGTTTTGAACTGCCACAAACATTTTGAGAACAAATCTGTCCATACCTATTAAAATAAAAAAATGCACATTTGATCAGTTTCACTCTTTTGAGACTATCCTTTAGGCATAAATGCGCCTATAAGTAATAAAACTTTTACAGAGTTATGTTATTCCTTGACTATTTGTAGAAATGAAAACAATATTGATATCCATCAATCGGACACTGAGTAAAATGTGTCCTCTCTATTCTACAGAATGTTATATGGCTATGAAAAGAAGAGCTGGACCTGTATCTATAAACCTGAAGAGATGTTTCTGTGACATGAAGTGAAAAAAGGCAAGATACTGAGGAAAGTATTTAGTATGTGAATAGTTTTACAAGGAAAAAAAAAACCCCCGCATAGGTGCTTATCTGTGAGCATCCTTATGTGACCATTGATGGAGGGAATGCTAAAAGGAATCACACCAAATAGTTGACCTTGTTGCCTCCAGAAGCAGGGGAGGAGAGGGAAGAAAGCAGGAGACAGATTGTTGTTTATCTTCTTTTTATAACTTTGCATTTCTTCAGTGGTTATGGTAAATGCGTGCTGAATCTGTAATTTTGAGGCTGCCTTATTAAAGATTTTTAAAAATATGCAGATGCCCTGCCCAGAAACTTCTGCTTGGCTAATAGGTCTAGCGTGAAGGTCAGATGTCTGCATTTTTTTAAAAGCTTCCCAGCTGACTGTGATGGAAGATGGGTCTAGGAGTCACTGTCCTGAGGATCTTCAAGTACAGGAAATGTTCACGTATGTCTAACTTCTTTCCTTCTGAATCAGACCACTCAGTTGGCCAACCTACCAGCCTTCATTATGGTAACATTTACTGAACATTTTTAAATGCCATGCATGGCAAGTGGCTGGATGCAGTGGCTCATGCCTGTGATCCCAGCACTTTGGGAGGCTGAGGTGGGTGGATCTTTTGAGGTCAGGAGGTTGAGACCAGCCTGGTCAACATTGCAAAGCCTTGTCTCTACTAAAAATACAAAAATTAGTCAGGCATAGGGGTGGCTGCCTGTAATCCCAGCTACTTGGGAGTCTGAGGCAGGAGAATCACTTGAACCCAGGAAGTAGAGGTTGCAGTGAGCTGAGATTGCACCACTGCACTCCAGCTTGGGCGAGAGAGTGAGACTCCGTTTCAATCAATCATCAATCAACAAAATACTGTTCATGGCAAGTATTACCTCATTTAACCTGATTTTAAAAACCTAGTGAGGTAGGTGGTTGATACCCCATTTTCCAAGTGAGACAACCCAGGCTCTGTGTGGCTCCTGATCTCCCCGCAACACTGCCCTTATTGGATCGATGCCCTGTATACACCCTCTTGTAGCTCCAGGGGCTTGTCCTTATCAGTTAGTCATTTTACTTTTCTTGTGAGATTACTTGGTTAATGGATTAACATCTGTCTTCCTTCGTGATGGTGAAGGCTGCATCTCTTTACTCACCATTGTATCCTTGGTGCTTAGTACAGTGCCCGGCACATAGTAGGTACTTAATAAATATACATTGAAGTAATTAATGGTTAAGTAACGTACTCACGTAAACAACAGGGTTAGAATTCAAATCCAGTTCTTTCTGGCACCAAACTTCTCTCCCCTCCCATATGCCTGCTTGTGTGTCAAAAATGATGCTATCCAGGTGGAGATAAAATCAGAGTGAAGCATAGATCCTGTATTCAATTAGCTTACAACCTAATTTGTAAGATGAGTAAATTGAGGTCAAACAAAAGGAGAAGGGTTAAGACCAAGCTAGGAAACATCCTCTGCTAATTCAGAAGGAAGTCCATGCATAGTAAAACAGAGCAGAAAAGGCTCCATGAACCAAGGAGCTGATTCCTACCTGGATGGAAAGATGCAATTAGAAGGGAAGGAAACAGGCATTTCAAGTAGAAGGAACAGCTTGAGCAAAGGTGTGGAGGTTGGACAGCCTTGGTATATGCACAGGACACTGTAATTTCCTTCATAACTAAAGTTAACAGTACACACATTGGGAAGGAATGAGAAAAACGAGGAACGATGCATTTCATCTTGAGCCGAGGATGGAGATAACCCTCCCCTGTCTCCATTGATTTAAAAAGACAGAAGCAGGAATCAAAGGAATACTCAACAAGAGCCTAGTCAGGAGCTTTGAGCTGGGCTCTGCGCACTCCCATCTGCAAGCCCTCCCCACAGGACCTCTTTGGCTGTTGGACAGAGGATTACTGTCATAAGGTGATGAGAGGGAGCCCATTCTTGGAAACCAGTTGACTGTTCAGGGACCCTCACTCCTAGGGAAGTCTCTCTTTTAGGTCATACAATCCAGGATCTGAAATCCACAGCTTAGCAACCCTGAAAATTTCATCAACATTCACTGGAAGTATACAGCAGTGTCTGAGAGGGTGGCTTCTGGAGTCAGACAGTCCAAGTCAGACTCAAATTGACTGGGTCTAGCACTTAATAGCTGCGTGTCGTGTCCTGGGCAAGTTCCTTAAACTTTCTGTACCTCATATCATCATTTATGAAGTAGGGATGACAATACCTACCTCACTGGGTAGTGTGAGAAATGAATGAGATAATTCACATGTAGCATGCATGCTGTGAGCTGCCCAGTCACCTCACCCCTTCCTGTGGTTTCTTGGATTCCATTTCCTATGGATCTTGGTGGAGGACAGGCCTCTCATTTTTGAAGACAAAAGTTCCTAATAGATTTTCAGCTTCCTTTGCAGCTAACGCATATGACTGGGCTCTATCAAAGAGAAGAAGCATCTATTCAAGATTTTGAATCTGGAGCTAGTGACCAAAAAGATGGAGGCCAAGAAGGCCTCTCTCTGGCGGTGGCGTTGACAAGATTGAGTTCCTGGAGTTGCAGTACCCACAGAGGCACTGCAGGATACATTGATCCAGGGTCTGAGCCCTACAACATCCTGGGTGCCAGACACAAGGTCTAGGTCTCAGCAGCAGTGGGATCCTCCCTAGACCTGTTCTGCAGCCTGACTTTGGCTCCATGTCTGGTTTTCCGGCCCTTCCTGCAATTTCATGAGCTACTCCGTTTCCTTTCAGTCCTGGATTTTTCTACTTAGATCAGCCAAGGAGAGTTTCTGCTGCCTGCCATTAAGAGCCCTGACTGATGCAGCATTTAGCACAGAAACTGGTATTTAGTAATTGCTTAGTAAATGAATGCTACCCAGGGTCTTTGAGTGTGACCAGCATTAATCAAACTTTCAAGAGACTGATGTCTACTTTTGGTGCCAATGACATAAATGAGGTTGAACGGTACTCACAAGGGGCCCACTTGCCCAGGCTCTCTGATAAGCACATTCTTTCCCTGCATCACAACTGTGGTGTGCTCAGGACTTGAATTTCAAATGGGAGCGAAGAGCTGGAGGCCTTGGGGTCCAGTGCCTTTGAGCAAGAGAACGATACCCATCATCTCCGTTTAATCCTCAGCCCTGCCTCCTTCCCCAAGAAATGTTGACTCATCACTGCAGGATCCTGAATCTTAGGCATCCTCCTTTCTAGCCCTAAAGTTACTACAGAGCTTGGAGGTTCCTAAACAGACTCAGTCAATCCTCTCCATACCAGCACTTCCAAAGGGGACCTGACAGATCACCTCTGCATTTAATCTTTTCTGATCTAATTCTCGGGGGGCTCATCCCAACTTTAGGCTTGTGGGGGAGTGTGCTGTAGCTCCTGGTACAAGCTGTCCAGGGTCAGACCTGGTACTGAGGGGTCTGCTCTTCTACAAGAGTGGGCTGTTGCAACAGGAGAAAAACATGTGTGCACCAGGCAGAGCAGAGATCACCTTGGAGATGGTGTCAATACCAAGGAGCTCTTGGGATGCCCCTCCCATGCCCAACCCCCAACACATGACAGCTTAAAGACTAAAAAAACCACCACAGCTCCAGATATGCAGCTCACACTATTCAGCCCTCACCTCCACCTGCATCCCTCCCCACACCCTGCAGCAGAGCTTTTCAACCTGGAAACTATGAATAGGCTTCAAGGGACCATGAACCCTGCAATTATAGAAAACATGGTGTGATGTTTCTAGGGTGAAGGTCCAAACCCTCCATGAGATTCTTTGATGACTTCCCAAAAGGCAAGAGAACCTCTAACTTTACTGAGTGATTTTTTTCTGGAAGAACCAAGAATGACATTCCACTGTTCTTCACCAATAAAGTCCTGCTTGGCCCTTTTGACAGGCAGAATTCAGTTGTCCCCTGGTGCACTGTGCATAATCCCTGGGACTGTAAATATGATGGATTTTACTCCTGTGGTTGTGTGATGTTACATGCCACAGTTGACTTTAAGGAAAAGGAACTGCCCTCTATGGGTATGATCTAATCAGGTGATCCCATAAAAGAGACAGGGCTCTCTTCCTGAAGTCAGAGAGTCCAACCATGTGGGTGATTCAATCCAAGGGAAATTCTCCATCACTGGCTTCAAGGATGGAAAAGACCACGCACGTGGCAAGCAATGTGGGCAGCCTCGAGGACCTGAGAGCAGCCCTCATCTGACAGTCAGCAAGAAAACAGGACCTCAGCCCTGCAACTCCAGGGAACAGAATTCTGCCACAACCACGTGAGCCTGGAAGAGAACCCTAAACTCCAGATGAGCACACAGCCCAGACAACATCTTGATTTTAGCCTTGTGAGACCCTGAGCAGAAAACCTAGCCATGCTGGGCCCACACTGCTGATGAACTCACGATGAGCTAATAAACATGAGTTGTTTGAAGCTGCTAAATTTGAGGCAATTTGTTATGCAGAATAGAAGACTAATACAGCCCTCAAGGCCCATCTCCCTCCCACGGTGAAATTTACAGTGGGTGTAGGGATTGGCAGAGAAGGGTCCCACAGGAACGGGCTGAGGAGCTGCTGGAAAATAACGAAGGTACAGCAGAGAGGTAAGATGGACACTGAGAAAGGGAGGTTTGATTCAGGCCAGAGATCCCACCATTCTCTCCCTCAGACCATAGGAAGCCAGGTGGCCCTTCTAGTTACATGTTCTGCTCCAGGATTCTCTCCCCACCCTCAGAAAAGTGACAGACTCCAGGGACCTGATCTCTGGGGCTGATCAACTGCTTGTTAACTGGGCTTGGCCAACATCCCCACGGGGCAGATAAAAGCTGGTGAAAGAGCTAACGCCACTGCAAGGGTGAATGGCTCGGGAGATATGGACTGGGCGGTTGTTCTGTGAAATCGGCCTGGACAACAGTTCCCCATTTGGATGCCCCAACAATTGACATAGACCAAGACGATTGGCATGTGAGATCTGGAAGGCCCCTTAGAAACGAACCAGCACAGTCCCCACGTCTCAGATGGGTTCTTCCCGCTTCCTCAGGAAGTGACATTATCCTCTTTCCCCTCCAGGAACCTCTGCTCCCAGAGACCATGAACACTCAGTGAGCTTAGAAGGAATATGTCTTTGCAGTAATTGCCTCCCCTGCCCCATCTTCTACCTTCCCCAGTCCGTCTACTTCTCCCTATCTCTGCTGCCACCTCACTAGCCCCTGCGACCATATTTGATAACATGTATCACAGGCCATTGTCCCCATGCTTCCCATTCAAAGTCTTCCCACATAGTAGCAATTAACCCAAACCCATTACCACCATCTGCAAAGTCTTTCATGATCAGGCTCTTGTCTACAAGCTCAAACTCACTGGCATGACAAGTGACCCTTGTCATCCTGGTCCCAGCTCCACTGGCCAAGCTAAAGCATTTGTACTGGTTAAAAGGCCACCTCCTCAGATAAGCCTTCTCCGAGAACTCTTTCTAAAAGAAGCCCACCCACCCCACTCTCCTATTTGGTACTTTTGTTACACATCATCACATTTATTTCCACAAGAACATTTACCAAAATGATATAATCTTGCTTTCTTACTGGTTTCTTGTTTATTATCTCTCTCCTTCAGAAAGCAAACTTCATGACAACAAGGACCTTGTCTGTCTTGTTCACTGCCTATAACTCTGCCCAGGTCATAGAAGGAGTTTTTCCATTACATAATGAATTAATTAATCAATTGACTAATCAACTTGAACTTTACCCCCTGGAGAAAGTTTAGCTGAGTTTAGATCAGAGCACACATGCATTTATTTCGATTCTACAGGTATTTTCTGAGCCTCATCCACCATGGACACAAGCCTCTACCAGGCTCTGGATCATCGATTGATTCATTCATTTATTCAACAAATACTTAAAGAGAATCTCTAGTTGCAGGGAGGTTTAAGGTAGCTGATAAATAAGGCAAACAGAACGAGCATATTAGTAAAACAAGGCAATATATTGAGGAGATACTCAGAAGTGTAGAACTAACATGAATGGAAGAGACACACATTTTCAGTGTTGTCAGGATCACTTAAAGTGTGACGGCAGGCAGAGAAGGCTTGCTTGAGGAGGTAGCGCTTAGCCTGGGCTCAACAGACTGACAGATAGGATAGGATAAGCAGAGGAGAAGTGGGATGGCATTTCTAGGGGCCAACCATCTCCTGGTAGTGCTGGAATTTGAGCCAGGATATGGATGATTTTGTGTTTCTTGGAGGTTAAGTCAATGAGTGAGCTGGCTTCTCTGCTTTGCACCAAAGCCAAGCTCCTCCAGCAAGTGGTGTAGACTCGCTGGCCACTTCCTCAACACCCTCTTCCTCCTCTTACCATAGCAGTCTTGTTTCTGTTATCCCTATTGCTCCACCAAAACTGCTTTTGCCCAGGTGCCCACTGACTACCCCATTGCCAAACCCAACAGACATTCTTCAGTTCTTATCCTACTTGACCTCTGCAGTAGTGATACCTCTTCACTTCCCCCTTCTTAAGAACTGCTTCCCTTCTCAGTAGCCTTTGTGGCCATTCCCTCCCAATTTCTGTTGGCAGGCTCCTCTTATTCTTCCAGATGGTTAAATATTGGGGATCACCTGGCTTCTTGGTGCACGTCTCTCCTAATTCTGCACACCCACCACGGGTTATGTCATCTACTCTTGTGGCTCAAGCTACCAAATATATACGCAGATCATTCCCAAGTCTTCATCTCCAGCCCCAGGCCTGTTTCTGAGCTGCAGACTCACACATATGGTCACCCAAGATGCTTCTCCACTTGGATGTCCCATGGACATTGTGAGTCCAACACATCTCAGACTGAACTCAACACACACACACACACACACACACACACACGCACAAACCTGCTTCACTTTTTGTGGTCACTTTCTCAGGAGAAACCATCACCTTCCAACTAGACCTGCAAGGCAGGACTCTGGTCATCCTTCACCCCTCCTGCCCATCATCCACACATTAGTTAGTTATAGTGCTTTCTTCACCATCTCATCCAGCCACCCATCCCCATTGCCTCTGCCACTTTCCTAGTCACCTGCTGACCGTTTTTCACCTGGATCATTTCAGTGGCTCCCAAATTACTTTCCCTGCCTCCAGTCTTACCACCCTCCTCCACCTCTGATGCACTGTCTACAAGCAGCCAAAATGAGCTTTCTAAAACCCAGAGCTAATCACACCAGCACTTTCCAATTACTCCTTCTTGCTCTCAGGCACAGTCTCCTTATGTTTTAGCGCCTACTTACCTAAACCTCTCAACACTGTGGACATTTTTGACTGGATACTTTTTTGTTACAGAGGCCTGTCCTGTGCATTGTTAGATGTTTAGCAGCCTCTCTAGCCTCTACCAAAAAGATACTAGTAGTACCTTCTCGGCTGGGCTGTGACAATCAAAAAATGTCTGCAGACATTACCAAATGTCCCCTCTGAGGCAAAACTATGCTCAGTTGAGAACCACTTCTTGACAACCTCAATTCTCCCCCTCACCACACACACACAGTGCTCCAATCATGTTGAACACCCTGCTATTTTCCTAACATGCCATGATCACCCATATTTTGTCACATGTCATTTCATCTGCCCAGAATGCCCTTTCCTCCCTAACCACTGCGCTCTTTCCTTTTCTTCATCGAAGTTTCAGCCAAGGATCACCTCTTCCAGGAAGCCTGCCTTGGCTCTCCCAGAGAAAGGTAGCAAGGACACTAATCAGGGCTTCTCTCTAGTCCAGCCCTCTTCCCACCTCATTGTAGCAATCTTCTTGCTGTTTCCCCAGTAGAGCCAGAGCCTTGCTTCCTTCACCTGTGCCTCTCTGGTCCTGCACAGTTCTGGAAACACAGTACAGGCTCAATTCATGTTTGCTGTGTAAGTGAATAAATGAAGAAAAGCAATTTTTGTTTAAGCTTGTCAAAGATTGAGTTGGGCTCCCTGAAATGAGATCTTAGGCAGAAATTTTAATAACGATAACAACAGCAGCAACTAATATTTAGGAAGTGTTTCTAGGTGCTAAGTATGTTAAGTGCTCCATATTATTCAACCTTCTAAACAACTCTAGGACACAAGTGCCATTAAACTACCTAAATTACAGACAAACAGCTGATCCTGGGAATGGTTAAGTCATTTTCCAGGTAAGTGTCAGAGCCAGGATCCGAATGGAGCGGCTGCACTCTTGTCCGTGACTCACTTCCCCTGTGGTGGTGAATAACTAGCACAAAGCCATTTACATACGTTGTTTAATGTAACTTACCCTGTAAGTTGCATGGGGCAGGTGATGATTTGGAAAGCACAAAGAATGTGGTCCTCGGATGTTAAAAGACCCTGGTTAAAAAATAAAAATAAAAAAATAAAAAAATAAAAGACCCTGGTTCCATTCTTGGCTCTGCTGCCCATAAGCTGGACCTCCTTGGCAGTTCCCTCATCCCCCCAGTCTCCTGTTGCTCATCTGTGAGTTGTTAAGGATGACCACCTCACAGATGTTGCAGGGCTTGAGGAGGACCAATTGAAATGTGGTGGTACAATAATCTACTAAGTGCCTGAAACATGGTGCCCCCAACAAACAAACAACAATGCTGAATATTGTCCTATGTTAGGGATAGAAAAAGCAAGGCTTGGAAAACTTAAGTGATAGTCCAAATTTTGCATGCCAGCAAACGGTGGAGCTTGGAAAAGAACTCTAAGTCTTCCGTTGGCCATGAGGAGAAATTTTCTGAGCCTCTTCTGCATAAGTGCTCATTACCGTGTGAGACACATCACAGTCCTCACCATCAGGGAACTAGAAGCTCAGAGCTGGGATTGTAGGTTGAATCTCTCTCTCTCTCTCTCCCTCTCCTCTCTCTCTCTCTCTCTCTCTCATGTCCAGTATTTACTGAGCCTCCATTCTGTGCTAAGTAGGGTACAAAGTTCTCAGGATACAGTAGGCAATACAAAATATACAGCTGCTGCCTGCGTGGAGTTCCCAAATGAAAGCCTAATGGAAGACACAACTGAATATTTTTAAAATCCTATGATGGTACATTAAACTGCAACTGTGACAAGCTCTATGCCAGAGAGGTACCTGGTGCTATGAAAACCAGTACTAGGTAACAGTACAGAAAGGAAGGGATATCTGAGCTGAGAACTGAGGGAACTATAGGAGTTAGCTATAGGTTGGGTAGGACACATTCCACAGAAACACAATAAAACTGTTTCACAGCCAGGTGCGGTGGCTCATGCCAGTAATCCCAGCACTTTGGGAGTCTGAGTTGGGCAGATCACAAGGTCAGGAGTTTGAGACCAGTCTGGCCAATATGGTGAAACCCCGTCTCTACTAAAAATACCAAAAAAAATTAGCTGGCGTGGTGGCACATGCCTGTAATCCCAGCTACTCGGGAGGCTGAGACAGGAGAATTGCTTGAAGGCAGAAGTTGCGGTGAGCCAAGATCGTGCCACTGCACTCCAGCCTGGGTGACAGAGCGAGACTCTGTCTCAAAACAAACAAACAAAAAAACTGTTTCACTGTCATGTAGCGTACTTGACCTGTAATGTGATTTTGCGTATGTAATAAAAATTAGTAGCTGCCATTAATGAAGGACCTACTATGTGCCAGGGCCGAGCACTTTTCACGTAGAGCCTTACTTATCCTTATTACTCTCTGAGGTAGGCATTATAGGTAGCAAACAAAGGCACTAAGATGCTTCATGACTCCTACAAGGACACCCAATCTAAGAACGTGATAACAGGACCCAGATCTGTCTGCCTGCACTCTTCCCCAGCCCAGGGCTCTGAAAGGAATTCATAGCCCTGCCCCTGGTAATTGACATTTCTGTGTGCTTGGATTCTCTCCATTGACTGCTGGGGAGACAAAAGTATCGCAAAAATTGAATATGAAGATTGATATTTTTCATTGACTTTGGCTTAAGATTTGGGGTAACTCGAAAGTCTTTTTTTTTTTTTGCCTTTGAAGTTTTCCCATTCCAAGTAATAAAGAACTTGTGTTGTTTTGTTCGGTGGAGACAAGCTAAAGCGAGTGCTTGCAGGGAGGTTTTCTATCCTGAACTATAATAGTGGCATTCCAGACTCCACAAGGTGTGAAGTGTGGTGCACGCTCTGAAGGGCACACAGATGTTACTAATAACACCTGCAGCCACACACAGCACACCTGCTACAAGCCAGGTGGTTTATATTGATCACTCACTACATGCCAGGTCCCCTTTGAAGTGCTTGACGTTCATCCAGCCACTCAATCCTTACAACTCTATAAAGTATTCCTATTGTTACTCCATTTTACAGATGAAGCAGCGGAGGTACCAGGAATCTAAGTGCCAGAGCTTGTGTGGGGAGGAACTGGAAGTTGGTCTTGGACAGTCCATCTCCAGAGCCCAAGCTGCTGCTACCTTTTATTCCCAAGGTTACTCTCTAGTCCTTGCAACAAACTGCCGTGGTACCTATTTCCATTACAGGTGAGGAAACTGAGGTTCAGGGTGGTTAAGGTCACACAGCTGATCAGTGCCTGCAAAGCCCAGAGCTTTCCCACACACCCTACTGCTCTAGCCAGCCTGCAGGCCTGGGAGGTGACACTGGACCCAGGAAAGAATATGCTGAGGGGCCTGTGAGCAGATGTTTGGGATTAGAACATAAAAACTCAAAATTGGGCGGGCCACGGTGGCTCATGCCTGTAATCCCAGTATTTTGGGAGGCCGAGGCGGGAGGATCACGAGGTCAAGAGATCAAGACCATCCTGTCCAACATGGTGAAACACAGTCTCTATTAAAAATACAAAAATTAGCCGGGTGTGGTGGTGCACACCTGTAGTCCCAGCTACTCAGGAGGCTGAGACAGGAGAATCGCTTGAACCGGGAGGCGAAGGTTGCAGTGAGCTGAGATCGTGCCACTGCACTCCAGCCTGGCGACAGAGAGAGACTCTGTCTCAAAAAACAAACAAACAAACAAACAAACAAACAAAACACCTCAAAATCCCTGGAGGGTCTGGTGTGAACACAAGCCATGGTCCTGGGTTTAAGATACACTCAGACATTGTCCTGTCTGTGAACTCCTTATCACCAGAGGACTGGATCTTATGCCTGGAAGCCTGGATGGAAAATGTTCTTCCCAAAGAATGTCAGAGGAATGACTCACTGCTGTGCCCATGTCACACCTGAAGCATTTGAGAGTCATCAATCCCCTGAGGGGCTGGCAGGAAAAAGGGCTCCTAGACATAACCACTGGGACCATCACTCCAAGCTTTGAATTTGGGGAGGACTGCTTGAGCCTGGGAGGTCGAGGCTTCAGTGAGCCATGATCTTGCCACTACACTCCAGCCTGGGTGACAGAGTGAGACCCTATCTGAAACAAACAAACAAACAAACAAACAAAACCACGTGGCAGGAGGAAGGCTCTCAGGGCAGAAAGATGAGAGCTGTGCCTGTGGGTTGTTTCTCCTGCTTACTCCCTCTCGCCCATTTTCCCTAGAAATCATCTCTGATTCTCACAGAATAGAAGTGTTCTTAGCAGCACCTGGGCAGGACCTGCCAGCACCTTCAGCTAAAGTACAGTTAGCACCAGATTATGGATAGTGATTAGCGGGTATGAGGTCATTCTCTGGAATATCCCAAGGTGCTCTTTTGTGATAAGCCCACTTGACAACAGCTCGCCTTCTGAGTGTTTTTATTATTTGCACTCTCCAATCTGCTGACCAAGGCTGCCCTCTGGCTCACCGTCATCTAGGACCCCCACACAGGCAGGGAAGGGGAAAGGGAGTAGGGGGTGGATGGGGATAAACAAGGCGTGGCAGAACCACGAGATGGGGTTGTGAGCAGCCATTTAAAATCATGTTTTTGGCTACTATTTGATTACATAAGGAAAAGCTTATGAGATCATTTAAATTATCACATACATCCAGTCAAATGACGGGAGGGAACATACCAACATGTTAACCATGATTATCTCTGAGTGGTCCAATTAATGGTGATGCGTCTTTTTCATGTCCCTCTTTATTTTCTCGTCTGTTTTAAATGATATCTTTCTTACAAGAGAATAAATGCAGGCTGGGCATGGTGGCTCATGCCTGAAATCTTGGCACTTTTGGAGGCCGAGGCAGGGGGATTGCTTAAGGCCAGGAGTTCAAGGCTGCATTTAGGTATGATGATGCTGCATTCAACCTGGGCAATAGAGCAAGACCCCACCTCAAAAAAAAAAGAAGAAGAAGAAGAAAGAAGAAGAGGAAGAAGAAGAAGAAGAAGAAGAAGAAGAAGAGGAAGAAGAGGAAGAAGAGGAAGAAGAAAAGAAGAGGAAGAAGAGGAAGAAGAGGAAGAAGAGGAAGAAGAGGAAGAAGAAGAAGAAGAAGAAGAAGAAGAAGAAGAAGAAGAAGAAGAAGAAGAAGAAGAAGAAGAAGAAGAAGAAGAAGAAGAAGAAGAAGAAGAAGAAAAGAAGAAGAAATGTAAAGTAAAGGTAATGTCTAAATGAATGTGACCTTGGGAGCCAGACAGACCTGGTTTAAATACCAGCCCCACAATGTGCTAATGGGTGAACCTGACTTTCTTCATCTATGAAATGGGGCTGATCATATGCACTTCCCTGGGCTGAATAGGCTTAAAAGGGATCATCACACAATTCCTATTTTATGCTGTTGGCTGTCCCTTACACGGCATGTGTTCTCCCCCTGATGGAAGGGCCCAGCTTGGCACTGTGGGGGTGTGATGGGGGCCAATTCACCTCCAGTTCCTCTCTACTGAGGCTGGTTACAGGAGAGAAGGGTTGCATTGGAAGCCCGTTGCTGATTGAAATCAAAACTTGTGAAAGCTCTGAGTTGCTTGCTTCCTCATTGGTTCCACTTGAGGAAGAAGTTGCAGGAGGTGCCAGGTACAGTGGCTCACACCCATAATCCCAACACTTTGGGAGGCCAAGGTGGGAGGATCACTTGAGTCCAGGCGTTTGACACCAGCCTGAGCAACAGAGTGAGACTCCCCAATCTCTATAAATAAATAAATAAATAAATAAAAGATTAGCCAGATGTGGTGGCATGCGCCTGTAGTCCCAGCTACTCAGGAGCTCAAACAGGAGGATTGCTTGAGCCTGGCAGGTCGAGGCTGCAGTGAGCTGAGATCACACCACTGCACTCCAGCCAGGGTAACAGAGTGAGAACCTGTTTCAAAATAAATAAATAAATAAAGTTGCAGGAGGAAGGCTCTCAGGGCAGAACGATGAGAGTTGCGCACGTGGTCACTTCTCCCACTTACTCTCCTCTCGCCCATCTTCCCCAGAAATCATTTCTGATTCTCACAGAAGTCTACTGTACACTTCCTGGGGAATCCAGGCATCTTTTCTTCCTTTAAATAACAGTTTTATTGAGGTATAATTAACATACCATAAGTCCACCCATTTTCATCACCCCAAAAGAAACCCCTTCCCCATTAGCCATCACTACCCATGGCCTCCACACCCAGGCCTACCCAATCATGAATCTACTTTCTGCCTCTACAGATTGGCCTATTCTGGAAATTTCTTTTTTTCTTTTTCCTTTTTTTTTTTTTTTTTTGAGACGGAACCTCACTGTGTCATCCAGGCTGGAGTGCAGTGGCACGATCTTGGCTCACTGCAACCTCCACCTGCCAGGCTCAACCAATTCTTGTGCCTCAGCCAACCAAGTAGCTGGGATTACAGGTGCATGCCACTACACTCGGCTAATTTTTAGTAGAGACGGGGTTTCGCCATGTTGGCCAGGCTGGTCACGAACTCCTGGCCTCAAGTGATCTGCCCACCTTGGCATCCCAAAGTGCTGGGATTACAGGCATGAGCCACTGCACCCTGGCCCGATATTTCATATTTAAATGGAATCATTAGCAGTTTCTTGTGTCTGGCTTCTTTCACTTAGTCTAATGTTTTCAAGATTCATCCGTGTTGTAGCAGGTGTCAGTACTTTTTTTGATTGCCAAATAATATCCCAAATATGGTACATTTCCTTTGTCCGTTCACCAACTGGTGGACATTAGGCATCTTTTTTTGGCTTTAATATATCATCTGTAATGCTAGCTGTGATCTGTTCAACCCACCACATGCCAAGCACTCGACCTAATTTGTAATCCTTACAACAGCCCAGAGAGGCATGTCTATTTCTCCCACCATACTGACAAAGAAGTGGTCCATCCAAAGTCACAGAGCTGACAAAGTAAGTGACAGAGCTGAGATTTCCAGAAGGGTTTTTTTCCACTGCACCACACTGCACCTCCCCCACCCCCATGTGTTTTTCTGGCTCCTTCTAATTGGTTCTGAGGCCAAAACAAGAATCCACTCATTCAACGATCATTCATTCAACAAGAATTAGCTGGTACCATGTGGATGGTAAGCACAGATTAATTAGAGCCAGGCGAGAACAGACCTTGCCTCCTGGAGTATGCTGCCCAGGCAAGGGGTGGGAGGGTCATGATGTGGAGGCAAATGCCAGTCACCAGGAAGGGTGTGACCAAGTGCCAGGGACTCAGACATGCTGGAAAGCCTGAGTAATGATTTTTGGAGAAGATGACATTTTGAGCAGGATCCCAGCAGACCAGATGGATTTCACAAGCTGAGGCAGGGTGAGCCACCCACGCAGAGGAACTGGTGCACACACAGACCCAGAGACTGGGAATCTTGGTCCACAGGGGTGGGCTCTGCCCCGCTGTTGGTAGGAGGTAAAGAGGGAAGGGGAGAGGTTGAGATCACACTAGTGACAGCCTTGAATGCCAGGCTAGCATCTGGATTTTTGTCCTGTGGACAGTGGGGAGCTGCTGAAAGCTTTTGAGCAGGGTAACAAGACCAAATCCATCCATTAGATTTAAACGCTGCTAATAGACACCACTAGAACTTTGGTGTCCGCCCTCAGACCCAGGCTCCTGGCCCCTGGAAATTACACCCCGACATCCACAGGAAGAAGGAAGAGCTGGGTTTCAGACCCTTCTGCATCTTTATAGCCCCAGCACCCAGGACAGGGCCTGACACGTGGCAGGTGCTCAATAAACATTTGTTGAATGAATGGATGGATGAACCTGCCTGCCACCCCCTGCCTTCCACCCCCATCCCCCTGCCTCCCACTGTTCTTTCCTAGTCCCTCTCCTAGCAAGGTGGGAATGAGACAGCAGGTGTGCCCCAGATTCTCCCATCCCACCCACCTGCCATCTCTCCTCCTGCACCCTCAACTTCTCCCTCTTTGCCCCCGTCCTCCCCAAGGGTCATGAGTAAACACAGGAGCAAACCCTCATGTGCTCCTACCATGTGCTAGGCAGTTGCAATGACTTTACATTCTCACAATCGCCATCAGAGATAGAAATGATTAACTGCACTTTGCAGGTGGGGAACTAGTGACTCAGAGTGGTTAAGGGGCTTGCCCAGCTGCTGAGGGGCAGAATTGAAACTCAAACTAGGAATTTCTGATTCCATCCAGCGCTTCTAGCTGGGGGTGTGTAGTGAGGAGTAGGGTTCTGCTAAAGTTAGTTAAGGATGTGGAGAGGAAGAGGAAGCAGAGGGGTTCCTGGGGGAGGAAGTCTCTGGGCCCACATCCCAGGACCAGCGGGGTGAATCATAGTCAGGGTTCCTGCCCCACCTCTGGGTCCAGCTGCCACACTAGATGTGTAGCCAGATTCCCTACCCTCTCATGCCAGGGTAGGGCCTCCTCAGAAACATACACATACACACAAACACACACACACACACACACACAGCCCCGGCCCAAAGCCTAGAGAGATGGAAACAGTAGTTGCCTTAGACACAGAAGCTTTATTTTTCTATAAAATTATTCCCGAGAGAAATTTTCTTTTAAATGCCCAAAGTAAATAACTTATATCCCTTCTTGAAAACATCCCCAAAGATAGTCTGTCAGAAATCCTTCGGTCAAGCAGGTCAGCTGGCTCCCATGGCCCTTGGGGTGGCCTGACTCTGTCACTATTCCTAAAACCTTCTAGGACATCTGCTCCAGGAAGAACTTTCAACACCAAAATTCATCTCAATTTTACAGATGGGAAAAGTGATTCTGAGACCAGACCAGGGTCAGGCCAAGGTCATCCAGCATCAGTGGCTGGGCTGAGACTGGGCCCAGGGAACCCTGTCTGCTCCTCTTTTTCCCAGAGCTGTGAGTTCTCTAGCCAAGGCTGCACTCTTGAGGGAGAGCCAGGAAGCATAGCTGAGGCCATGACAACCTCACTCTTCACCTGAAAATTTAACCCGTGGCAGAGGATCCAGGCACATATAGGCTTCGGAGCCAAACAGGCCTAAAGAAATAGTTGACACACTTCCTCCCCCAGGTCATCTCCCCTGGAGTCAAGGGTCTGCCAAGGCTAAGTGCAAGGAGACACTTCTGTTTTGAAATAAAGAAGTTCCACATGCCTTTGCTTTGAGTCTGTGTGATATCAATCTGCTTGGCAACTGAGATTCTTTTCTTGCTGCGCAGACGTCCTTGTGTGTCTTTATTTTGTGTGTGTGTGTGTGTGTGTGTGTGTTTTGCTGGGATAGGCAAAGTCTTTTGGGACACGAGGTCCTCAAAGGTGGTGGAAGATGAACAAAACCATCCTCGGGGCTGAAAAGTGAGGGCTTCTGAACTATGCAATTGCAGAGGGACTTTCTTTCCAAGTACGGCATTCCCGATATACCAGAAAGGGGTGGAAGAATGTCAGAAGAATGGCAAGCATGAACATCACATTCACCTGCAGGGAGAGCAGAAGTGAGGTGAAATCCAGGAATTCTGAACAACAGAACTGTTGCTCAATGAAGCAAGCACTGGTCCATTCCATGACCAATGAAGGGACCAGAAGTCTACCGAGTTTATATTCTACTTTTCACCCAGACACTATGGTGCCCTGGAGGAAGGACTTTCAGTTACTTTTCATTCTGCACTATCGGTTGGGGTAGAGGAGGAATATCAAGCCCATTTCACAGATAAAGAAACAGAGGCCTAGCGAGCATTCAATGACATGTTCAAGGTCACATGGGAAGCTGGTAGAGGCACCAGCTAGAATACACAGCTGATTACTAGGTCACCTGATGTCACAATCAAGTCATTCGCCTCAGATTTCAAGTTTACTCTTTTGGCCATGCACAGTGGTTCACGCCTGTAATCACAGCATTTTGGAAGGCAGAGACGGGTGGATCGCTTGAGGCCAGGAATTCAAAACCAGCCCAGGCAACATAGCGAAACCCCAGTGTCTATCAAAAAAATAAAATAAAATAAGCTTGGCATGGTGGCACATGCCTGTAGTGTCAGCTACTCAGGAGGCTGAGATGAGAGGATCGCTTGAGTCCAGGAGATCGAGGCTGCAGTGAGCCGAGATTGTGCCACTGCACTCCAGCCTGGGTGACAAAGCAAGATCGTGTCTCCAAAACAAAAACAAAAAACATTTAGTCTTTCTTTTCTCCAAGTGATGGATTTAAACTCCTATTCTAAGATTTGCTGCTTTAAAAATAAAAAATGAGGCAAATAGAGCTGTGCAGTAGTCAAAACACAGAATTCAAAGTTGACTTTTGCTCCTTAGCTGGTGCCTCTGAACACGTAAGTAACCTCTTTGAGCCTCAGTTTCTGCAAAGAGCAGGAGACTCACGACCACCTCCTAGAGCAGGACCTCAGAGCATCCCTCCAGGTGTAAGGACACAGAGGTGAAAGCACAGAGGTCCTGTCCCTGGGGCCAACTGTGGAAACCCTGTGTGGGCCTAGGGGAGAGGCCAGGGTGGGCCTGCACTCACCACAAGCAGGAAACACCTTTGAGGTCTCAGGATTTTGCTTGAAGTTTCGTGAGAATTCCCCACCCTACTCCAGAATGTCTGTTTCCCCACACACACAAATACTTTTGCCCCAAATACTTGAATAACACAGACCCTTTGGGAAGCTGCACCATGCTACATACCCAGGCCATCACAGCCAGATTTGGGGCAGCCAAGGCCTAAGGCCCAGGCCTCCTGCCAGGGATCCCCATCCTCCCAGTACTCACGTAAAATGGGTCATTCTGAAGGGAGCCTTTGATGAGGGTGAAGATGGGGAACTGGAGCAGAGACACCACAGCCGACAAGGCCATCACCAGCCCAAAGAGCTTGCCAAAGTGCTCTGAAGGGAAACTGGGGAGAGAAACCAGAGGGGTTCCAGTGAGCTTCAGGGACCCTCCCTCCAAGCAGAAGCCTGGCCTCTGGGGGCTGTCGGCCGCTTGTCCCCAGCTCCCCTGTCCTAGGCCTGCCCTCCAACCACACCTGTCTGGCCTTTCCCTCTTCAGCTCTGCTCAGACATTTGACCCACAGAACCCAGAAGAAGGCACATGCGGGGCCCTGGAAAAACAGACAGGACCCTCATGCAGGCTGCACCAGGAAAGAAAAGACAGGCATGTAAATGGATGGCATGCCAGACAATGCACGCACTAGCAAAGGAAGTAAGACTAGAGTACTAAGGGCACAAAGAAGGGAAGACACTTTTCCATTTCTTCCCTGGAGAACTGAAACAGAAGTGGGCCTCAGAGGATGAATACGAGTTCACCAGGTAGAAAACAGAGGGAGAGGGCACCGCAGATGTAAAGGCTCAAGTGCATGAATGTTCTATCCTTCCCACCACCTCTGGTCTCACCCCCTCCACACCTGCCCCCAAACCCAGTCTCCCGCACCTGACTGCCTCCAGGCCCCGCCTTGCCTCCCAATTTCTTTACCTCCAGCTTCTCTTTGCCCCAGTGTGTCCGTCTCCACAGAGCCCGCCCCAAGGCCACTTACGCAAGGGTGAGGAAGGCCGCGTTGCTCCCATAGAGGAAGGAGCGGCTGATCACTTGCAGGATGAAGGTGAGGTACTGGAGAGGGAGGATGGGGACTGAGGCACAGAGGGCGAAGCCCAGGCACAGCAGGGATGTCAGGGCCAGCGAAGGCACCGTCGAGCAGAGGGCCACCGCCAAAGTGGAGGAACCTGGGCGAACAGAGAGGAAAAAGAAGCTCTCTGTAGGCCAACCCAACAGAAGTCAGCGAAGGGCCAAGGAAGATTGGAAAAAGGGGAGGAGCCACTATCCATCCACTGTCCCAACAGAAACCTGGGAGTCATCCTCGAATCCTTTCCCCACATGCCCCACCTCAAACTCATCAATAATGCTGATCATTCACCTCCTACATATCATTCAAATGTGCCCACTTCTCTCCAACCCCACTGACTCATCCTAGCTTTAAACTACCATTAACTCAGTCATGGATTACTGCAATACCCTCCTGACAGGCTACACATCTGCCCCTCCCCACCCTGAACATGTAGCCAGATCCTCTTTGTAACACTACTGGTAATAGCAAAAGACTGGAAACAATCCAAATAGTCATCAGTACAGGAATGCTGTGGCAACTATGCTGCAGCCATGTAATGGAGACCCAGGCAGTGGTTAAAAGGCATGAGAGGTCCCTGCTACAGAGCACCCTCAGGATAGAGTTACATCAAAAAAAAAAAAAACTCTGCAGAATAGTGTATACAGTATACTACCTTTTATCTAAAAGAGAGGGAAATGTATTGATATGGTTTGGCTGTGTCCCCACCCAAATCTCACGTTGAATTATATCTCCCAGAATTCCCACGTATTGTGGGTGGGACCCAGTGGGGGAGGGTAACTGAATCATGGGGGCCAGTCTTTCCCACGCTATTCTTGTGATAGTGAATAAATCTCACGAGATCTGATGGGTTTATCAGGGGTTTCCACTTTTGATTCTTCCTCATTTTTCTCTTGCCACCACCGTGTAAGAAGTGCCTTTCACCTCCTGCCATGATTCTGAGGCCTTGCCAGCCATGTGGAACTGTAAGTCCAATTAAACCTCTTTTTCTTCCCAGTCTCAGATAGGTCTTTATCAGCAGCATGAAAACAGACTAATACATGTATATACACCTACACAATGTTTATATTTAAAAAAATAAAAATGGTTACCTAAAGAAGAGGAAAAGGGGTACAAGAAACAGAGAGGGAAAGTAAACTTCTTTGAATATATCTTGTTTCACAGTTTTACCTTTGGGAAAATGTAAATGTCTGATATGTAAATGTTTTACAAATAAAATAAAATAATAATAGGAAGAAAACAAGTAAAACAATCTTTAAAAATCAGAAACAAAATAAAATGAAATCAATGAACATAACTCTATACCAAATTAGTGACCCTTAAAATCAGTAATTTGGCCCAGTGTGGTGGCTCACACCCACAATCCCAACACTTTGGGAGGCCAGGGCAAGAGGATTGCTTGAGCTCAGGAGTTAGACATCAGCCTGGGCAACAAAGACCCTTCCTCTACAAAAAAAAAAAAAAAAAAAAAAAAAAAAAAAAAATTATTTTAAATTAGCCAGACATGGTAGTGCATGCCTGTAGTCCAAGCTACTTGGGAGGCTGAAGGGAGAGGATCACTTGAGCCCAGGAGGTTGAGGCTGCAGTGAGCCGTGATCGTACCACTGTACTCCAGCTTGGGCAACAGAGTGAGACCTCATCCCTAAAAATAAAGAAGAAAATATGGCAATTTGACTGTACATCTCTAATGGGATATATCCTAAGGATGAGAAAGGAATAAGGAAGGACAGAAAAAAGGAAACAAAGAAGTAGCAACAGTATTTAGCAATTGTATTGTTATCAAGTAACATCAATATTGGTAAAACCAGTAATTATATTTAAAATACTATATATGTGTATGTACATTTACATATGCATATGTTAGGAACCAAGTTTATCAGAGGAAGAGAAAGGGCTACAAATGTAAAATCAAGGAAATAAAAATTTGAATAAAAATATCAGTATTAAGTATTTATGATATTTTTCTTATAAAAAAATTATATATATGTTAACTCTATCCAAAACCCAAAAGCAGTGACAACCCAGGAGCAATAAAAAACCTCAGCATCCAGACTGTAGTCTCTACCATTTCCAATTAAAGAAACCCAGGGCTAGTTGGGAAAAATGACAATTTCATGTCTAGGGCAAGAAACACACCTAGTGAAATGGACCTGAACATTTAATTGTGTTAGAAAGTAAGGAAACTCTCTAGAAATAATGTGATTTCATCTAAAAGACACAGATTCTGGGCTGGTAAAGTTTTCAATGGCCAAAGGTGAGACAATTTGAGCATCAAGAAGAATCATGACAGAACAGATTAAAACATGTCAAATATATTTTAAAATGAAATATTATAAAAGAAACAATTAGTAGCCATCCCTGAAGGTCACTAGGGCACCAACTCATATTTCAAACTGGTAAATAAATGTGTAAGCCAAGCATTTATTTCTGGGTAACAAAATAGTAAGGAATGTTTTTCTTTCTAGAAGAATTCTAGTGATTAAAAGTAGAAGATAGAAATAGAAAATCATCCTTTTGGCCAGGGGCAGTGGCTGTAATCCCAGAACTTTGGGAGGCCAAGGCAGGTGGATCACTGGAGATCAGGAGTTTGAGACCAGCCTGGCCAACATGGTGAAACCCCATCTCTACTAAAAATACAAAAATTAGCCAGGTAGTGGGTGCCTGTAATGCCAGCTACTCGGGATGCTGAGGCAGGAGAATCGCTTGAACCTGGGAGGCGGAGGTCGCAGTAGGCTGAGATTACGCCACTGCACTCCAGCCTAGGCAACACAGTGAGACTCTGTCTCAAAAAAAAAAAAAGAAAGAAAAGAAAATCATCCTTTTGCGATCCTAATGAAATAATGGGCCTAGGCATTGATCATTAATGGCTCCTAAAATCACTAAGTATATGGTTGATGGGAAACTTTATAGTGGATGGATCAGACTCGCAATGTCTAAACCAGTTGATCAATCTTAACATCGTAACAAGACAACAGACACCAGGGGCTGCTGACAGGAGAACAGAGGAAACCCATAGCTCTACCACTGAGTTATTCACGGCAAAAAAAAAAAAAAAAAAATTAAACTGCGTTTCCTCCAAGCTTCTAATCCTGTTGTTTACAGGAAATACCCAAGGAAAGGAATACTTTTAAATGACACATTAAAACAACGCCAAATCCAAAATATGGGGAAATGACCCAGTTTCTTCAACAAATAAACAAGAAAAGGTAGGGGGGAGGACTGTTCTAGATTTTAAAAGCTATAGAAGACACAGCAACCAAATACACTGCATGGACCAGGCATGGATCCTAATTGGAACAAACCAACTGTAAAAGGATGTATTTGAAATGATTGGAGGAATTTGAACAGTGACTGCACAGTAGATGATATGAAGAAATTATTGTTATTTTTTAGGTGTGATCATGATTTTATGGTGATGTTTAAGTAAAAGAGGCCTTATTTGTTAGAGATACATGTACGGGTATAGAGAAATATTTACGGATGAAATGATACGATGTCTGAGATTTGCTTTGAAAACTCTAGCAGGTGTGGGAGAAGCAGGTGCATGGGTGGGGGAAGGGATAGATGAAATAAGTATGCAAAATGTTAGTCTACTTTTGTCCCTCCTGACCCAGCAGGTTAAAATACCTCAGCATACCTCTACTCCTCCAACCAGGTCCAAGGATCAGGCCAAAACTCCCTGATGTGGTAAACAGCCTGACCCCTTCTTACCTCTCTCTCTCCAGCCACTTCCCTAAGATTCCCCAGTGCTCTGTGCCCTAGCCAGCCCGACTCATCTGCCCAGATTCCTCAATGTTTCACTCTCTCATTCACCATTTTGACCCCACTGTGCTCCTGGGCCACTCTCCAAGGCCCCGCCTCTTCATCTCCTCCCTCCTTACTCATCCTTCAGGTCTTGGCTTAGGTGCCATTCCCTCCAGGAAGCCTTCCCTGACACCAATCCCATCCTCACCTAGAACAGATTATGTGCGCTTCTTTGTGCCCCCCATGGCCCCCTGTGGGTTTGCTTCACGGATTATAACTGCCTGACTACCTGCCTTTCTCCACCCTCTAGACTGAGAACACCTTGAGAAAAAGAACACATCTATCTTGTCTGTCATTGAATCCCTGGTGTCTGGCACCATGGCTGACACATAACTATCACTCAGTGACTAGTGTTTTAATGAATGAATGAGTGCAACTAGACAGGGTTAAGAACAAAAGAGAAGACCAGGCATGGTGCTTCACGCCTGTTATCCCAGCATTTTGGGAGGCTGAGGCGGGCAGATCACCCGAGGTCAGGAGTTCAAGACCAGCCTGACATGGTGAAACCCCGTCTCTACTAAAAAGACAAAAATTAGTGGGGGATGGTGGCACACGCCTGTAATCCCAGCTACTTGGGAGGCTGAGGCAGGAGAATCTCTTGAACCCAGGAGGTGCAGGCTGCAATGATCTGAGATCACACCACTGCACTCCAGCCTGGGCAACAGAGTAAGACTCTATCACAAAAAAAAAAAAAAAAAAAAAAAAAAGAGCGAGAGAAGATGTCATGGGGTAAATGAAGACCTCCCTTCCTGGTTCCCTGACCAGCCCCTGCCCTCCCCCGCATCTCACCTGTCTTTCTTGCTTCCTTCTGGTACTTCTGTTTAAGCCGGTCCATGAGCAGGCCATTCCAGGGGGCACACAGCACTCCGAACTGAGTGAAGGCAAAGGCATTTGTGTAGGTGCTGACTGCAGAAGGAAGAGAGAGGTTGGTTGATGAGAAGTTTCCAAAACTCCCTTCCAGGCAGGGACTCTCCCACCTTACCCTTGTCTGCATGTCCCTCCTCCCCACACCATCAGACCCTCCTCTGGTGTGTACAGCCCTGCTGGGAGGCTCTGTGTTCCCAGCTGGGACATGCAGATGGGCTACCTCCCAGCCCTACCACATACCTCGTGCCATGTCCCCACCGGCCATGTTGGTCAGCAAGGAGTTGAGAGTGCCAATGAAGAGGTAGTGCCACAACTGTATCACAGACAGCCACACCAGGTGCCAGGCAAAGCGCCGAGAGAAAGCGTAGCTCCAGAAGGAGCGGAGTTCCTGCTTCTGCCCTGCCCCTGGGGTCTCTAATGGGGAGAGGAGGATCTGGGCGTGAATTACGAGGAAAGTGGACAGGTAGGATGGGGAGTGTGGAGGCTTCAATGGAACATTTCAGATCCGGGCCCACCTTCTACCCTTGGCTCCCAGAACTCACCCGGCGTGCTCTGCACCTGCCTCGGACTCACACATCCCCACCTCCCTGCTTTGTCATGCTGGCCCTACCACCTTGGATGACCCTCTGTGTTCTTCTCTATTGAAATCCGATCTGTCTCTCACAGCCTGGTCAATGACACTTCTTGCAGTAATACCTTCCTGATCTTTCTCAGCGAGAAAGGTGAAAGGAACGACAAGGAGAGGAGAAAGTCAGAAGGGAGAGGAGAATGAGTGTGGATACTCTGTTCTAACCTGCTCCTCAGCACCTCCCTTTCTTTTGATACCAGTATCCTGAGTTTCTTTGGGAAATCTTCCTCTACCCTAATCTTCATGGTCCAGATGGGACCATGAATTCAGTGTTCTGTTCCTCTCTCAAGGTTAACCAATGAGATGGTTCCTCCTAACAAGGCAGACCGGCCATGAGTTTAGATTAGGATGGACTTAATCTAAAATAGGTCCTACACCCTGGCAAGTTCAATGTCCTCCCTTGATTTTGGAAGCTTCCCAGAACCCTATTCTTCTTTCTTTAAAATAAATAAATAAATACATGTTTTGGATCCAATTGTCAGATGGTAAAAATAAAAACAAAAAAATCAATTTTATTCTGTATATTTAAGATATACAATATGAGGTCATAGGATACATATAGCTACTAAGATGGTTACTACAGTTAAGCAAATTAACATATCCATCATCTCACATTTCTACCTGTTTTGTGACAAGAGCAGTTAAAATCTACTTGTTTAGGAAAGTCCCAAACACAATGCAGTTTGATGACCTACAGTCTTCGTGCTGTGCATTAGATCTCTAGGCCTGTTCATCCTGCTCATCTGCTCCTTTTTGTCCTTCGACCTGCATCTCCCATCTCCTCTCCCACCCCGTTCTTATTTCTACTGTAGCTAGCTGCGGTTTGTGATGTGTGTAACCAAAGACGCAGAACAGAGAGGAAGGAAAGGAAGCAGTGATAGAGTTGGGACAATAAGAGAGGGCGGACCCAGGAGACCTGGAGAAATGGGGGCACTGTACCAGACTTAGTGCAATGGCATCACAGAAGAGGGCAGAACCGAGGAGTGGGGGGAAGGGAAGGCAACCCATGGCAGGCGGGCTTCAAGGGGTGGGGAAGTGATAGGATGCGAAATAGAGAAAAGAGGGACAGAAAAGAGACGAAAGCCCTGGACCCTCCATTAAGTGAGAGGGTTGGGAAGATGCCTAAGGCCCTTTTTCTGTCCTGCCTTTCCTGATTCTGGGTCCCTGGGGGAGCTCTGGAGGTGAGGGGCCAGGAAAGGCACAAGGAGAGGCTTGGGTCTGGAGGAGAGATGGGTTAGCCAGCAGGGCTCACCTTCCTTCGCTGAAAGGAACTCCTTTGACTGTAGCTCCCTGTTTTCATGCTCAGCTGTTTCCTTCTCTTCCTTTGTGGTGCCATTCCCAGGGCACAGGCTATGGAAACAAAAGCCCCACCAGCAAGGCCAAGGACTGTGAGCCGAACCTGAGACTCAGACTGGAGGGAATAGCATGGTGAATCCCACATTCCACCGCACTTTGGAATCACCTTTTAGCCACTCTGATGCCCAGGTTGCAGACCAGACCAGTTAAATCAGAATGTCTGGAGGTGAGAGCCAGGCTTCCTTTTCTAAGATCTCTATGTGAATCTAGTGATTCTAATAAGCAGCAAAGTTTAGGAAGCATGAAAAGAGTAGGGCAGGCCCAGGTTCAAATCCCAGCTCTGCCTCTTCCTAGCAACAGAAAGATGGCTCAGACTTAACCCTTCTGAGCCTCATTTTTTGCATTTAGAAAATGGAGATAAGGATATCTCAGAGGATTATTGTGAGGATGAAATCAGAGAGCACATGGGGTCTGACAATTAGTAAGTGAGCAGCAAAGGAATGCCCTTCCTCTACTCCTTGTGGCAAATGACTGCAAAAATGATCACATTTCTTCACCTCCTCTGTATTTCCCCCAATTTGAATGAGACTGCAGCTCTATTTCCCCATGCCCTGAATCTGGGCCAGCCTTGTGAACTGCTTCAGCCAAAAGAATGCAGCAGAAGTGGCTGTGCCAATTCCAAGCTTAAATCTCAAGAACGCTTGTGCATTTCTGCACTCTTTCAGAACCCTGAAATCACGGTGTGAATGAGCCCACGCTGGCTTGCTGGAGGATGACAGCCACGTGACCCAGGCATCCCTGTCACTCCAAACCTATGTGAGTGAGGCCATCCTAGCATAGCCAGCCCCCATGTAATCCTCCAAATGATCAGATGTATGAATGAGCCCTGTCAAAATCATCTACATCTGGCCCTGATCAGCGGAACTAGCCAGCTACCCACAGACTTGTGAAAAATAATAAATGCTTAACATTTTAGGCTGCTGAGTTTTGAGATAGTTTGTTATGCAGCAATAGCTAACAGATGCACTGCTCCAGTCCTCCTCCTCTCCTGTGATAGGTTTGCTTTACCCTGTCCATCCCACCCTAGGGCCAATGAGGGGCTCTGGCCCACAATCACCAGATAGTCCTTACCCATAGCTGTAGTTGGGGGGCAGTGGGTATGGGATGTGCCCCCGGGGCATCAGGAGGAAAGTGCGTGCTACATGCCAGGTACTGCAGACAGAGATGAAGATGAAGGAGGCCCTGAGGCTGATGCCTTTTTCATAAAGAAGCTGCAGAAGGAGAAGGAAAAAGTCAGTGTCACACCCACGTTCATAGCAGCACTATTCACAATAGCCAAAGGATGGAAGCAAACTAAGGGTCCATCAGCAGATGAACAGCTAAACATAATGTGATCTATACACACAATGGAATATTATTCAGCCTTAAAAAAGGAAAGAGGCAACCATGCTGGCTCACACCTACAATCCCAGCACTTTGGGACGCACGAGGATCACCTGAGCCCAGTTCAAGACCAGCCTTGACAACATAGTGAGACCCTCACCCCTTCTCTAGAAAATTTTTATTTAATTAGCTGGGTGTGGTGGCATACACCTGTAGTGCCAGCTACTCAGGAGGCTGAGTGGGAGGATTTCTTGAGCCCAGAAGTTTGAGGCTGCAGTGAGTCATGACTGGGCCACTGCACCCCAGCCTGGACAATGAAACATGACCTTGCCTCCAAATAAAAAAAAAAAAGGAAAGGAAAGAAATTCTGACACATGCTGCAACATGGATGAACTTTAAGAGCACTATGCAGGGCCAAGCTCAGTGGTTCCTGCCTGTAATTCTAGTGCTTTAGAAGACCAAGACAGGAGGATTGCTTGAGTCCAGGAGCTTGAGACCAGCCTGGGAAACAGCAAGACCTCATCTCTACTAAAAATAAATAAATAAATCAGCTGGGCGTGATGGTGCACGCCTGTAATTCCAGCTACTTGGGAGGCTGAGGTGAGAGGATATGATTACATGATTACATGCCTGTAATCCCAGTACTTTGGGAGGCTGAGGCAAGCAGATCACCTGAGGCCAGGAGTTCCAGACCAGCCTGGCCAACATGGTGAAACCCCGTCTCTACTGAAAATACAAAAATTAGTGGGGCATGGTGGCACGCACCTGTAATCCCAGCTACTCGGGTGGTTAAGGCAGGAGAATCGCTTGAACCCGGGAGGCGGAGGTTGCAGTGAGCCAAGATCCTGCCACCGCACTCCAGCCTGGGCAACAGAGCGAGACTCTGTCTCAAAAAAAAAAAAAGGTTAAGATAGTAAATTTTATGTTATGTATATTTTATTGCATACAAAAACATCAGCAGAAGAGGCAGGGGCTGGAACCCTGTTTTCTAAGGAGTCCTAGTACAAGCCATCACCTACTATCCTGTAAGCTGATTAGGGACACCTGGTACACACATGCCCCCACCCACCCCAAGACACACCCGGCAGTAGAGGAGTCCTCATACGACCCATCCCCACAGCCGGTGGAGCCTCCTCGTGTGGCTCCCCAGAGATCTTCTAGCCCAGTGCCTTTTTTCCCCCAACGACAGCAAAGGCCTTTTGTTCAAAGAAAATTTTACACAAAAATTCATCTTACAAAACACACCAATGGGGAGCTTGCCAGTCATCTCCCTCTTTATTCTCCTTGGTGACTGGTATGACATCAAAGAGAATCCCTAAGTTCCTCAACAGCTCAGTTTGAAAACCACCGACCTAGCCCAACCTCCTCCCATTTTACAGAGAGTGACGTTGAGGTCCAGAGAGGTGCAGTGAATTGCTCAATAAATTGACAGAGTAAGCAGCAGCAAAGTCAGATTAAACTAAGAATTCCTGTTCCTGCTCCCTTTCCCCTTCCAACTCTAGAGAGACAGGAGAGAGGCTGGGCATGGTGGCTCATGCCTGTAATTTCAGCACTTTGGGAGGTCAAGGAAGGCGGATTACTTGAGGTCAAGAGTTCAAGACCAGCCTGGCCAACATGGCGAAACCCCATCTCTACTAAAAATACAAAAATAAGCTGACTGTGGTGGCACGCCTATAGTCCCAGCTACTCAGGAGGCTGAGGCAGGAGAATTGCTTAAACCCACTAGGCAGAGATTGCAGTGAGCCAAGATCCCACCAATGCACTCCAGCCTGGGAGACAAAGTGAGACTCCAACTCAATAATAAAAAAAAAAAAAAAAGAGAGAGGAAAGAAAGATGAGGCAGCCATCTGGGTTCTCCAGGGGAAGGAGGGAGAACCCAGAAAGTGACTCTTATGCCAGGAGTAGAAAGGCTTGAGTGCCTCAGGGGCTCAGTCTCTGCATAACCCTCCAAACCTCCAAAGCTTATGGGACTAAGCTAGACTCATGTCTGGGTGGTGACTGCCAGAGATCCTCTTCTCTGCCCCCATAACCTGCAGGCAGTGCCAACTGCCTGTGACCTAACACTAAGCCCAGAGAGAAGTCCCAGGTTGGATGGCTTGAGATCCACACTCTTCCCTTCCTTTCACTCAGCCATCTGTGGTGTGCTGGCTTTAGTCCTCCAGCTTGCTGCCTCATAATTGAAGCATGGTTGCCACAACTCCAGCTATCACATCCTCACACCACAACATTCAATGAGGAAGACTTTGTTTTTACTCTGCTTTCACCTTGCGTCAGGGAAGAAAAGTCCCCTTGAATCTTCCACTATATACACTCCCTTTATCTCATTAAAAAGGACTGGATCATATGCTGACCTCCACCTATCACTAGCAACGGGTAAATGGATTGCCATGGTTGGCTTTAATCAATCAGGATTCATCCCCTGGGCTAAGCGGGTCACTGCCCAGATAAAACTGTTCGCAATGAATAAGACAGAATGGTTGTTGATTGACCTCTAATAGCCTTGGCAACAGTTCATCCCCTGATACCCCAACATCAGCCACTGGGACAGCTGGACAAGCCTCTGTGTCTGCCCCTGCTGTACCCACTAGCCACTTGCCACCTTCTTGTCCAAACTAGAAGCTCACAGCAGCAAACGCCCCACTCTAAAGGTCCCCCAGCCTCTACCCAACACTGGCCCAAGCACATTATGACCACTGCCACAAAAGCTTGGGCAAGTCTGAAGAAGGGGCTTAGCGGTTACAAGCTCAGGCTCTAGAACCGACAAGCCTGGGTTCAAGTTCCAGTATCATGGCTACTAGCTGCAGAACCTTCAACAAGCTTTTTAACCTCAGAGACTCAAATGCTTCATCTGTAAAATGGGGGTAACACAGTACCTACCTCACCGAGTTGATGGAGACAAATAATGCAGGTTCACAAGACAAGTGTCTGGCATATACAAGTGCCCAGTGAATGTAGGCTGTTGCTATATTTACCTTAATAATAAGGAAGACTGCCGAGGAAGAGTCAAATGCTCCATTGTACAGAGTGATGATGGTCGAACGGTGTTGGCCAAATAGGTTCCCAATCTGGGGATGATAGGACTAGCCTGGATCACTTATTTATTCATGAAACAGATACTTCCTGAGCACCCAGCATGTGGCAGACCCTCCTTATACCCAAACTCACCCTCCACCGCTAGAGCTCCCACCTCAGCTTGGGCCAACCCCATCTGAGGCAGCCAATTATAGAAAAGGGTCTCTCCTTCCCTCCACCTTCCCGCCACCCTGCCGAGTGCCTGGGATTAGGGAAGGCTCCCACCTGCAGGTTGGTGATGAGAAACAGGATTCCCCCAATGGTGAGCATTGGCATGGCCAGGAAGAGCAGCACGGCTGAGCCTGGACCATCAAAGTCAGAGGTAGGGTGGTGTCATAGTGCAACCCAAACATGGAGCCCCAAACTCTGCTCCCACCTGCTCCAAATTCCCAACAATCCTGGTATCCAGGCCCCAATTCTAGCCAGCGTTCCAGCGTCCTTCAAGGGTTTTTAGGATACCGGCCAAGGCTTCCCCAGATATCTCTGTGGAAGTCTTCTGAGCCACCTTCTTCCCAACCAAAGTTGGTCCTCAGTCTGTGGCAGGCCAGGAAGTCTACAGACAGAGGCAGAGCTCTAAGTGAAGCCACCTCTCTCTTCCCTCAGTAAACCACAAGCTGCCTCTCCCTTTCATCCTTGACACTCCTGGAAAAGAAGACCCTGGACTCAGGTCCCTGGCTCAACCCTCTAGCCCATTCCCTAATTCATGGTATTGGCCTTGAGCTTCAATCATCTGTTTAATGGGAACAACAGTTCCTGCTCTTCCTGTCTCAGGTGCTATGAGAACTGAGTGAGAAAAGGACCATGGTCTTTTCTTTGTTCACTAAACTCTGAGCACTTCTTTGGTGCCAGGCATTGTGCTTGGCACTGGAAATGCAAGATGAATCAGATAGTCCTTGCCCTTAAATAGACTGACATGCAAACAAATGGTTATAACAGGTCTGGTAAGTGTGAGACCACAGCAAAAAAGCTCAAGAGCTGGGCTAGGGGAACCCTTGACAAATTCTTCCTCCCCAAACCAGACTTCTGCCCACCATTATTCTGGCCACAACCTATGCCTGTCCTATTATTTGCTAAAATGTTTTAAGTTGACTCACTTTTATCCAAAAAGTATCTATTTTTAAAGGACACTTTATATCACTACTGTAGATGAAAACACTGGCATTACTTGTCATGAATAGAAAGTAACTGTCAAAATAAATACAATGAAAGGAAAACAATGTTATTCAATTGTAGCTGGATGCATTTGACCTTAGAATGTTCAAAGCCTAAGACCTGCTCTTCCCATCAGTGTTAAAATCACACTGGCCCCACATGAAGACATTCTTTCATGAAATCAGAAGGACTGAAAGAGAAATAAAAAGGGAATAGCTGTTCTACCAGGTGATTTGATGTTTGTTAGTGTAGTTCACGTAGTATGCGTGTGCCCCTAACATCCTCTTAACTACCGTGCTATACCTTAAGAAGCACTGCCAAGAGCTAATTTTAGAGTATTCACACAGTTTACCATTCAATTTCTGTCTTTATAAAATGTACATCTCTCCTACTACTAAAGGTTGGAGACTCCTTTCACAATAGAGTCCTTATGGGCTCAATGCTTTTTTCAAAACTGAAAAGCCCTATATTATGGAGGAAGAGGAGGATTGTTGCTCAGACGATTTGCAGGCACGAGTCAAACATTACCCAGCCACCACCTCCACATTCAGTTGCTTAAAAATCATTTACAGGCTTTTAGAGTAGATGATGCTGGTTTGATAAGGAGAGTGGTTTGAAATAATTGGTTTGAGGTGCTGGGCCATCTCATGAGATCTGTGTGAACAAAGACACTCAGCCTCTGTGTTTGCCCAGCATGAGTGCAGACAATCTCATGATGCTGTCAGCTTTAGCATAGCTTACACACACAAGAGTAATGTACTTTCTTTCCTAAACCAAAAATTGAGCCACGGGTCTAACACTAGGAAGGAATATTGGGAGGCATCTCGTGGCCACCATAACCAAGGCAATGACAGAAAGAAGAGTGAGGGATCAGGAGGCCTGCACATCAGGCCCACCTCCCACTTGCTTTCTCTGTGGCCATGGACATGTCTTTGCAAGGGGTCCTGCTGTGGCTTCAGTTTCTCCTCTGTGTAATGGGTGGAAGGGTGGTGGAAAATAAACCAGATTGGAGTTCCAGACTTAACAGACTGGTGAAATTTTAAAACAAAGATTTTGAGTACAATAGGGTTGTCAACTTTTACCCTGCTAAGTAAGGATATTTGCAAAATGGTCATTCATATAATCATTTCATTAAAAAGAGAAAGAGAACATTTTAACACATAGGAGAAGGATGTAAAGGTTTTTTGTTGTTGTTTTGTTTTTTAGGGTTTTTTGTTTGTTTTTTGGTAGAGTCTCACTTTGTCACCCAGGCTGGAGTGCAATGGTGTGATCTTGGCTCACTGCAACCTCTGCCTCCTGGGTTCAGGCAATTCTCCTGCCTCAGCCTCCTGAGTGGCTGGGATTACAGGCGCGCACCACCATCCAGCTAATTTTTGTATTTTTTTTAGTAGAGAAGGGATTTCACCATGTTGGCCAGGCTGGTCTTGAACTCCTGACCTCAGATGATCCACCCGCCTCAGCCTCCCAAAGTGCTGGGATTACAGGAGTGAGCCACTGCACCTGGCCAGATGTAAAGTTTTGAATAAATTCTACTCTCTGAAGTAATCCCTCTCCATCATCCTTGCTTTTCACATTTTCTCAATAAACTGTTTTCACAGACCAGCAATAGCTCAAGATCCTTCCAGGATTCTTTCAAGCTGCAGATCTCTGAATAACCATGTGGTCTGTATATCTTGCCTATAGCCCTCTGCTCACACCTGCCCCAGCCACCAGGTGCCTCTGAGCTTGCATCCCTCCCACCCACCTGACAGCACTCACCTGCAGAGGTGAAGGCTATGATGAGTGTGGCGGTGGTGTAGAAAAATCTGAAACACATAACAGGAAAAGCAGAATATTGTCAAGGAGGGAGAAACCTGGGAGAAAAAACATGATTCTGCTCAGCCAGCCCACAAGTGTAGGACTTGACCGCACCCTCAGCCTGGGATGCAACGGGCACTGATGCCTCTGAGCCCCAGGCTCAAAACCAGGCGCAAGAAGCCGCGATGAGATTGAGATGTGGTCCTGACCTCATGGACAGTGCATTTTGCTCATTCTGAGGCCCAAGGCTAGCATGGAAAGTCTTGGACAATGAGCTCAGCTGACGATGTGATTGGCTTGGGACTTAGCCAGGACAGAATGGGCAAAGCGAAGGTCCTCCCACCTGGAAGCCCCAACAGCCCAACCCCTTGGAGAAAGGGGTTAGTGCCTGGTCTGCAAATCAAGGCCTTGAGTTCTAACTCCTCCTCACTCTGTGACCTTGGGCAAGGCGCTGTCCTTCTCTGGGCCTCAGGAGCCTTTTCTATAAAAAGAAATGATCGGACTGATCTAGCTCAGAGTGCTATGATTTCAGGACTACAGTCCCAAGGTTATCAGGCTCCCTTAGCATTTGGGGGTCTTGTAAGGCATGGAGTAAAAAAAAAAAAGCAATATCCTAAGGCTGGAGAAGAGGGAGGGGACAAAGGAAGGGGAGGAAAGGGGAGGTAGCAGGGAGCCAAGGACCAAGAAGGACTGAGGTACAGTCATTCTGCATCCAAAGGCTTAAATTGTAAGGGACTGGCTTTACTCTGGCTGTTTCCGGAAAGGCAGGCCCAGCCAGCCCTCCCGTCTCTCTCTCTGACAGCCAATCTCACATGTGCCTCCCTGGGAGCACCTGCTCTGAGCTGTATCAGCCCCCAGCAGGCCGCTGATTACCACTGAGCCTGGCCACAGAGCACGAGATTAGGATGCAGCAACACACTGTGTGTGAGATCACGTCCCGAACCTTCTGACTCATCTGCACAGGAAACCCCCCCAGTCTCCCCTCCAGTCAGAAGGGACCTGAAATTCCACCAGTGGCAATACCAAAGAAACTTCCTATTAGCTAAGCCCCTAGGGAGTGATTGGCTGTTGGGGCGGGGAGGGGGGGCGGTGAGGAGGATGAGGATGAAGCCTGGGCAACCTGGATGTGAGGCTGTGCAGGGGATGAGGACAAGGATCCTTGGGGTGAAGGAAGAGAAGAGCAATTTTAGGTTTTGCTAATTTTGTAACCCTGGCTCCAAGCCAGCCCTTACAGGAAGTCACCCTGGCCTCCGGCTCAATTCAGCACGTGATAGGGAAGCCACATTTATGCAGAGCAGGGAACGAGGTAAGGAAATGGAAGTGGGGCTGTGGTGAAGTGGGCAAGTCTAGAGAGAGTCCCGCTGCCTGGGGCTGTTCCTAACAGCTGCTGGGAGCGAGCTGCAGGTGTGGTGCCTGGCAGGGTGGCCGGGCTGTCTGACTCTGGATTTCACTCCAAGCTAGGCTGCTGCCTGAAGGATTCCTCTTACCCACCTTTGCCTGGGCTGGCCTTTGGGACTTACATGGCTATGAGGCGTGCCACGGTGGTCTTGAACCGGTCAAAGATGTAGCCAGTGGGGAATGTCATGAAGTTGTTCATGAAGGACCCCAGGGTGAAGATGAGTGAGAACCTCTCATCCTGGGCTTTGCAGTCTGGAGTAGAAAAAAGGTCTCCCATGCATCCCAGCCTTCCTGCCAAATGAGCACACAGGCTGGGCTCCCCTCCACCTCAGACAGCTTGTCGGTCGCAAACTTGTCCCTTAAGCTGAGTTGAAATGTGGCTGCCCCTAATTACCCCTCAGGAGCTGGTGCCTCCCTCCCAGGCACTTCCCAGATCAAGTGGGGTGAGAGCTGCTGACCCTTCCTCTCATCATAGAAAGAGGGGTGGGCAGGGGGCAGAGTCCTTCCTGCTCCTTGCCACCACGTGGGAGCCAGACTTAACTTCCTTAGAAAAGTCATCCCTGCCCTTACCAGCCTGCCCTGTGGCATTGCCAATCGGCCCAGCATCTGGTCCACACAGATCCTTAAAGTAATCTTCATTCTTGAAGACAAACACTAGTGAAGGCCAGCCAAAGAGGACGCCAGCAAAGCCCAGGCATTCCAGCAGCCCAGTCAGCAGTGTGGCCACGTGCAGGGGCAGGCCCTGGCCCGCCATGAGCAGAAGTGGAGTGGATCTTCAAATCCCACTTTGTCCTCCTGGACGGATCACAGGCGCCGTAAGCCTGGCGTTTGAGCACTTGGAAAATTCCTCTGGCAAGCCAAGCCCTTCCTTTCCCGTAGCTCTCTGGTTGTTTCAGGCCTGGGCAAAAACCATCAGCGGGTGATTCTCTGGATCCTGTAGAATAAAGATAGAGGCTGCTGGAAGAGGAGGCCTGCGGGAAAGGGAAAGGTAGACTAGAGTTATTTGTGAGGTGCATTAAGAGGCAGGATGATCATGGCCGCTGGCAGCAAATGTGGGGAATAAATACTCCAATACATCATCTTAGGCACTGCATTTGAGTAACCACGTGGCAAGTAGAGAGGCAGGTCTTGATGGCCACCTGGAGTCACAGGTGAGATAAACGACTTACCCAATAGCTCCCCGGGAGCAGGTGGAGAAGCGGAGCTCCTGCGCTCGAATTCTGAATACCGTCCCCTAAAATAATGACAGCAACTCAACCAGGTGCAGAGGCAGGGAGATTTCATACAGAAGACACAAACTCCCGCTGCCAAGTTGGTGTTATCTTCAGTTTACTGACAATGAAACAAAAGCTCCCATGGATTTCAGGAACTTGCCCAAGGTCACAGGGCTAGTTTAGTCACGACGCAGGCCATTCTACTGCCAGAAATACCCCCAACTCCCATGACCCTCGCCTAGGACTCGCAAACCTGGTCCCCGCCGCCCTTCCTCGCATCAACTTCTACCAGGAAAGCCTCCGGGGGCCGCTCCCCGCCAGCCTCCGCACCCCGCTCCAGCCTGCGGCCTGCCCTCCCCGCAGAGGAGCCCGAGGGGCCAGGCCGCGCTCGGCGCCCCATGGCGCCCGAAAGGGGACCCTTCGCCCTACCCGCCTGCTCCGCGCCGGGGCTCTCCGCGCCCTTTCCGCACGGGCCAGGTTCGCATTCGCGCCTCTCGCAGCCCCTCCCAGTCCCCTGCTCGCCTCCGCCCCCTCCTGCCCGCCCGGAAGGGGCTGGGGCAGACCTCCCACTCTCCATCACTTCCTTCTTCTTTTCCCTTGCTCACAGCCTCCCGCGCCCTTTTTACCTCTCCCTCTTGAAACTTCTCCCTCTAGAACCCCCTAGAACCCCAGCGGTGTCTTTCCCTCCCTCCTCGCTGCCTTTCAGCCTCCCAGCCCCCTTGCCTCTGCCTCCCCTAACCAAGTTAGTTGAATGCTGTTACTCGCTCAGGCCCACCTAGGGAAAATGTCACACCCAGCACCCAGAGGACACACAGACAGCACATGAGGGCATAGGGACACACACACTCTATTTGTGCATTTTGCCTTGACCGCTGGGTTGGCAGGGAACATATTTTTCCTATTTGCTCACCAGCTTAACCGTCTCTCCCAGTTTCACACTCCCAGAGCTGCCAAAAAAATCCCAACCACAGAATCAGGAAGCCAAGAACCAGGACTGAGGGCTTTTCAGAAACCATCCCCTGGAGGACTGCCCCATATTTTCACTCCCAAAAACCCCTTAGATGACTCCCTGCCTCACCCCCGCCCCCCAGGTTCTGAAAGAGCCTTCCCGCCAGACTGCATTGATTAACCATTCATTGCCCCATTTTTTATTAATCAAAGACATATATAATTGCTCATCGGAGCTTGTGATCAGCGTGAGGCCTTACTAAGCAGCTGCCTTACTATCCTTCCAGCCCAGAGCACGTGAGCTGACGTCTTCTTTGGCCTGTGTGGCCGTTTCCTTGCCAAAAGCTCAGTTTGGGGAGAGCTTCTTGCGTATTAGATGCAGTCTGCAGACTCCCAACCCCAGCTACCTGGATCCCCTGAGGGCCCAGGAACTCCAGCTATTCCAAGCCCACTCCTCTTTTTTTTAAGAGGAAGAAATAGAGGTTACGATAGGGGACAGCCAGAACTGAGGATTTTCCAGCTCACCACCAAAGCACAAAAGATAAAAGTCTGCAACCACCCTAGTGACTTGACTGAATGGAGGAAGGGTGGCTGGGGTCCTGTACCCCAAGCTACTCACTAGTTATACAACCTGAGGCAAGCTCTTTGGCTGCCCCACCTGTAAGACGAGGACAATAGTACCTTAATTATAGGAATTGTCATAAAAGAAGTATAAGATGGGTGTATGAGGTCCCTGCATGGCGCAGGTGCTATAGGCAGATTGTAGGGTAGTAGATTTTCTAGTCTGCAGTTATGTAGACAGAGCCAGAGAAGCAGCTCTGGGGAGGAATTTCAAAGGAACTTGCCCACGGTCATTCTACAAAGCTGCAGTACCTTCCCAACTCTGAAACGTATGCTCTCATCACCCCGTCTTAACAAACATTTGGACATTAGAGAAAACAAGTCTTTTCTTAAAATAACATTATTTATGGGAGAAAATCCACAAAAATATAGCATCCCAGGACAAACAGGGCTTAAGATGCAAGATTTTCTATTTTACTGCAAGACACAAAGACTCTGAAATTAATGCATGCCCTATCTTCTGCTCTGGCATACATTTTAGTCTCCTGGGGGGATCAGTAAGTGTGGAAGTAGCAAGGGAGAAACAGAAAAAAGTCAAAGTAAAGAGACAGATTTTAGAATGTTAATCTGCAGGAGCCTGCCAGAAAGATCTAGCTCATGGGCTATCTGTACATCCAGGACTGAAGCACGGGACACGGGGCAGGTCGTCCAGGGTTCTGTCCACCTTATCTTGTTACCTCTCTTGACTCTTAGAGCCTCCACTCCACATCTCCCATCAATGTCTGCAGAAGACGTGGCCTCCACTAACACAAGTCTTACTGAACTGATGGGACAGGAAATTAGAATATCCTCTGAACCATTCCCATGTTCTTTGGTTCGAATTCCAGCAGCTAGAAAAGGCAGATGCTATTCTGATCACTCTCCTGCGTGGCTCCAATGAGGATTAATGAGTAACATCAGAGAGAGAAGTGATTATAATAAGGTCTGACGGTGCACCCGATGTCTTCATCCTTTTCTCTTCGCCTCCTTCCTCATCATCTCACACCTTTTTTTTTTTAATTGACTGATTGGTTCAACAAATACATGTGGTACCTCAGGCTCTGTGCCAAGTGCCGGGATTCGTAGAGAAGAGATTCAGTGCCTGCTCTCAAGGGGCTCATTCTCTTGTGGGAGAGACAGACAAAGAAACCCAAGATTTCTGGAGTGTGGGAATGGTCTTCCAGGCAGATGCTAGCACAGCACATTGAAAGGCACGGAACCTCAACAAAACAATAACATTTAGGAACCAGCTAGAGCACAGGGTGGTGAAGAAAGTGGAAAGATTTGAGGCCAGCGTCGCCATCTAAGTGAGGGCATTAAGAATTCAGCCCACATCAATCAATCATGTCCTATTGATTTCACCCCTTAATATCTCTCCTATCTATCCGTGGCCACTGCTCTATGCAGACACTCATCATCTCTCACAGAGGCATCATCTGCTTCCAAGCCATCGCCATTCTCCTGCAAGAGTTTATTTCCATGGTTCCCACTGGATGGCTTCACTTAACTGCTCAAAACCCTTCTGAGGTCCAGTCAACTGGCTGGTAAGGACCAGTCCAGGGTCTGGGGATGCCAGCCATGAGACATTGCTTTGAGGGGAAGAGGGAGCATAGAACTGGATCTCCTGCATCCTACTGCCCAAGTACCAATGCTGGAGGTGGTTTTCCTTCCCATCATCAGCAAGTCTGGATATCCAGGATCCACCCTATGGATGTTTTTATGGACAGAGTGGGAAGATGGATATGTTTAGGTTAGGGAAAGAGGGTTTGCCAAAGAGGGCAGTATAAGTGAGCTGCACTCCATCATTCCCCTGGCACAAACAATGGCTAGTATCCTCTAGTCCTCAAGAGCACCACCTTCCAATGCAGTCCCTGCCTGTCCACAGACCTCTCTCCTCAAACTTCCTCTGAACAACCTCAGCGAGGGCAATTGCCACTCTCTGGGCAGAGTCCAGATATTCTCTCCTACCCTCTGACATCACTTTCTAAATTTGTATATGTAGATAAACTCTGAGCCATTCACATAAAGGGCTTTGATTTCGGATACGCCAAACACATAAACAAACAAACATAAGCTTTCCTTTCACAATGGGCTCATGTAAATTAAAATGTTTGGTTTTCCACCTACGGTCTTGAAAGGGGTTTCTACAGCCTGTTTTGGAAGTCAGAAAGCAAAAGGTAAATGCAAACATCATTTCACCTGCAGAGAAAATTCTAATCCTCTTGAGGCAGTGCCAAAAATAATACAAGCACACTGCTATCGAGCCAATTACTGGTATCTCTGAGCTTCCGTCTCCTCATCTATAAAATTGGAATCGAGCTGTATGGATTAAAGATAATGTATGAAAACTGCCCAATTAGTACACTATTAATAAATAGCAGCTACTGTTGTTAACAAATATTATTGACTTACTGGAAAACAAAGAGGAAATAAAGTCACATTTAGGGAGAATTTCAAAGTGTTCCTAACCTAAAAAAGAAATAAATTAGGGGGAAAACCACTAAGTAATGGGTGAGCTCAGTTTACCTTGCTTAAGAAGTCCCACCCTAGAGAACTGATCTCTAGATGACACCCAAATGCACTCAGTACAACCCCCCAAGACTGTCTGGGCTTAAGGCAGGGGCTTGGATTGTCCTGTAAGCTGTGGGAAGTCTGTTCATGAGCCACAGTAGACAGGAAGGGGATGGAGTCTTAGAGCTGGCTCTTCAGGGTATCTCCTAGTGTGTTCAAAGCAGTTCTCAGGAGGGTGGGGAACTACTACATAGCCAAGTAAATATGAGGCCTCCTTGCTCTGGGGAGACCTTTCTCTTTAACAGAGGTGAATCTGAAAGGATACCCAAAGAGGCACTGGAGGGTGGGGGCCACTCTGGCCCCTCAGAGCAGCCAGCTCAGCTTCAGTGGATGCTAGAGGCAGCAGAGGATCAGCCTGGATCAGCCTCCCTTTCACCATGCAGAAAACAGAGCTCCCCCACCAGACCAGATACTGGAAGCACTGGGCCAGGCCTAAGAGAAAGCAGAGCCCCAAGCCCCACCACACCAGGGCTTATGAGGCTACTGCTACCCACCCTCCCAAGCCCCAGCTCCACTTCTATGTTCATCAAGCAACTGTTTACTGGTAACTGCACTTCCCGATAGACTTTGCTAGAAAGGAATGCCTCAGTGCACTGACAATATCTAAACCTGCAACTCTAAGGACTAGGCTGGGGAACACTGTGTCAACATGGAGGCACGTCCTACCCCTGAGAAGAAAAATAAGGAATATCAATAATACCTGCTGGGCACTGAGCACTGACTATGTATCTGATTCGAAGCGCTTTTTGCTTAATCTGTCACTGAATCTCACGATAGGTGTTGTTATTAGCATCTATTATCTGGGCCAACTGAGGCCTAGAGGGACGAAGCAACTCCCCCAACATCACCAGGTAGCAGTGTCAGGACTGGGATAGAAACCTGATGCTCTGACTGAAACTAATGCTTTTTTTTTTTTTTTTTTTTTTTTTTTTGAGACAGCATCTCACTCTGTCACCAAGGCTGGAGTGAAATGGTGTGATCTCAGTTCACTGCAGCCTCCACTTCCCAGGTTCAAGTGATTCTCCTGCCTCAGCCTCCCGAGTAGCTGGGATTACAGGCGTGCACCACCATGCCCAGCTAATTTTTTTGCATTTTTTGTAGAGATGGGGTTTCGCCATGTTGGCCAGACTGGTCTCAAACTCCTGGGCTCAAGTGTTCTGCCTGCCTTGGCCCCACAAAGTGCTAGGATTACAGGCGTGAGCCACCATGCCCAGCCAGCTGATGCTCTTAATCTGTGCCCTACCCAGCCTTCCTGGGAGGCTTCCCAAGAGCTACACAGAGCATGAGTTCTGGAATCGGGTTGATGGGGGTACCAGTTATTACTAATAGGAATGAAGATGGGTAATTCTTTCAGACAGCACCCTTGATTAAAACAAGAGAGTAGTGCTGCCTCTCTGTGATTCTGTGTCTCCCTGCCCTGCTCACACAGACACCACACCCACCCACACGCATGATCATGAAAAGAGGAAATGGATCCAGGAGAAGGAGACGACTCCTGAGTGAAAACAACGGGGTTTTTCACATTGAGAGCTTTGCCCAACACCCCAAAGATGAAAAGAGCAGGAAACTGCTGGGGCCGATTGAACACTGGACTTTTGTTGTGGAAAAAGGCAAAGGGAAGCCGGAAGAGACTGGAACAGTTTCCATGGTGCTGGAGGATGGGGAAGTGGGTAGGGATTAGCTGGAGGGAGAAGGAGAAGCTGGGGTGGAGGGGAACCTCCACTTGCCAGGAGAGCACATGTAGGATGGGAACCCCAGATGATACTCAAGGCATGGCATTAGACCAGAAGCAAGTCTGTGGTGAAATTAGGGAAGGCTCCACTGCGGACTGTAGACAGAGCACTGGACAAGGAAGTGGGAGACCCAGGGTCCAGTCCTGGCTCTGGAGCCCCCTGGGTGGGCTGCCCCGGGCACCTTTCTCTCTTGGGGCCTCCATTCCTACCTCTGTGAAGCGAGTGCTGAACCTCTCTTAGCCCTGACTTGCTGAAATGCTGGGACTCTGTACAGAGGCTGACATTAAGCAGGGATCTGTCGTGGGGTGCTGCAATGTTCCTCCAGATGCTGCACGGGAGAGGGCAGAAAAGGCCTATATGGTGAGTCCGCCCTGGGAGCCTCTGCTTGGAAGCTGAAGTGGCCTGAGAGTGACTCAGAAACCACGGAAGTTCCCGGGGCTGATGGGTTCTTATAGATTGTACATGCAGCTCTCCTCGTGGGCTGCAAAACCGCAAGATGGGCTGTGACCACTCTCAAGGAAAGAGCCCTATCTGCAAAAAGCATTCTGCCCTCCAGGTCTTAAAGCAAACACAGACTCAATCCTTATTCCTTTTAAGACAAAATTGCCTCAGGGGCATCAGGGAGGCAGCAGGCCTCAAATGTGTGCCTTTCTAGAATTCTCAATGAAAGCACCCTTTTGGGTATTAATAATGACAACAGTAATGACAGTCATTTACTGAGTGCTGCTTTTGGGACAGGCATTGGGCTAAGAGCTATATGTAATATATATTATTATTTGATGCCCACAGCCACCCCATAAGGAGGCGGAGGTACTATCATTATGCCAACTTTAAAGATGAAGAAACTGAGGCCTCAAGAGATGAAGTAACTTGGCCAAGTCACTCAGCCAGTAAATGGGAAGAGATAGACTTCCCAGTATCCAGAGCCCATGTTTTCACCATTATGCTGAAGTACCTCTTTTCCTGTGCCAATGTGATCTGCCTCCAGGAATCCTGTCTTGATGTTCCCTTCCCCATACAGAAGTCCTCTCTGTGTCCTCTTCAGCCTGATAGTATATCTTTTCATACCATTCTTTGGACATCTCTGTTATACTACTCCAATGGTGTTCCCTCCCCTACCCCTCCCTGGGAGCTTAGTTGTTGTGATTAAGTATAGGGGAAATGACCCACACTAAACAAACTCATAAGAGACTGATTGATAAACCTGAAATGCAATTTATTAATTAACACTGAGAAATGAAACCACCCAGCAGATGGGAATCCTAAGGCTGACTGGTCAGCACAATCTCTTTCAGGAAGGACAGGCTTTTGGGAAAGGAAATCAATACCAGAAGGTTCTTTGTTGAGTACAAAGTCAGAGGGAAGGGAGTTGATGGATTGACACATAGGTGAAGCTTGACATACCTCTATAAAGCCTCCATCCTGCCAAGGATCAGAATATCCAAGGCAGGGAGCCATCTGGGTGTCCTCTCCTTTGGACAGTGCTGGATTTTTCTGGATCCTATGAAGATCTTACCTTTCTGGCTGCATTTATCATGATTGTGGAAGGCTTTTTGTTTCCTTGTTTGCTTAGATTAATTTCTGCGTATTTAATAGAACTGAAAGGCAATTTCCCATTGAGACCCACTGAAGAGGAATAATCAATACATACTAGTTGTGTTGCCCTTTGCAGAGAATTCACTTCTGTGTTGTCACTGTATCCTCATGCTTCCTTATAATGGAGGGACAGAGATGGTAAAAACATGGACTTGGAAGCCAGACCGTCTGGGTTTGAATCCTGGCTCTGTTACTTATAAGCTCTGCAACCTCGGGCAGATTACCTAAGTCAGTTTCCCCTTCTCTGAATTGGGGATAATAATAGCACCCACCTCAACATCTGTCAAGAGGATTCAATGAGGGAATACACATAAAGTGCTCAGAACAGTGTCTGCCATCTGGTAAGCAGTCAATACTTGTTAGCGATGATTAATAATTCATTTCATAGATGAAAAAACTGAAGCCTAGAGAGATAAAAAGTCAACTAAGATCATACAGCCAGTAAGTGGTGAAGATATCATTGAAAATCAAACTGGCATCCTTTAAGCACTAAAGTCTTTCCACAGACTAGTTTCTTACCCATTCGCTTTCATAACAAGCTGAAGGAGAGCTTGTTTAAAAATCAGGTATATCCACCCACCGGAATGGGTAAAATTTAAAAGAATGAAAATATCAAGGTGGAGCTTGGACGCAGAACAACTGGAGGGAGTAAGCAGTAAGAACCACTTTGGAAAAGTGTCTGGCAGTTTCGAAATAAGTTAAACAAACACTTAATGAATCAGCCAAGTTCAACCAGGGATGTGGAACCACTCTCTCTGTGGATTGCTACAGGGATTTGGCCTTACTCAATTGTAGGAGGTAGTTAAGCAATCTTGTAAGGCTATTATCTTTGCATGTCATGTTGCAGTTGAATTCCACAGGTCAGGCAACTGGGAAAGGAAGATGGATATAAAGTGGGCAAGACAGAGCAAACTGAGCCCCATAAGTATGAACTGGAACCCCATGAGGATGAACTGAAGCCTTTAAATCCACATCAGCTTTTGTTGTCTCTGTCGTTGTTAATGTATTTTGCAGAAGCCCGGGTTCATTGCATGGAGCTAACCACATACACACCTGCCCCAACAGTAGGCAACGCCAAAGGAGAAGCCAGCTCCATGCCAACCAGGTGTACCAGCAGTTCAGTCACAACATGTGTGAGCCAGAAACCGACTCCTGCTTCCCTTCCACCCTCCAGATTCCCTGAAGAGACACCCTCATGTTCCGCTCTAACCAGAAATACACAAAAAAGGGAATTCAACATAACCAAGTCAGCACATTACAAAGCCAACACACCTACCTTATGATCAGGTAATTCCACCCAAGATATTTACATAAGCGAAATGAGTGCATACGCTCACCAGAAGTAGTGTACAAGAATATCCATAGCAACTTTATTCATAACAGCCAGAACCTGGTAACAGCCCAAATGCCCACCGATAGGAATACGGATAAGCAAATTGTCCCGTAGTCACACGACGGAATACTGCATCACAACAAAAAGAACCAACCTTTCATACACACAGTGTAGATTAATTTCGCAGATGTGATATTGAGCAAAATAAACCAGATGCCAAAAAGTACACAATGTATATATATTTTTTCTTTTTCCTTTTTTTTTTTGAGACAGAGTCTTACTCTGTCGCCCAGGCTGGAGTGCAATGGTGCGATCTCGGCTCACTGCAAGCTCTGCCTCCCGGGTTCACACCATTCTCTTGCCTCAGCCTCCCAAGTAACTGGGACTACAAGAGCCCGCCACCATGCCTGGCTAATTTTTTTTTCTTTCTTTTTTTGTATTTTTAGTAGAGACAGGGTTTCACCGTGTTAGCCAGGATGGTCTCCATCTCCTGACCTCGTGATCCGCCCGCCTTGGCCTCCCAAAGTGCTGGGATTACAGGCTTGAGCCACCGCGCCCGGCCATATTTTTTCTTTTTTGAGGCAGAATCTCACTCTGTCACCTAGGCTGCAGTGCAGTGGTGCAATCACGGCTCACTTCAGCCTCAACCTCCCAGGCTCAAGAGATTCTCCTCTCTCAGCGTCTCAAATAGCTAAGACTACAGGCACGCACCACCATGACCAGCTAATTTATTTTTTTTGTAGAGTCGGGGGTCTCACTATGTTGTCCAGAGTAGTCTCCAACTCCTGGGCTCAAGTGATACTCCCGTCTCGGCCTCCCAAAGTGCTGAGATTACAGGCATGAGTCATCATGCCTGACAATGTATATCTGTGTGAAGCTCAAGAATGGGCAAAACTAATTGATAGAAAAGTTAGAATAGTGGTTAATTACCACCGGAGCAGGAGAGGTGTGGGTCTGTTACCTCTGCTGAGGAGGGGTATGATGGAGTCTGAGTTCCTGGAATGTGTCTTGATATAGGTGGTAGTTATATAGCTGTATAGATGTGTAAAATTTCACTGGGCTGTACGCTTAAGGTCTGTGCCTGTAACAGTATGTATGACATACTTTAATTTTTTTTTTTTTTTTTTTGAGACAGAGTCTCCCTCTGTTGCCCAGGCTGGAGTGCAGTGGCACAATCTTGGCTTACTGCAACCTCTGCCTCCCAGGTTCAAGCAATTCTTCTGACTCAGCCTTCCGAATAGCTGGGACTACAGGTGTCTGCCACCATGCCTGGCTAATTTTTGTATTGTTAGTAGAGACGGGGTTTCACCATGTGGCCAGGCTGGTCTCAAACTCCTGACCTCGTGATCCTCCCACCTCGGCCTCCCAAAGTGCTGGGATTACAGGCATGAGCCACCGCGCCCAGCCCCGATATACTTTAATTTTAAAATGGATTTTAGATTCCTGAGCTCTACCCACAGAGATAACTGATGGTCCGGGTGCAGTTCAGGGGTGACTATTGGGAGAGCTCTGAACTGTGCCTTCTTTCTTCCCAAGTTTGCTCCCCATTCTGTATGGTCAGTCATTCTTGAATTCACCCTAAAACCAAATTTTTCAAGGATGGAGAACAGCCAACTTTAATCTTACTTCTCTGGGATTTGAAAAAGCAAATTCCTGTTCATAAAGGTACCCACAGTGTGGGACGTCATCAAACAGAGCTTCTTCCTAATAACGGCGGCGGTGTTGTAAGGTGTGTTAACAATCTCAGAACTTGAACCGCTCTTGGTTTTAAGATGCCAAGTAGCTTAATGGTTTCCTATCACTAGGAATTGGAGCATCTCTGTTTTCATAATACTTCCCCACATCCCAAACACCACTCACTTGCCCTCTCCTAGTGTGAACAGAACCCAGCCCAGGCCTGGAACTGCTGTCTCCATTTTGAGAGGCTGAATCTTGTAAGGACTGGGGGTCCTGACTCCCTAAGTGGAACAGTGTCCTCCCTGGGGGAAAACTTATGAAGATCATAAGAGTCCTAGACACAAACGGCCCAAGCTTCCACAAAATGCACATTATCCCCTTTCCTCTCATTTAAAACACAGATGTGGCCGAGCGCAGTGGCTCACACCTATAATACCAGCACTTTGGGAGGCCGAGGCTAGCAGATCACTTGAGGTCAGGATTTCAAGACAAGCCTGGCCAACACTGTGAAACCCTGTCTCTACTAAAATTGCAAAAATCAGCTGGGTGTGGTGGTGTACACCTGTAATCCCAGCTACTCGGGAGGCTGAGGCAGGAGAATCACTTGAACCCAGGAGGCGGAGATTGCAGTGAACTGAGACCGCGCCACTGCACTCCAGCCTGGGCGACAGAGCAAGACTCTGCCAAAAAAAAAAAAAATTAAATTCAAAATAAAATAAAAGAAAACACAGATGTGCCTATGGAGGAAAGGGCACTAATATGAACTCAAGACCCTGCTGGCTCCTCCCTATACCCCTCCCGGAGCCTCAGTTTCCATTCTTCATAGCTGAACATGGGCTGTGGGATGCTGATTCCTGTTGGAAAGAAAGGGAAGGGACAGAATAATCACTCCTATTTACACGGCTCTCTAGAGTTTGCAAAGCAAAGCACTTCCACATCCCCTCCCTGAGCCCCCCCCAACTCCATTGCCACCCCCACGCTCCAGCCCCCGCAAGCCTGAAGTCATGTAGGAAGCGTCCTTTAGGCTGGGCTTGGCCTTGCTTTTCGTTTGGTTTCGGAGTCCCCGGTGAGAAGCAGATACCTCCAAGGAGTAACTAGTCAGGTATCATCCCACACCTGGTAAGTATTTGGGATCAGGGGAAGTGATACCTAAGAGGCAGCACAGAGAAATTAAGTGATTAGGCACACGCCTAGCGCCAGAGCAGGTGAGTGGCGCAGGGATGGGGAGTGATACCCAGACTCCATGTTGCAGTCAGAGGCCCAAGGCTTTTGGAAGAGCAGACCCAGGTTAATTATGTGCAATCTCATAGTGCCATTAGTTGACAAGTCAGAGACAGAGCCTTTCTTTCTTCTACCAAAGCCAGGCAGCTAGGGCAGCCAGAACACCTGGGCTGCAGCAAGAAGGAAGCCTTCCTGTATGCTCCACCCTCAACCGTGGAGCAGCTGGACAGGCCTCCCTACACTGCAGCTTGGGCTGGTTGTGGCTGGACTTGTCTAACCCTCTAACTTGTGCACCTCAAAGTCAGGGCTCCTCAATATTTTCTCTACCCCTGACAGGGTCCACCATTAAGCCATATTAAGGGACAAAGGAGAGACCTGAAGTCAAATCTGAAAATTTCAGATAAAGCAAGCCACCCAACAAAGAGGTCCAAAGTACATGATGGGATTGGAGAAATGCTGACAAGCGAAACTCGGAGAAGCCAAGCTGGCAGATTGATCTGGAAAGGTCAACAGGAACGAACGGCTATAATGAGGCTCAGTCTGTACATCACCAAGCCAATGGATTGGGTCCAGCGAGGATGCAAGATGTATTGAGTGTGGTGTGCCTCTTCTGCACACACCTGCGGCTCCCTGGGATTCGGGATGGGGAGGGACTGAGAGCTGTGACAAACCAGGTCAGGCCACAGACTCTGGATTTAGGACAATCAAAAAGTACACATACCTGGGGGAAGTGTCCAGGGAGGCTGGAAACTGACCCTGAGGCAAGACTGGAGGTGTCTAGGCCCACTGCTGCGGGCACTGGCTTGACAGTGCTTTTGAGAAAAACACAAAGTCTACACTGTTTGTCGTTTGTTTTTGTTTTTGTTTTGAGAGGTAGTCTGGCTCTGTTGCCAAGAGGCCAGAGTGCAGTGGCCCAATTTCAGCTCGCTGCAACCTCCGCCTCCTGGGTTCATGTGATTCTCCTGCCTCAGCCTCCCGAATAGCTGGGATTACAGGCATGCACCACCACGCCTGGCTAATTTTTGTATTTTGTAGAGACGAGGTTTCACCATGTTGGCCAGGCTAGTCTCAAACTCATGACCTCAAGTGATCCGCCACCTTGGCCTCCCAAAGTGCTGGGATTACAGGCGTGAGCCACCACACTCGTCCCACACTGTTTTTTGTCCTGGCCCTGACTCACTTGTCCTGATTTCTCAAGAGAGGGACTTTCAGAAAATGAAAAAAAAGAGAACTTTACTAAAGATCTTCAGTATTGGTCAGAAGAGAACCCATCCTCTCTCAGCAAGGATGGGAGACGGCGAAGAGATACGCTTCATGGGAGAGGGACAGCAGAGCATCAGCAGGAAGGGGAGCGACAATGTCCCCAAGACCACAGACACCTGTCAGGTGTGTTTGGGAGGGCCTGGCCCCCACCAAGTCTACAGAGTTGAGGCTTGCTGGTCGAAGTCATGATCTTTGTCCAAGCCTTGGATGGTCACCCTTTCTCCATAAACCTCCGTCCCACACTGAAACACTCCCTGTGTGTCTTTGAACAAGTCCTTCCTCCTCTGAGCCCCATCTCAACCAAAAAAGAGAAATGAACTTGCACTGAGCTCCCTCCCAGGGCTCCATGAACATCTCATGAGATTCGAACCCCTAGCTCTGGGCTATCACAGCCCCATCCTTTATGCATTCCATCGTCATCGTAGGATGTAAGCCCGAGAGCCCTGGCACTAAATGAGAGCTACTCACTGAGAACAGCTTGGTGCTGAGACCCTGGGGCATGCAGAGGGCCAGGAAGTGGCCAAGGCAGGGCAGAGCCACTTGTTTTCCCTGAGATGGTCTGCCTGGGCCCTAGCATTTCCATGACTGTCGTATCAATGCTGAGATCCCAGAGGTCCTGGGAGGAGCCATTGTTCTCCCTTTACTAAAGTGACCTGAAACCTTGGACAGGCTGCCAGTGCTCCCTGGCCTTTTAATTTTTTTTTAATTGTTATTATTATTATTTTTTTTTTGAGATGGAGTCTCGCTGTCTCCCAGGCTGGAGTGCAGTGGTGCGATCTCAGCTCACTGCACCCTCTGCCCCCCGGGTTCAAGACATTCTCATGCCTCAGCCTCCCGAGTAGCTGGAATTACAGATGTGAGCCACCATGCCCAGTTAATTTTTGTATCGGGTTTCACCATATTGGCCAGGCTGGTCTCAAACTCCCAATCACAGGTGATCCACCCACCTCAGCCTCCAAAAGTGCTGGGATTACAGGAGTGAGCCACCGCACACAGCCTATTCATTCAGTTTTGAGACAGGATCTCGCTTTGTCTCCTAGGTTGGAGTACAGTGGCACAATCATGGCGCACTGCAGCGTCCACCTCCTAGGCTCAAGCAATCCTTACCCCAGCCTCTTGAGTAGCTGAGACTGCAGATGCATACCACCACACCCAGCTAATTTTTAAAAGCTTTTTACAGGGATGGAGTCTTGCTATGTTGCTCAGGCTGGTCTCAAACTCCTGAGCTCTACCGATTTTCCCCCATCAGCCTCTCAAAGCCCTGGGATTACAAGTGTGAGCCACCACACCCAGCCTTCCTCAGCCTTTCTGCTCCTCACTGCCCTGTAGCAGAGTCCACTGGGTCCTCAGTGCCCAGCTGAGCTTGTGCAGGAAGCCCCAGCTCTGGGTCTTACTGCCTCACCCCTAACCAACTCCTACCATACTTCAGGGCATGGCTCAAATGTCACTTCCCAAAGGACATTGTTCCTGATCACCAGACTGGCACAAGTACTCTCCCGTGGCCCATACTTCTTCATCATAGAATTTATCCCTGCTTATAATTACATGTTTGTGTTTGGCTTACTTGATTTCTGAGCTTTCCCCCCATCATGCACGTACATAAACACACACATACACATAGACACTGTTAAAACAAATGAAAACCGAGGTCAGGCCTGCAGATCCCTTAAGCAAACAAAACTAGTCAGGCTTCATAAGTGACCTAAACCTTGCTTAACTTGAAAACATAAGTGGCCTGGGCCTATCTTCCACTTCCACACTAGAAGGTTTTCAGGCTCACACCTGTAATCCCAGCCCTTTGGGAGGCCAAAGCAGGAGAATTGATTGAGCCCAGGAGTTTGAGACAAACCTGAGCAACATAGAAAGACCCCCCCTCTACAAAAAATAAAAGATAAAAAATAATTAGCTGAGCATGGTGGCTCACACCTGTAGTCTCAGTTACTGGGAAGGCTGAGGCAGGAGGGTCCCTTGAGCCCAGGAGTTGGAGGCTGCAGTGAGCTATGGTTGTGCCATTGCACTCCAGCCTTGATGACAGAGTGAGAATCTGTCTCTTAAAAAAAAAAAAATTAAACAACCAAAAAAACGTAATGGCTGGGCATGGTGGCTCATGCCTGTAATCCCAGCATGTTGGGAGGCCAAGGCGGGCAGATCACCTGAGGTCAGGAGTTCGAGACCAGCCTAGCCAACATGGCAAAACCCCATCTCTTAATAAAAATACAAAAAAATTAGCCAGGCGTGGTGGTGCGTGCCTGTAGTCCTAACTACTCAGGAGGCTAAGGCCGGAGAATCGATTGAACCGGGGAGGTAGATGTCGCAGTGTGCCGAGATTGCGCCACTGCACTCCAGCCTGGGTGACAAAGCAAGACCCTGTATCAAAAGAAAAAAAAATTTGAGCTATTTCTTGTAAATGTTTATACATGTGTTGCTTAACAACAGGAATGCACTCAGAGAAATGTGTCATTAGGTGATTTTATCTTTATGCAAACATGATAGAGTGTACAAACTAGACAGTATAGACGACTACACACGTAGGCAACATGGTATAGCCTAGGCTACAAACCCATACATAGTACTGTACTGATTACTGTAGGCAGTTGTAACACAATGGTAAGCATTTGTGTAGCTAATCATAGAAAAGGTGCAGTAAAAATATAGTATAAAATATTAAAAAATGGTTCACCTATATAGGGCACTTATCATGCATGCAGCTTGCAGGACTGGCAGTTGCTCTGGGTGAGTGAGTGAGTGAGTAGTAAGTGAATGTGAAGGTCTAGGACATTGCTGTACACTACTGGAGGCTTTATAAACACTGTATACTGGCTGGGCATGGTGGCTCATGCCTGCAATCCCAGCACTTTGGGAGGCCGAGGTGGGTGGATCACCTGAGGTCAGGAATTCTAGACCAGCCTGGCCAACATGGTTCTCTTTAGTTGAGAACCCTGTCTCTACTAAAAATACAAAAATTAGCCGAGTGTGGTGGTGCATGCCTGTAATCCCAGCTACTCAGGAGGCTGAGGCAGGAGAATCTCTTGAACCTGGGAGGTGGAGGTTGCATTTAGCCCAGATTGCACCATTGCACTCCAGCCTGGGTCAAAGAGCAAAATTCCATTTCAAAAAAAAAATGCAAAGAAACTAGCCATGCATGGTGGCGGGTGCCTATAATCCCAGCTACTTGGGAGGCTGAGGCAGGAGAATCGCTTGAACCCAGGAGACAGAGCTTGCCGTGAGCCAAGATCATGCCATTGCACTCCAGCCTGGGCAACAAGAGTGAAACTCCATTTCAAAAAAATAAAAAATAAATAAAATAAAAACAATGTACACTTAGACTACACTAAGTTTATACAAAGATATTTTTCTTTGTTCGATAAAAAAATTAACCCTAGCTTACTTAGCTTTTTTACTTTATAAACTTTTAAATTTTTAAAAACTTTTGACTGTTTTGTAATAACACTTGGCTTGAAATACAAACATTGAACAGCTACACAAAAATATTTTCTTTCTTTATATCCTTATTCTTTAAGATTTTTTTTTCTTTTGAGACAGGGTTTCACTCTGTCACCCAAGCTGGAGTGCAGTGGCACAATCACTGCTCACTGCAGCCTCAACCACCTGGGGTCAAGTGATCCTCCCACCTCAGCCCCTCGATTAGCTGGAACTATAGCCGCATGCCACCACACCCGGCTAATTTTTGTATTTTTTGTAGAGATGGGGTTTCACCATGTTGCCCAGGCTGGTCTTGAACTCCTGAGCTCAAGCAATCCACCCACCTTGGCCTCCCCGAATGGTGGGATTACAGGTGTGAGCCATTGTTCCTGGGCAGCTTTTTTCTATTTAAAAATTTTTGTATTTTATTTTAACTTTTTAAACTTTCTTGTTAAAAGCAAAGACACAAACACACACATTAGCCTAGGCCTACACTGGGTCCTATCATCAATATCACTGTCTTCCACTTCCACACTAGAAGGTTTTCAGGGACAATAATATGCACGGAGCTGTCATCTCCTATGATAACAATGTCTTCTGGAATATCTGTTGAAGGACCTGCCCGAGGCTGTTTGACAGTTAGCTTTTTTTTATAAGTATAAGGCGTACACTCTAAAATAATTATAAATAGGCCATGCGTGGTGGCTCACGCCTGTAATCCCAGCACTTTGGGAAGCCGAGGCGGGGTGATCACTTGAGGTCAGTAGTTCAAGACCAGCCTGGCCAACATGGTGAAACCCCATCTCTACTAAAAATACAAAACATATTAGCAGGGTGTCATGGTGCACACCTGTAATCCCAGCTACTCAGGAGACTGAGGCAGGAGAATCACTTGAACCCAGGAAGCGGAGGTTGCGGTGAGCCAAGATCGCGCCACTGCACTCCAGCCTGGGTGACAGAATGAGACTCTGTCTCAAAAATAAAATAAAGATAAATAATATAGTAAATATATAAACCAGTAATATAGTTATGTATTATCATTATCAGATATTATGTACTATATATAACTGTATGTGCTATTCTTTTATATCACTGGCAGTGCAGTAGGTGTGTTTACACCAGCATTGCCACAAACATATAACTAATGCATTGCGCTACAACATCAGGACCACTACACCATAGACAATAGGAATGTTTCAGCTCCATTATAATCTTATGGGACTACCACTGTATATGTGGTCTGTCCTTGACCAAAATGTCATTATGGGGCACTTAACTGTATTAAAGGAAAACAAAACTTAAGCTTAACCAATCAGAAACAGCCAACAAACTTAAAATTATAGAACTAGGAACTTTCAAATGGAATAGACCAAATAAGGCAACTGTATAACTGTAACCAATCAAATAACGTTTCGAGCCAGGGTCTCACTCTGTTGACCAGGCTGGAGTGCAGTGGCAAAATCACAGCTCACTGCAGCCTTGACCTTCTGCAAGTCAAGTGATCCTCCCACCTTGGCCTCCCAAAGTTTTATTAGTTGTGAGTCATTGTGCCCAGCCCAAATAATTTCTTTATCATGCTTCCACATTTCCGTCGTAAATACTGGTCTCTGACGCTTTGTCATCTGAGCGGTCTCACCACTGCTCTATCCTGTCCTTATGCATCACCCCATACCAGCTCCCTTACTCTCATAACTGCCTTATGAACTATGTGTTATCCCCGTTCTAGAAATAAGGAAATAAAGTCCTAGAGAGGTGAAAGAACTTGGGCTCAGTGAAGCCATTGAAATACGTCATGACTGAAAAACTACCTCTGAAACTACCCCAATTCGTGGATTGCTTAAAAAAGAAAACTTAAACTCTATAAAATTTTATTGTGCCTCAGATTTTTCTCTAACAACATGCACACTCCCTCATAACAATATGAGGGCAGGGACCTTTAGTCACTTATTCAGCAACTGTGGGTGGAGTGACTGTTGTATGCCAGGGACTAAGCCAGGGGCTGCAGACACCACACTAAATAAAAAGGCAAAAATTTCTATTCTCATGGAGTTTACATTCTAGTAGAGGAAGACAGACAATACACAGTAAGCCTAGTAAATAAATAACTTATGTAGTATGTTAGGAGGTCTTGAGTGCTATGGGGAAGAAAAAGTAGAGCTGAGTGGGCCAGGTGGAGGAGTAGAGTATGGAGGTCAGGGAGGCCTCATTGAAAAGGGAAACTGGCTGGGCGCCGTGGCTCACGCCTGTAATCCCAGCACTGTGGGAGGCCGAAGCGGGCGGATCACAAGGTCAGGAGTTCAAGACCAGCCTGGCCAATATGGTGAAACCCAGTCTCTACTAAAAACACAAAAATTAGCCGGGCATGGTGGCAGGCGCCTGTAGTCCCAGCTACTCGGGAGGCTGAGGCAGGAGAATCGCTTGAACCCAGGAGGCAGAGGTTGCAGTGAGCTGAGATCGCACCACTGCACTCCAGCCTGGGTAACAGAGTGAGACTCTGTCTCAAAAAAAAAAAAAGAAAGAAAGAAAGAAAAGAAAAAAAACGAAAGAGAAAAGAAAAGGGGAATTATGAGCAAAACCTTTAAGAAACCAAGGACTTGGCAGAGATCTGCCTGGTCCCTGCTAGATCTCCAGCCCCTGGCCCCGTGCTCAGCACCCAGTAGTTGTTTCATAAATTATTAAACAGATGAGCCAGGAGCAGTGGCTCATGCCTACAATCCCAGCATTTTGGGAGGCAAAGGCAGGCATATTGCTTGAGTTCAGGAATTCCAGACTAGCATGGGCATCATGACGAAACCCCATCTCTACAAAAAATGCAAAAATTAACTGAGCGTGGTGGCATGCACCTTTAGTTCTAGCTACTTGGGAGGCTGAGGTAGGAGGATCACTTGAGCATGGGAGGGTCACTTGAGCCTGGGAGGTTGAGGCTGCCATGAGCCATGATCAAACCACTGCACTCCAGTCTGGGTGACAGAGTGAGACTGTCTTAAAATAAAATTTAAAAAAAATCAAAAACCAGATGAATAGGTAGATAAATGGATGGACAGTCTTTCTTTTTCTACATTTGATGTCCAACCAAGACACTGTGACCTGGACCTAGGGATATGGGATAGACATTGTGTTTTGTATCTCCCAAAATGTCTCTTTCCTACTTCCCACTGTTCAGAATAATGTAGCTTGGAGTTTGATCTCATCTGCAGAGCTGCCCTGATGAGCCCAAGACAATCATGACAGTATCACACTCCTTGCCCAAGACTGGCTCAGGAACCCTGACTTAAGACAATCAGTGTATATTACCTTCCTGGTGACAGTCATTGGCTTCAGGTGGGTGGACCTAAGCAATCCCAGACAGAAAGGAAACTCTTTCATTCCATGACTGGGGAAGGGCCACTTTCTACTTCTGAAGATGAACAGGGAGGCAGGCAGCGTCTGCTGGCCCAGCAGCCAACTTGTAATCAAGACAAGAACAATCTGGCTTAGGATGAAGCTGGCCCTGCAGACAGAGGTGCCGAGACAGAAAGAACCTGGGTCTTTGATGACATCGTTAAGCCCTGGATCAACCAACCTTGGAGTCCCCTACCTCTGGGCTTGCTGCTGCCTGAGATGGATAATATAATAGATCTTCTTACTGTTTAAGCCAGTTAGAGCTGGGTTTTCTTTCTTTTTTTTTTTTTCGTTTGAGATGGAGTCTCGCTCTGTTGCCCAGGCTGGAGTGCAGTGGTGCGATCTCGGCTCACTGCAAACTCCACCTCCCGGTTTCAAGTGATTCTCGTGCCTCAGCCTCCTGAGTAGCTCAGATTACAGGCACACACCACCACGCCCAGCTAATTTTGTATTTTTAGTAGAGGTGGGGTTTCACCACGTTGGTCAGGCTGGTCTTGAACTCCTGACCTCGTGATCCACCTGCCTCAGCCTCCCAAAGTGCTGGGATTATAGGCATGACCCACCGCGCCCGGCCAGGGCTGGGTTTTCTATAACTTGCACTCTCCAAATATTGTAACTGATGAGGGACATTCCTTCCACTCCCACTGTGTGCTGATTTGATAAGTGTCACCCTCGCAGGTCAACTTTTCGCTTTTTGAGTGGTCTCACCATTGCTCTATCCTGTCCTTATGCACCACCCGGTACCAGCTCCCTTAATCTCACAACCACCTTAGAAAATATGTGTTATCCCTCTTCTAGAAACAAGGAAATAAAGTCCTAGAGAGGCGAGGGAACTTGGGCTCAGTGAAGCCACTGAAATATATCTTGACTGAAAAACTATCTCTGAAACCATCACCAACTACTGGTCAGAGAAAGGAGAAGATAACATCTTCTACTGAAAAAAGAAAAAGAGAGGGAGTACCTAGGTCCCAAAGGTGTGTGGAAGCGGCATTCAGACCTTGACATCTTAAGCTCTCCCACCTGGGTCCACTGATGCTGAGCCTGGATGTATTAGGCTGTTCTTGCATCGCTGTAGAGAAATACCTGAGACTGGGTAATTTATCAAGAAAATAAGCCTCCTGGCTGGGCACGGTGTCTCACGCCTGTAATCCCAGTACTTTGGGAGGCTGAGGTGGGTGGATCACCTGAGGTTGGGAGTTCTAGACCAGCCTGGCCAACATGGCGAAACCCTGTCTCTACTAAAAATACAAAAATTAGCCAGGTGTGGTGCGGGCGCCTGTAATCCCAGCTACTCGGGAGGCTGAGGCAGGAGAAATGCTTGAACCTGGGAGGCAGAGGTTGCAGTAAGCCGAGATTGTACCACTGCACTCCAGCCTGGGCAACAGAGCCAGACTCCATCTCAAAAAAAAAAAGAAGAAAGAGAGAGAGACAGAGAGAGAGTCAGAGAGAGAAGAAGAAGAAAAAGAAGGAGGAGGAGGAGAAGAAAGAAGAAAGAAAAAAGAAAGAAAGAAGGAAAAGAAAAGACAAGAAGGAAGGGAAAGAGAGAAAGAGAAAGGAAGAAACAAAGAGAAAGAAAGGAAGAAAAGAAAGGAAGGAAGGGAAAGAAAGAAAGAGAAAAGAAAGAAAGAAGGAAAAGAAAAGAAGGAAGGGAAAGAGAGAGAGAAAGAGAAAGAAAGAAGAAAAAGAAGGAAGGGAAAGAGAGAAAGAGAGAAAGAAAGAAAGAGAAAGAAAGAGAAAAAGAAAGAGAAAGAAAGAAGGAAAGAAAGAAAGAAAGAAAGAAAGAAAGAAAGAAAGAAAGAAAGAAAGAAAGAAGGAAAGAAAGAAAGAAAGAAAAAGCAAGCAAGCAAGCAAGCAAGCCTCCTACCCATTAACGGAGTGCCTAGCGGGGCTGATGTGGTCATGTCGGTGAGAGGCAACACTGGGAGAAGTTAGAATTCTCCATGATCTCTGTTACTCATATTCCCAAACCTCTCAAATTAGCCTGAGGCTCATGGTTCTGCAGGCTATACAGAAAGCATGGCGCCAGCATCTGCTCAGCTTCTGGGAGGCCTCAGGAAGTTTTACTCATGGCAGAAGGTGAAGCAGGAGTAGGCGTGTCACATGGCCAGAGCCGAAGCAGAAGAGCAAAAGAGAGTTGGTGGACAGAGGTGCCACACACCCTTTTTTTTTTTTTTTTTTGAGACGGAGTTTGGCTCTTGTTGCCCAAGCTGGAGTGCAGTGGTGCGATATCTCAGCTCACTGCAACCTCCGCCTCCCGGGTTCAAGCGATTCTTCTGCCTCCACCTCCCAAGTAGCTGGGATTTCAGGCATGCGCCACCACGTCCGGCTAATTTTTGTATTTTTGGTAGAGACAGGGTTTTGCCATGTTGGCCAAGCTGGTCTCAAACTCCCGACCTCAGGTGATCCACCCGCCTCGGCCTCCCAAAGTGCTGGGATTACAGGCATGAGCCACCATGCCAGGCCCCACACACCTTTTAAACAACCAGATTTCATCCATCGGGAAGTGCCTGTGGGGCTGGTGTGGACATGTGGGTGAAGGTGGCACTGGGAGAAGTTAGGATTCTCCATGACCTCTGTTACTCATATTCCCACACTCCTCAAATTAGCCTGAGTCTCGAGGACAGTCTGATGGCTGGGCAAACCCTGCGGCAAACCATTCCCCAGCCCTGCCCTCTCAACCAGAGTCCTTCCGATACATGATTCTGGGCAGCTGTTGTTACCCGTGTCCTCCATGTTCTTCCAGAGATATCCATGCATGCATTGGCATATGTGTATAATTATTATATCTATATTTCATCCCACAAGCTTTTGACATCAATAGTAGCATATTATTAAATTGTTCTGTACATTATTTTATTAACTTGGTATCTCTGGTACTGCTCAATATAAGAACATATAGACCTGGCCAGGCACAGTGGCTCACATCTGTAATCCCAGCATTTTGGGAGGCTGAGATGGGTGGATCACTTGAGGTCAGGAGTTCGAAACCAGCCTGGCCATCATGGTGAAACCCCCATTTCTACTAAAAATACAAAAATTAGCCAGGTGTGGTGGCAGGCGCCTGTAATCCCAGCTACTTGGGAGGCTGAGGCAGGAGAATTGCTTGAACCTGGGAGGCAGATGTTGCAGTAAGCCGAGATCACGCCACTGCACTCCAGGGTAGGCAACAAAGCGAGACTCTGTCTCAATAAAAAAAAAAAAGGAATGTATAGACCTTCTTTATTCTTTTTGATGGCTGTAGGTGGATGTTCTAAAATTTGTGTAACCAATCTCCTATTGATAATATTTAAGTTATGTCTTCAGCATCATATGAAACTTACAAACAAGGTTGCATTGACTATCCATCTGTAAATGTCTTTTTGAACATTTCTAGAATAATTGCAGGATAAACTCCTAAAATGAGAATTTCTGGGTCAAAGAGGATATGCATTTTACATTTAATAGATATTTGTCAAATTGTCTTCCAAAGTGGTCGTACCAATTAACACCCCGACCTGTAATGAATGAGAGTGCCTTTTTTCCCCACACCCTGGAGAGATGAAAAATTTATGGGCCCACTTTGGAGTGCATGGTGGAGGAAGCTGTTGGCCGTTATATAACCCTCGTCATTAATAAGCCTGGGGGTGGGGGGGGAGAAAGAGAGGTTAGTTAGTGGGTGCAAACATACAATTAGATAGAAGTAATAAGTTCTAATGTTCGATAGCAGAGGAGGGTGACTATAGTTAACAACAATGTATTGTATATTTCAAAATAGCTAGAATGGAGGACTTAAAATATTCCAACACATAGAAATAATAAATGCTTGTCTGCGGCCATGCCACCCTGAATGTGCCAGATCTTGTTTGTTCTTGGAAGCTAAGCAGGGTTGAACCTGGTTAGTATTTGGATGGGAGAAATGATAAATGCTTGAGGTGATAGATATCCTAAATACCCTGTCGAACATTATACATTCTATATATGTAACAAAATATCACACGTATCCCATAAATATGTACAAATATAATGTATCAGTAAAGAGAGGGCTGGGCACGGTGGCTCACATCTGTAATCCCAGCAATTTGGCAGGCCAGGGTGGGAGGATAGCTTGAGGCCAGGAGTTCAAGATCAGCCTGGGCAACATAGCGAGACTCTGTCTCCACAAAAAATAAAAATAAAAACGAATTAGCCAGGCGTGGTGATGCATGCTTATAGTCCCAGCTACTTGGGAGGCTGATGCAGGAGGATTGCTTGAGCCCAGGAGTTTGAGGCTGCAGTGAGCCTACGACTGCACCACTGCACTCTCCAGCCTAGGCAACAGAGGAAGACCATGTTTCTAAAAGAAATAAATTAAATAAAATAAATAAAAATAAAAAGACTGAAAAGCAGAGTGGTAAGAGAAAGGACTTTGGGGCTCAACAGTACTAGCCTTGAACCCTGGCTGTTACTTACCCATCGTGTGATAAGCAAATGCCTTAACCCCTGTGTGCCTCACTTTCTTAACATATAAAATAGAAGTAAAAATCATACCCACTTCAAGGGTCATTATAAAAAGCCAATAGAGATAATGTATATAAAGCTTCTGGAATAATGCCTGGCACACAGTAGGAGTTTAATAACTGGAAATTCATTGTTGTAGTGGGCAGCCTTCTGAATCTGTGTCCTCTTTGTCCACTAATGGCTTTGATCTGGATTTGGCTCAGGCAAGACCTGGGGAAGGGCAGAGACTGAGGGCAACTGGAGGTATAGGGTGGTCTGAGCTTCCCCAGCAGAGTGAGGCTGGGAAAGGTCTGGGAGACAGACCAGGCAGGTGCTGATAAGACCGGAATGGGAGGCTGGAGCATAAGGCAGTTCAGTTTTTCCCAAAGGGGGGTGTACAAAACGATCTCGTATGACTCCTTTATACTGTTAATGTTTTCATTTTATCGCGCACTGAAAAACAAAACCAACATATTTAATGAATGATTCCAAGGGGATTCTTGCTTTTACAAAAAATGCTAAAGTAGGCATTCACATGTTTAAAAATTGAGTTGATTTAAATTTTAAAATTACTAAGTCATAGTACATAATGTGTGAGCCACAGCTATCCCCAAAATCATGATAGCGATACATTAATGACTGAAGTTCTTTAAACATCAACATACAATGCCAATTCCAGAATTCAGCTCAAATTCTGCAATTACACAGGCTGGGGTTGAAACCCAGCTTTTTTGCTAACTGTGTAAAATTAGGCAGGAGGGCTAACCTCGCTGAATCTCAGATGTCTAGTCTGTAAATTGAAGATAATGTTTGTTTTTATCTCACAGAGTTGTTGTGAAGATTCAATAAAATCACAACATGTGAGGATGATCTGGCTGTGACACCTGTCACCCCACTGATCTCCAGAGTTGATTCGGCTGATCAGGCTGGCTGGGCAGGTGTCCCCTTTCTCCCTCACCACTCCGCATGCATTCCTCCCGAAACTGCACACTTGGTCAAAGAGGAAGACCTTTCCTGATAGAGGAGGACCATTCTTCAGTCAAGGGTATATGAGCACCTGTTCTGTCCTGCCAGAATCTCCGAAGGAGCTCTCAGTAAAATCACAAGATTTTATTGTGCATGGTAGCATGAGCCTGTAATCCCAGCTACTCAGGAGGCCGAGCTAGGAGGACTGCTTGAGCCCAGGAGTTTGAGACCAGCCTGCGCAACATAGTGAGACCCTGTCTCAAAAAAAAGAAAGAAAGAAAGAAAAGAATAATAATAGTAATAAATCACCTGTGCAACGTGCTCACTTCTCTCTTTGGAATGTAGTAAGTGTACCTAATAAATGTGATCATTGTAATCATCACAGTGAGCACAGGCTAAAGCATCTTGACTTTATTCTATAAGCAATAAAAGAGGATTTGTTTTTACAGAACTCATTATGTTGTGAAAATAATTTTCCAACATTAACAAAGAACATTCTTCAAGTAAAAGGAAAACCACCCATCATTCTCCCAACCTTCAATAATTTTCAATTTTGCATATTCTCCAGACTTTGTCAACATGAATACTTACTTTACATGGTCGCAATCAGTGTTCATGCAAATTCTTTTATCCTGACTTTTATAAACAAATATGATGTTATAAACCGGTCTCCATGTTTCTGCATATTCTTTATAATTATCATTTTGTGGCTGCATAATATTGCATTGACTATGTTAACTGCAGTTTTCTTAACCATTTCACTGTCTGGGGAAATGGAGGATAATGCCAGGGTCATGCCTGGAGCTTTTTTTTGTCTATTGCATTATATTCTTAAGATCAAATCCCAGCAGTGAGATTAGTCAGTCAAAAAGTAATAATATTTTCAAGGCTCTTGTTATATTTTACTAGATTGTTTTCCAGAGTTTTGCACACTGCTCCCAGAGATGTAGGAACACAGACGTCATCCAACCTTGCCAGTGCTGGGTGATGGTGTTTATAAACTTCTGCTAATTTAATAAGTATGAAATGCTATCCTCACACGGCTTTCATTTCTATCTCTTTGATCATTAACAGGTTGAACTATTTTCCAAGTATTTGTTTACTCTCTGCATACCCTCTTGGGTGAAGTAGTCATCCACTTCCTTCACCTGTTTATCTGTTGAAGTCTTGAGGCTTGTTTTATAAATGTGAGCGAGCACTTCAGAGTCAATAGACATTAATTGCTTCCAGCCAGATTTGGCCACTGAGGCTCCTGAGCAGGGGAATGCATGATCAAAACTACACCCTGGACAGATTAAATTAATTGGAGAAAATGGGCTGAGAGGCAGAGATATGTGTCACTGGCCTACTGTGTTTGATCCTATAGTGGGGGCCTGAACTGGGGCAACGGCCTGAGTCCCCCACTACCAGTAGCAGGAGGCTCCATGTGTCCCCCATATTAGAGCTTGCGGCACTTCCATTTGCCCCACCTCCTACAATACCCCACATACATGTACTCACTCTCCCTTGCAAATCTAGTGGCTTCAACCCACAGAATTTAAGGGGAAAGGAATTGTTCTGTCCTGTTCACTTACTGCAGAAATGAGAAAAGCGTTGTTCACATGGGATCACCTAATGAAGGGATGCCATCCCCAACGGTGCCTATAAGGAAATGGGGGAGGGTTGGAGAGTTGTGCAAAATGCAACAGGGAATCATCAGAGTCTCTTGCCCCATGATAGAGGGTTCTCAAATTAAGAGAGTCTACAGCAACTAATCTCACGGCCACTCTAGGCAGGGCTTCCCAATGCTTCCCCAACCCCACCTCCATCCTAGACTTTACCCACTCTGCTGAACACAGATGTTACCCATAGCACCTTGCACCATGATTGTTTGATTAGCACCTCCCACAGTAGACTGTGTTTCTGATAGGTCAGCAACATTTGCTGAGCACCTACTCTGCAGGGCTGTGCCAGGTGCACAAAATAAACAAAGCCAAAGACAACATGGACCCTGAACTCAGCAAGTTCAGAGTCAAGTGGGATAGGGAGGCTCTCTTCACTGGAAGGTAACTCCAAGAAACAATGGGACTCAACTTTCTAACCAAGAGAACTCCAGGGAGCTAAAATTCTGACTTCTGGTTAAGACTGGTGTGGAGCTTCATTAAAGAAGAAAAGATTCACCCAGACTTGAGTTCATAGCCTGGCTTTGCAGCTTTTAAGTCATGTAACCTTTGATGAAGTTATGTGACCTCTCCACCCAGCTGCCCCTAACACTTGCAGGGGCAGGGCTGGAGTGCAAAGGGAGGCACTGGTACCACAGCCTGGGAGGCACCACCCCACTAGTGCAAGCCGGGCAACCTCTGCCCCCAAGGCATCCCTAGCCTCCCAACTGCAAGCATCAATCTTGCACTTGGAAAGGAACCTCACCTTTGAAATCTAGGTTCAAATTTAGAATGATCCAGCTCCTTGAAGTTCTATACAGAAATACAGCCAGCAGCCAGGCCCGGTGGCTCACGCCTGTAATCCCAGCACTTTGGGAGGCTGAGGTGGGTGGATCACTTGAGGACAGAAGTTCGAGACCAGCCTGACCAACATGGTGAAACCCCGTTTCTACTAAAAATACAAAATTAGCCAGGCATGGTGGTACACGCCTGTAATCCCAGCTACTTGGGAGGCTGAGGCAGGAGAATTGCTTGAACCCAGGAGGCAGAGGTTGAAGTGAGCCAAGATCGTGCCATTGCACTCCAGCCTGGGCAACAAGAGCGAAACTCCATCTCAAAAAAAAACAAAACACACGCAGCTTCCCTCCACTTCCCAACCACAGCTCCATCTCAGACAACAAGGGGCCTCATGTCCATGCACATGAATATCCAACCAACATGTCTAAGGCCCAACCACACCCTCTCCAAACATCTGCCCCTTGGCCACCCTTTGGCCATGGGTTCATGCACTGGCAGAAAGGTAGTTCAGAGAAGAAGCCCACAAAGGGCCGGGAAGTCCACTTGGGCTTTTTGAGATTCCAGGGTCCAGGATAACCTAAGTGTGGTCTAGAAGAGAGATGCAGCTTCTGGGAGGCACATTCCTTGGTCTTAGGGACTTCTTGCCCCCATGGAGGGAAACTGGCTAGATGAGGGCCAAAGCAGAGCCCTCTAAAGCACAGGGCTCAGGGAAGGACTCTTTTTGACCAGATCTAAGAGCAGCACTACCTCTCTGAGCCTGTTTCTCCATCTGTAAGAAGGGGACATTAATAGACTCTCCCCGCTAGAGTTACTCTACATCAGCCAGCACACGTAAGTTCATGACATGAAGCAAGGGCTTAATATATACCCGTTGTACTATAAATAATAGGCCAGGCCTGGTGGCTCACACTTGTAACCCCAGCACTTTGGGAGGCCGAGGAGGATGGATCACAAGGTCAGGAGTTTGAGATCAGCCTGGTGAAACCTCATCTCTACCAAAAATACAAAAATTGGCCGGGTGTGGTGGCGTGCACCTGTAGTCCCAGCTACTTGGGAGGCTGAGGCAGGAGAATTGCTTGAACCCGGGAGGCAGAGTTTGCAGTGAGCCAAGATCTCACCATTGCATTCCAGCCTGGGTGACAGAGCAAGACTGCATCTCAAAATAAATAAATACACACATACATACATACATACATACATACATACATACATACATACATACAATACATGGACAGGGACCCTAAAAATGAGACAGGGAAAGAGAAAAACATGTTCTGACAACCTTGCCCTTTATACTAATTTAGGTTTTCTTGCCTGTTTTAGAAAGGGCCTGGACAGGAGCCCTGTTCCCCTCAGGCCAGGCAGAACAAGGTGTGGAACTCACTGTGGAAGGGTTCTGGGTGACAAGTGCAGCCCCGTCCCTCCACCTCCCAGCACAGTAGGCAGCACGTGTCTCCATTGACTGGCTCAGGAGCAGGCCTGGTGACCAGTGGGAGAGCTGAGGAGCCCAGGGTGGGGTCTGAAGGAATCCCTAGAAAATCTGATTTTCCCCCAGGGCCCACATCACGTGCCCAGAGCTGGGAAAGTGGAGGCAGCATGGGATCTAGCTGAGAGGCTCCATTTTTGGTAGCTTCTAGTTTGGGAGTCACAGAGACACCTGGATGATACGAAGATGTAGCTTTGCAGGACTCTCTAGAACATGGAGTCCAAGATATTCCCTTCAATGATGGGACACTGAAGCCCACAGAGGAGAGGTCTGTCCCAGTTACTCAGCCATTCGGAGGCAGAGACCAGGCTAGAACTCAGGACTTTTAATTTGGACCAGGATTCCTTTTACCACAGTGGGCAGCCCTAGCAAGTGCCAGGTAGGGTGGAACTGTGAAGGTCATCCGAGGGGTAGTACACGTGGGTAGGAAGTCATATCTAAGAACTGACCCCCAGACCTGGCTCTGCCACTCACTCCTTATGAGACCACAGGTGCTGGGTGCAGTGGTTCACACCTGCAATCCCAGCACTTTGGGAGGCCAAGGCAGGCAGATTGCTTGATTCCAGGAGTTCGAGACCAGCCTGGGAAACATAGTGAGACCCCCACCTCTACCAAAATTAGCCAGGCGTGGTGGTGTCTGCCTGTAGTCCCAGCTACTTGGGAGGCTGAGGTGGGAGGACTGCTTGAGCCTGGGAGGCGGAGGTTGCGGTGAGCCAGGATCATGCCACTGCACACCAGCCTGGATGACAGAGTGAGACAGAATGACACACTGTCTCAAAATAAATAAATAAATGACAGCAGATCATCATTTTTCTTTCTGCCTCTAGACTGCAATGCCTATTTCTCCAGGTAGTCACTAGGATAAAAGTAAAAATAATATTATCAGCATTTACCAAATACAGGGTCAGCTACTCTGTTATGTTCTTTCATGCTTTGTTTCTTTTAAGCCTCAAACAACTCTATGAGCTGGGAACAAGTATCGTCCTTCTTCCTCCCATCTTATTTATTTATTTATCTATGTATTTATCTATCTATTCATTTATTTATTTATTTTGAGACAAGGTCCTTCTAAGTCACCAGGGATGGCCTCAAACTTGAGCTAGGAACTAGTGTCACCACCCCCCAATTTCTTTTATTGATTGATTGATTGATTGACTGACTGGTTAATTTTGAGGCAGGGGTCTCGCTAAGTCGACAGGGCTGGTCTTGAACTCCTAGTCTTAAGCAATCCGCCCGCCTCAGCCTCCCAAATTGCTGGGATTACCAACACGAGCCACCATGCCCAGCCCCTCCCATCTTCTGAATAGGAAAACTGGGGTTTGAAAAGGTAAGCGACTTGCCCAAGGTCCCCTCCCTAGCTAGAGAGCTTCAGAGCCAGGGCACAAACCCATCAAAGCCTGTGCTCTCGCCCATTGAGCCACCGGACCTCGTACACTAACCGCCAAGTGTTCTACACAGTGAAGGTGACAAAGAGGTGAAGGGAAGAGCCAGGGAGGTTCTGTGGACTCACTCGGTGGGTATGCCCAGAGGGAAGGGGGATCTTGGGTGGCACATTGAGAGTAGCTGCGCTGTTAGTAAGTGAGAACTCGGAAGTCCAGACTCATCCAGTCTGTGCCAATAAACCCCTCCTTCTACCTGGTCTCCTTTCCAAAGCCAGCTGTTCTCCAGACAATGGGGTGGGCGGGGGCGGGTGTCCTCCTCCTTCTCAGGGAAAATCCGACGCTGAGCCCATCTCCAGAGATCTTGGCTTCCCGTGGGGCTGCAGATCCACCTAGAGCCACCAGAGGGCGGGCCAGCACTGCGGCCAAGGCTTGAAGACCCAGCACACCAAAGCCCGGCCAAGCCTCCAGCCCAGTGTCCAAGAGTCCAGCCAGAGGCCGAGTCCTCGATCTCAAAATGTCTAACTGCAGAAGCCCAACTCATGTTCAGGCATGATGTGTCTGATTCTACTGGGACAATCATTGCCACCAAAGAATTACTGCCAAAATAGTAACGACATTAGCTACCTACCACCCCTCCACACACCAACACACCTCATTTTACCAAGCACTTTCTCATGCCTGGGGTGCCTGGAGACTTAATGCAGCCTCGCGATGACCGGGTAGCCTCACCGTACAGATGAGGAAACTGAGGCACAAGGAAGGGGAGTACATTGTCTAGGGTCACCTGGAGAACTCTGATCTCCAGACTCAAATTTCCAATTCGTCCCCCCTCCCCCCAACCCTAACCGGAGCTAGGTGGGGTGGGGACAGCAAATGTGGATGGGGGGAGGTAAGAGGGGTCAGAGTGCTCTACAGAGAAGACCAAATGCATTGTGGCACCTACTGTAAAATGAGACCAGCCAGCCACCCACCCACCAGCCAGCCACCTAAAAGTCTTCAGTGGGCACCTGCTGGAAACACGACAATGGATGACACGAGTTCCCTGCCCTCAAAAAGCTGGTAGTCTAGTTGGGGGTGGAGGGGGTGAGTCAGCAGATAATTATGGGAAACCGTGACACCTGTATAAGGGGCGGGGATGAGCAGAGGGGCTGCGACTGCCTGGAGCCAGGGATTCCCGGACGGGGCTTCCCTTTCCTCGCAGCTCGTCCCAGGAGGAGGAGCTCCCCCCCAGCTTCGGGGTTCCGCCTGCCTTGGGGGCCCGGGGTCCCCTCCCACCCCTCCCCGAAGAGCGCGGGCCCCGGGAACCGATGACAGCACACCTGAGTCAGCCCGCCGCCCACCCGCCCCTCAGCGTCTGTCTCCGCATCTTGTGATATTTCGCTCCCCGGGAGCCAGCCCCACTGCGCTCCGGAGGCAGCTCGGCAAACAAACCCAGCGACAGATTGTGCCGCGGCTCATTCCGGGGAAGGACGCCAAACCCCACCCTGCTACCCCCAACACTCCCTCCCCGCCGCCGCCTCCAGGCCCTCCCCCCAGGCGCAGGCCCTAGTCGGGGTGGGTCCTGGGGAAACGCAGGGTCCTGTCCTGCCTCCTGGAAATAGGGGGAGCCCTGGGTGAGGGAAGACGGGAGCCCCAGAGACTTTTCTTTCTGTTTCTACCTGATCCGAAAACGAGAGGGGCGGGAAAGGAAATTTAGGGGCACAGAGAGGAGCTGGGGGGCCGAGAAGGTCCGAAAATGGAACCAGCAGGGGGCACCCGAGAGCCGAGGTGCCCACGGGCCGGGAGCCTGGGAATGAAACTGGGGAAGAGGGGGAGAGAAAGGGAGGCAGAGACACCGAGACACACAGAGACGAGAGACAGAGACGCAGGGAGCCCCGCGGGGAGGAGGAGAGAGACGAAGACACAGAGAGACAGTGAGAAAGACAGAAGACCGGGCAGGGAAACAGACGAGTAGAGACAGAAAAGGTCCGAGAGAGAGTGAGGGAGGGAGGGAACAGAGAGACAGAGACCACGAAATATGAGTAAGAGTCGGGGGAGAAAACCAGAGAAATCGAATGAGAACGCGAGAAGAACGAGAGACCGTGGAGGGAGCAGAGAATGAATGGGAAGAATAAGACCAACATTTATCAAGAGCCGACTGTATGCCAGGCACTGCATTGGACCCTGGCACGGATAGGAAAGGAGGAGCCGCGGCGCGGGCAGCGGGGCGAGGGGCTTCTGTGCTCGCGGGAGCGGCAGCCCAGGGGGCTCAGCAGCCCCGGCACCGCCGCACCTGAGGCTCCAGCAGCCCCAACCCCGCCAGCGCTGCCTGGCCACCGTACCCGAAGCGGCTCCCCCGAGGGCCCCGAGCCTATCCTACGCCGGGGCGGCTCCGCGGACGCGCCGGGCCGAGTCAAGACCTGGGTCAACCGCCCTGCAGCCTTTGTAGGGAAGTGCCTAGGTGATGGGTCTGCTGATACCGCCTGTGACCAGGCCATGAAGGGCCAGAGGGGCTCCAGTGAGACCATAATCCGCCCCTCTTTAAAAGGGGGTAGAGGAAGTTCACGCGAAGCCAACAGTCTTCTCCCCAGCTTTGGGTCCTCTCCTGCACCCCCGCGGGAGATAAGGTCTCCCCTCCCGGACACATCATACATACACAAAAAAACGCACACACTCGCACGCGCGCCCATCTCGCACCCGCTTGTAAATGCACTAAGGGGCATACACACACCGGGCACATATTTCTTTCCACCCATCCCCAAGATCGCAAGCGCAAAACCTCGCACAGCCTCACGTTTCCCACCAGCTCAGACATGCACGCTGGCGGACTTTCAGCGGCTCACCCGTGTGCACACTCACGTGCCCCCCCCCCCGCTTCCCCAAGCCCGTACAAAGGGTAACGGGCAAGCATCCTGAGTCACACCTGCACAAGCATCCTTGCGCGCACGTGCACGCTCATATGCACTCGATCTTGCACGCACAAACTCTTGCATATACTATTCTTATAGTCGCACACTGGGCTTGAGGTCTGGGAGTGGAAGGAAAAGTGGAATCTTGGAGCTGTCCCAGGGGACAGAAATGCTGGAGGCTGGGACACTGGCGCGAGGGACGCGGCTGGGGGCGGGGGAGGGGGTGACCCAGAAGCTCATCTTCTCCTGGAAAGTTGGGAGGGGGGAACAGGACAAGTCCACGGCGTTCCTCTAAACTACCGCATTCCCCCAAGAAGGGATTTCTCTAGAAGAGTGGCGCCGCGAGGACGATCGAACACAGTCCTCCGGGTCGCTTAAGCGGGGGGGAGGGGGGCGGGGTGGAGGGGGTTAGAAAGCCGCTCCCGCCTCCTAGTGGTCGAGAAAGGGTTAAGTCGGCAAGCCAGCAAACGAGGGAGGAGCCAGCGAGTGCGGGAAGGAGTGGGGGTGGTTGGGAAGAGCTTCCTCGCTGTCCCCACTCTCCCTCGGCTAGCAGCCTGGGCACACGGACAGACGGACTGACGGACTCTCGAGCGGACAGCGCAGCTAGCGGGGCGCGGGCGCTGGGCGTCGACGGCCAGCCCCAGCCTTCCCCGCCCCGTCGCGCCCCGCCCCGTCCCGTCGGGGCCGATGGCTCCTCCCGAGGCCCGCAGCCCGGGCGGCGCAGGGTAGAGCGCCGCGGCCCGGCCACGCAGCCCGGGGACTCCCGGGCCCTCCCGGAGCCCCGCGGGGTCCCCGCCGTGCATCCGGCGGGCTCAGGGAGCGAGTGGGAGCGCCCTCCCCCCGCTGCCCCCTCCCCCGAGCATCGAGACAAGATGCTGCCCGGGCTCAGGCGCCTGCTGCAAGGTAAGAACGCCAGCGGCGGGAGAGCGGAGGGCATCCTGGGGAGAGAAGCAGGGCGTCCCCTCTTTCAGGGATTGAGGGTGGGGCAGTTGGGGAGGTGGGGTAACCTGGGGAAGGGGAAAAGCTCAGCGCTGGGGCCGCGCCCCCGCCGCCAGGGCTGTTCTCAGCAGGAGGGCACTTGGCTGGGAGCCCGCGGGCGCGTGCGAGGAGCTCGTGACCGAGGTGGGACGCAGGGGGCAGGTGGACCCGGCCCGGAGCGGGGAGGGAGGCTCAGGTTCCGCTGTCCCCGCTCCACCTGCTCCGGGGGACGCTGAGGACTCGGGCCGGCTGGGGAAGCGCCGACTCAGCAACTCCTCCTGCCCGGTGCCTCAGCACTTTCTGGCCACCTGGGAAGACAGGAGATGTGGGTAGGGGGCTGTCTGGGGAGGTAGGAGGCGCAGAGGGAAATCCAAGTGGCCCTCTCTGGTAGGAGAGATGGAGGGCGCTAGAAAGAGGATAGTTCTACTGATTGAGTGACAGATAAGGGTGTGGGCCAGAGACTGGGGGTGGGGTGGGGAGGGGTCAGGGGGAGAGGGATAGGAAGGAGAACTCAAAGATGGAGAAAGTGGTGAGGGAAGCTCAAAGGAGGAGGGAGATGGAGCGGGGGAGGGGGAGAAGGAATAAAGGTTAGATGGGAAAAGCGTGGAGGGAAGTGGGACCCAGGTGAAGACCAAGGAAGAGGGAAGGAGAGGAAAGACCAGATCAGGGGAGGGATGGGAAGAAGACTATGGACAGGGACCCAGAATCCTGGGATGGAGGTAGCGGGAAAGAGAATCAGGACTGGGACCCTGGGGACTGGAATGGAAAAGGAGAATGGAAAGATCAGAAACCAGAGAAGGATGGGGATGGTGACTAGAGAAGGGGTATCAGGAACCGGCGAAGAGGGTTGGAGACAGGGAACCATGGATGGGAGAGGGGCTGGAGAGGAGGGAAGAGGAGGAGGAAGAGAAAGGCTGAGAGAGAGGGACTGGGGATTGGGGGTGCTGCCCAGGGATGAGACAAAGAGGCTTCTGGTAACCACTTCCACGTGGGAAGCCCTCCATTCCCAAAGCGCCTGCCTGCCACATTTCTTCTCTCAGGGAGTGGCTGGTGGGCCAGATGGGGGGTGCTTTGAGCTCAGGGCCCTGGGGGTGGCTGTGAGGGACAGAGGGTGAGGACTTTGGAAGGGGAGTGACAGCCTCCGAGGGTGGGCAAACAGGCTGGCTCCTGTGCTGCCATTTATTTATCCGGCCTGGACGTTGGATTCTGCAGCCGCTGCCGCCACCACGGTGGCTGCTTATTTTGGGGTGTTACATTCTGGCAGAGTGAGAAGCTGTTTGCAGCAGCTCTAAACCTCCGTCACCCGCGTCAGTGCCTCCCCAGGCCCCTGCGTCACTGGCATCACCACCACCTCCATCCCACTCCTCAGCTCCCACCTCCTCAGCCCCTGCCCCCTCAGCATCTGCCCGCAGGCCCCAGCCCTTCCCTGAAGCAGCCCGTTGGGTGTGGAGCCCTTGCTTCTCGTCTGGGACCCTGTGCCCCTCCTTCCAGAGCGAGAGGCCTCTGCTGCCTTTCCAGGGAGCATCCTTTCCTGGGACCACTCTGCACCAGCGACTCTGCCCTGTGGGTGGGTAGCCTGGATCCTGCCCCCTACTTTGGGTCCAGTTTTCTTCTCCTCAAGTTCCTTCTTCTACAGGGGCCTCCGGCCCAAAGAGTGGCCTGTGGGCTGAGAACTTTGTTTCTGAGCCTTGGTACTCCAAGGTTTGATAGCCAGAGTCCTGGACAGTGGTCCCTCAGTGAACAGATACTTTTGGCTCTGGACACTTCAGCCTTCCGGGATCAATACCATGTTCTGGCCTCTCTTGGCTCCCTCCCCTGGTCAGTTCTGGCCATATATTCTGGACAGGGGTCATCTCTTCTTGACTCCCACATGTAATCACTACTCTAGAACAACCGCAACTGGAAGCCTAGGAGGTGAAAGTTGCAGAGAGAGCTGGAGTCCCTTCCTTGCCTTGACCCTGAATAGCCAAACAGACTCAGCATTGTGGCTGGCCCAGCCCTAGGCACCTGGGTGCAATTTCTCTCCTGTCTTTACCTCAAGGGCAGTGTCTCACACATTCAGGCGTGGTTTCTGCGGAGGATGTGGCCACCTCTTAAAGAAAGATCAGAGTGTCTCTCTGACATGGGCTTGATGTCCCTCTTTTCCAATCTGGGTTCCACCTTGTACTAGCTGCATGACCTGAGGCCACTGTGTCATGTTTCTGGGGCTCCCTTCCTTCATCTGCAAATTGGGGGCCACAATATTGACCTCCAGGGGATTATGTGTGTTGTGTTCAATGTATAAAGAAGTTAACCTGTACAAATGCAGTGCCTAGGACAAAATAGGTGCTTCTTGGTTTCCTCCTACCCTGCTGTACTCTCCCCTGCAGCTCTAGCCATCCCCTGCTGACTTTAGAGGAGGGGGTGAGCAGAGAGGGTGGGGGAGGCTGCTACAAAGGGCTTTCCTCTGTCCATGAAGTAGTGGAGGGATGAAATGAAGGCTTCTGAGAAAGACAATGAAGGCGAGCTGTAGAGACCTGGTCAGGAGGCCTGGGGTGCTCAGAAACTCACACTTCCCCTCCCCAGCCCTCAATGGTGTTACCTATGATGTGAGGGGTCGGCTCTAGGTGGCCACCGAGGTATCCCCCTTTCCAGCTCTGATACTCTGTGCATCTTGCCCCAGTCTCCACCGGGAATTCACAAAATGAAGGCCAGGAGTGGAGCCGTGGTCCTCGGGAGAGACAGGAGGCCTGGGCCTGGAGGGAAGGAGTGGTGGTGCTGAGGAGGAGTGAGAACAGGGGGTGGGGAAGGGACGTGGCAAGAAAGAAAAGGGCACACACTGGGCAGGGCAGGGACTGAGGGCGGGGGAGAGAGGGAAAGGCACAGCTCTCTAGTCCCCCAACCCCCCAGTCCCACCACCTCTGCCCTGGAGTGCTCGCTCCAGCCCCAGCAGGCCTGGGGCAGTGAAGCCCAGAGCCCCCTCCCCTCCCCTCCTCCTTGCCTCCAGTGAGAGCCGCTGCGTGAATTATGGATGAGCTCCTTGGGTTACAGCTGCTTTGCACGGCAGTGGCAAGGGCCAGAAATGGCAACAGAGTCACTGTTATGCAGCAGCTGTTATGGAGGAGCCCCCAGCACGGGGTCGCTCTTCAGAGAGCCTGCAGGGACCACTATCATGGGCTGGGGGAGGTGAGCCCTGGTTGGGGGAGACATGGGAACAAGATGGAAGGAGAGTGGGGAAAGAGAAGAGAAGTAGTCTAATGTGGGCAGGTGGGGAGCAGGAGAGTCTAGGGAGAGAAAGAGGAGTAGGCACCCTTGCCAGCTCCTGCAGAGTTTACCCTCAAGGCCGGAAGGAACCCTGATGCCAGGGGAATGGGCCTTGCCTCTGAGATTGCACATCCTTCCCTCTGTCTCTCCTGGGGCAGCGGTCAGTCCGGAGGCTGGGGGAAAGCTCTGTAATCCTCCAGGGGCTAGCGGCCATCAGGGCTCACACTCTGGTGAGCTTGTGGATAAGGGGTAGGATTAAGGGATCAGAGAAGGATTTGGCTTCTTTTGGTGTCAAGTCCTTAGGGAAGTGGAGATCAGAGGGTGACTCTGATAGGAAGGGAAGTGCCCTGGCTGGGCATCAAGAGACTTTTCTGGCCCTTTCCCTGCCAACACTTTGCTGTGTGACCTTGGGTAAGTCGCTTGCTCTCTCTGAGCTCCAGTCATCACCTCAGTAGAACTGATGCTTGAACCAGAGGAATCGAGGGGACCTTTGCGGCTTTGAAATCTCCAGTTCTAAGCCCCAAACCTCAACCCTCATGAAACCCACTCAGGGTCCCCACTGTGCTTCCACACTCCACCTCTGCCTGGTTCAGATGAGGGGTGAGAGACATTGCTCCTCCACCCCACGTGGGTCTAAGAAACTCGGGAGGAGAAAGTAATCGTGAAACGCCGCACGGGGGAGGGGTGAGAAGGGCCGAGAAACGCGGAGGTGGTGTGAACGAATGGAACAGCAGCCGCTGTGTCACTGAGTATTACATCACACCCAGCCTACACACGCACGGGGCCCGGCGCTCACACACACGCGGAGGACAGCCAGCACGCACCGACGCAGCACCGACGCAGCGCCAGGAGGGGCCGGGGACACTCACGGTGGGGCCCAAAAGCGAGGAGCAGCACACTGGGAGTGTGGATCTTCCACCCCGCACCTGTGTGCTCCCCCCTCTGGAGGAGGAACACCAGGGCAGCTGGGATGCCAGCGCCACACTCGGGGCCTGTCAGTCCCATGCGTGCACACCTGGCTGAGCAGCACTGCATTTGGTGAGCACCTGGCTCACGCCACTACCCAAAATCACAGATACATACACACATTCACGCACACGGCAACCTCAGGAGCGTGACACAACACACACAAAACCACCACTAAGCAAGTGCAATTTGCAGCCTTGGAGACCCCACACTCAAAATCACCAACCCCTCAGTCTCTCCCAGGGTCTCTGAACCCCAAGGAGCCCCAGGATGTCAGAGTGCAGAAACAAGTCTTCCTCCCCTCTGCCTTCAAAAGCCTAGGACGTTGCTTGAAGCAGAAGGTGTTCAGTCACTGTGTGCCCAGGGAATGACTGCCTGGCTTTGGGGGTGCAGGCTCCCTTTTTCCCCAGGCAAAACTGCCAGAAGAAAATCCCAGGAGTCACCTGGAAATCATAAGAAAGTGTAGAGGTCAAGCTAGTTCCGGCCTAGAACTTTATCAGCTATAGTGACGGCAAAGGCCAGGGATGATGGGAGGCCCTGCACCCCTATTAAAATATGAGTACAGACACCTGCACTCCACTCTCTAGCCCCCAGGCTCTCTGGGCCTGCTTTTCCATCAGTATCATAATAAGGATGGATCATATCCAACCTTCAAAAGTTACTTTGGGGGAAAAAAAAAAAAAAGCTTTGGCTGGATGCGGTAGCTTATGCCTGAAATCCCAACACTTTGGGAGGCCAAGGTGGGAGGATTGTTTGAGGCCAGGAGTTTGAGACCAGACTGAGCAACATAGCAAGACCCCATGCCTACAATTTTTTTTTTTTTTTTTTTTTTTTTTTTGATACAGAGTCTCGCTGTGTCACCCAGGCTGGAGTGCAGTGGTGCGATCTCGGCTCACTGCAAGCTCCGCCTCCCAGGTTCACACCATTATCGTGTCTCAGCCTCCCAAGTAGCTGGGACTACAGGCGCCCGCCACCATGCCCGGCTAAATTTTTTTTTTGTATTTTTAGTAGAGACGGGGTTTCACCGTGTTAGCCAGGATGGTCTCGATCTCCTGACCTCGTGATCCACCCGCCTCAGACTCCCAAAGTGCTGGGATTACAGGCGTGAGCCACCGCGCCCGGCCAAAAATTTTTAAAAAATTAGCTGGGTGCAGTGGCACGGGCCTGTGGTCCCAGCTCCTCAGGAAGCTGAGGCAGGAGGATTGCTTGAGCCCAAGTGATCCAAGCTGCAATAAGCTGTGATCGTACCACTGCACTCCAGCCTGGGCGATGGAGCAAGACCCTGTCTCCAAAAGAAAAAAAGAAAGAAGTTTTTAAGTAACTGCGAATGAGGAGAGCCTGGGGTGTAAAATGCAGATTCCCAGGCTGTCCCCCCAGGAATTCTGCATAGTTCCTAGGACTGGCTGGTGGCCTCACTTAGAGACCCGACCCTTAAGGCCCCTCCCGGCACAAAGAGGCTCTGACTCTGCAAGGGCGAAAAGTACAGGAAAGTAAGGGCACTGGGCACCAGTGGGCTGGCAAGACCAGACCCCAGAGTGAGTCCATTTCACACGGGCCTCAGATCTCCAAAGGGTCCCAAGTTACTTCCAGTCATTCTCCAATGGGGTGACTTTGCCCCCCAGGGGACATTTGGCAATGTCTGGAGACATTTTGGTTGTCACAACTGGAGGCAGGGTGCTGCTGGCATCTAGTGGGTAGAAGACAGAGATGCTGCTAAATGCCTTATATAGGGCTGCCCCCACAACGAGGAACTATCCGGCCCAACTGTCAATACTGAGGCAGAGAAACCCTGACGTTAGTCTTTTGACATTAATCTCTAGACAAGGTCAAACATGCAATAGTGAAAACAGGAATGAAGAGATGATCATTCTTCAACCAATTTGCAGTGCTTTCTACAATGGCCTTTTGGCATTATTTTTTAATATATGAGAAGCCTCAGAAAGTGGAAGTGGCCAGGCCACTTGAGGCTATAACGTTGTCCCCTGAGCCCCCAGACATGGGAGCACCAGGGCTCTAGGCCTTTATTTTTATTTTCTATTTTTTCCCCTGAAACAGGGTCTTGTTGTGTTGCCCAGGCTGGAGTGCAAGGGTGTGATCGTTGCTCACTACAGCCTCAAACTCCTGGGTTCAAGCGATCCTCCTGCCTCAGCCTCCCAAGTAGTTGGGACTACAGGCACATGCCACCATGCCTGGCTAATTTTTTTTTTTTTCTTGTAAAGACAGGGATCTCCCTATGTTGCCCAGGATAGTCTCAAACTCCTGGCCTCAAGCAATCCTCCTGCCTTGGCCTCCCAAAGTGCTGGGATTACAGGTGTGAGCCACCATATTCAGCCGGGTCTAGGCCTTTTACCAAGTTGGGGGGCTGGCCCCCAGCTGGCACTCCTGCCCTGGAAGCCCACCTAGTAAGTTCTGCTTCCCCTCCCCACAGCTCCCGCCTCGGCCTGCCTCCTGCTGATGCTCCTGGCCCTGCCCCTGGCGGCCCCCAGCTGCCCCATGCTCTGCACCTGCTACTCATCCCCGCCCACCGTGAGCTGCCAGGCCAACAACTTCTCCTCTGTGCCGCTGTCCCTGCCACCCAGCACTCAGCGACTCTTCCTGCAGAACAACCTCATCCGCACGCTGCGGCCAGGCACCTTTGGGTCCAACCTGCTCACCCTGTGGCTCTTCTCCAACAACCTCTCCACCATCTACCCGGGCACTTTCCGCCACTTGCAAGCCCTGGAGGAGCTGGACCTCGGTGACAACCGGCACCTGCGCTCGCTGGAGCCCGACACCTTCCAGGGCCTGGAGCGGCTGCAGTCGCTGCATTTGTACCGCTGCCAGCTCAGCAGCCTGCCCGGCAACATCTTCCGAGGCCTGGTCAGCCTGCAGTACCTCTACCTCCAGGAGAACAGCCTGCTCCACCTACAGGTGAGCCTGCCCTGCCCCCACCCTCAGCCCCTTTCTGGTTTCCTCTCTCTGTGGGCCCCTCTGCTCCCCGACCCTGGCGTGCGTCCCTCCTCTCTCCCCAGGCCACCCTTCCTGCCTCAGCATCTCCATTTCTCTCTGTCTATGTCTCTTTTCTCTCTTACATTCTCCAGGGGCTTTACTTTTTCCCTTCTGCCTCTCTACCTGTTTAGGTCCCTTGCTGTTCCTCTCTCTCTCTCTCCCTCTAACTCCACAACCTTCACCTCTCTGCCTCTGCCTGTCTGTCTGTCTATCCCTTTCCATCCATCACTGCCTCTCTCACTAACTTGCCTCCCCCATCTGTCTTCTGCCTCTTCTGTCTGTCTCCCTTCACACACCCACTCCGCATACACCCCCATGTCTGTCTGCGTGTGTGTATCTGTCTCTTTCTGTGATCTCACGTGTTTGCCTTCAGGGCACTCTGCCTTCCCCCAGGGTCCCCTGCCCAAAGGCCTTTGCAGCTGTTTTTCTCACCCACCCTCAAGTCTGCCCACATCACGGTGAAGTAGAGAGAGAAGGCAGAGCCACAGCCACTGGCATCCCACAGAAAGTTGCGCTTCTCTCCAATTCACTGGGCAATGGGACGGGAGAAGCCCACACCCCTTCTAGATTCCCATTTTCCAAACCTGTCATCTCAATGCAGGGGAAGAAAGAAAAGGGTAAATCTCTGTTATGCAGCTGGAGAATGGATGCTCTGAAAATGGAAGGAATACCAGTAATTGTTATTCATTGTTATTATTATTGATCTAATTATTGTTTATTGTTGTTATGCTGACTGTTTGACACGCAAATCATCCCACTCCATTTCCCCAGGAAGCAATAACACACCCTCCAAACCACCCTGAGAGAAAATCTTCCCTTGGCTACAGAGCCTCCGGCTGGAAGGGGGTGAAAATATCCAAATTCTGCCCTCTCCCTACTTGAACCTGGAACGTGCTTCCTCTGCCTCATCCAGGGCTAGTGCCTAACTAGTTATCAATCTGCTAGTTGGAAAATCAGGTCAGTGCTGATGATGCTAATGATAATAACAATAGCCATAACAACCTAACAAACATACTGAGCACCCACTACGAGCTAGATGCTAAGAATACAGTAGTGAACAGAACAGACCAAACCCCCTGCCTTCACAGAGATACCATTCCCATGAGGAGGGAAAGAAGTAAAATGCACGGTATATTGGAAAAATATGTCTTATATTATTCTTATTGTTGCCTAAATAGTGACAGTAATAGCAGTAGCCGCCACCACTTAGTGGGTACACAGGGTCAGCCACAGTGCCAAGCACTTTATAGGTATCCACTCTGCCATTTACAAGCGTGTGACATTTTTTTTTTTTACCTCCTCAGACCTCAGTTTTCTCATCTGTACAATGGGGTAGCAAGAGCACCCATCTCCTAGGGATTTTGAAAGCATTAAATGCATGAATAATTTGTAAAGCACTTAGAATAGTGCTTGGCATACGGTAAGTGCTATATAAATGCTTGTTAAAATACTATTTTAAAAAAAGAAACGAGCCTTATTTAACATTGGTTTCAGTGAAGTGGCCCAACTTGGACTCCATCCTGAAGATGTGGGTCAACTTCAAGGATTATACTAAGGTCATGAGTGAGTCCCAGAAATTGCACCTCACAGTTTATGAAGTGCACTCAGCCACCTCATCTCATTTCTACAGCCCAGTTGGGAGATTATTTTCACCTCCTTGTTAACAATGGAGAAGCTGAGGCTGGGGGCCCTGAAGACCCTATAGAGATATAGTCACCTCCAATCATAAATCTTTTCAACCATTGTCGGTGTGACCGGAGGCTTATGTCTTCTCACCATCATGTTGAGCCTCACAACAACCTGGTGATAGGGACAGTTAGGGGCACTAGGGACATGGAATGAATGTTCCTGAGGCCACACACCCAGGAAGAGCTGGCGCTTGAACCTCATGGTCTGGCTACAAGGGGACAGTACTCTGGAGTACAATTGAGCAGGCTCATTTTTGAAAGCACACAGTTTGGACTCAGCAAGACCTAGGTTCAAATCCTGGCTCCTATATATATGACTTTGGACAAATTACTTAACCTCTCTCAGTCTCCATTTCCTCATCTCTAAAATGGCAATCAGGATAGTACTTAATAATAATCTTTTTTTTTTGAGACGACGTCCCACTCTATCGCCCAGGCTGGAGTGCAGTAGTGCGATCTCGGCTCACTGCAACCTCTGCCTCCCAGGCTCAAGTGATTTTCCTGCCTCAGCCTCCTGAGTAACTAAGATTACAGGCATGTGTCACTACACCCAGCTATTTTTTGTATTTTTAGTAGAGACGGGTTTCACCATGTTGGCCAGGCTGGTCTTGAACTCCTGACCTCAGGTGATCCACTCACCTCGGCCTCCCAAAGTGCTGGGATTACAGGTGTGAGCCACCATGCCCAGCCAATAATAATCCTTATTTAAGAAGTTTTGTAAGGATTAAAATGTAAGGCATTTAGCACAAGGATTAAAATGTAAGGCATTTAGCACATATGGGCACTATAATAATAATTACTACTACTACTACTACTAATACTGAGATCAAATACTACTACAAATTGATCATGCATTTAATGCTTTCAAAATCTCCTTATCAATATATATTAGTTATTTAGGAGGAATTTGGAGTCAGAGGGCCTGAGCTTGAATCCCCGATCTACTATTTTCTGACTTATTTAACTTTAAGCAGGTTGCTAACCCTCTCTGAACCTCACTTACTTTATCTGCAAACTGGGAATAATGAAAATAATACCTTCCACCAAGAATGGCTGTAAATAGGAAACGAGTTAGTGTATAGAAAGCCCATAGTTCAGGCCTGGTGTGGTGGCCCATGTCTGCAATCCCAGCACTTCGGGAGGCCAAGGTGGGTGGATCACTTGAAGTCAGGAGTTCGAGACCAGCCTGGCCAATATGGTGAAACCCTGTCTCTACTAAAAATACAAAAATTAGGCAGGCGGGGTGGCAGGTGTCTGTAATCCCAGCCACTAGGGAGGCTAAGGCAGGAGAATCACTTGAACCTGGGAGGTGGAGGTTGCAGTGAGCTGAGATCGTGCTACTATACTCCAGCCTGGGTGACAGAGCAAGACTCTGTCTCAAAAAAGGAAAAAAAAAAAAAAGCCCATAGTTCAGTGCTGAAGAAATCATGTTATTATGACCCCATCCTCCATTGACTCTCAGGCCAACAACAGCAATCAGGACCTGAGGTCAGCAAAGGCTTGGGCAGAGGGGACCTCAGGTGGACATTGGGGTCTTCTGAAATGGGAAGTGTTTGTTCTCTACGCCCCTGGCATGAATGGTACCAGGCATCATGGGAAGGAAGCAACTTCACACCTGGCCTTTTATAGAGGAGATGGAAAACACAGCCTCTGCCTGTGAACTGCCTGGTAGGGCTGGGCTGGGAGATGCCACAGGCAGGTGAGGAAACATGGGCTGGGGTGAGATCCGCAGGGTGCAGGTGTGACCCAAGATGGAGCCAGGCCTGCCCCAAAGGGGAGCTTTGGAGGAAACTCCACCAGAGGACCACAGCTTTTCAGAATGGGGAAGGGCCAGGCACTGTGCCAGGTGAGTTCATTCATCAACAGATATTTACTGAGTATCTACCACATGCCAGGCAATGTTCCAGGTGCCAGGGATTCAGGAGAGAACAGAAACAGTGGCCCTGTTCTCCCAGAGCATATTCCCTACTCAAGTGTAGCCAGATGATAAAGACACTTGTTTTCTTTCTTTTTTTTTTTTGAGACGAAGTCTCGCTCTCTTGCTCAGGCTGGAGTGCAGTGGCACGATCTCGGCTCACTGCAACCTCTGCCTCCCAGGTTCAAGCGATTCTCCTGCCTCAGCCTCCCAAGTAGCTGGGATTACAGGCATGTGCTACCATGCCTGGCTAATTTTTGTATTTTTAGTAGAGACGGGGTTTCACCATGTCGGCCAGGCTGGTCTTGAACTCCTGACCACAGGTGATCTGCCCACCTTGGCCTCCCAAAGTGTTGGATTACAGGTGTGAGCCACCGCACCCGCCGACACTTGTTTTCTCTTTCAGTCATTACAGTGGCCTGCATGGTTTTTGTTTGTTTTGTTTTGTTTTGTTTTTGTTTTTGAGACAGTCTCACTATGTCACCCAGCTGGAGTGCAGTGGCGCAATCTTGGCTCACTGCAGCCTCACCTCCTGGGGTCAAACAATTCCCCCATCTTAGCCTCCCCAGTAGCTGGAACTACAGACATGTGCCACCATGTCCAGCTAATTTTTCTATTTTATAGAGACGGGGTTTCACCATGTTGCCCAGGCTGGTCTCAAACTCCTGAACTTAAGCAATCCACCCGCCTCGGCCTCCCAAAGTGCTGGGATTACAGGCATGAGCCACCGTACACAGCTGGCCTGAATGGTTTAAAAATAGTCTTTATGCTCAAGCAGATCAGATCTCAGTTTGAATTCCAGCCACACCTCTAATTTGCTCTATGGCTTTGTGCAAGTTATTTAACCACTCTGAGCCTCGATGGACCCATCTGTGAAATGGGGATAACCTGTACCTTGGCGAGCAGGGGTTGTGAGGATTAAAGGAGATACTACTGAGCTCACAGCCCAATGTCTGGTACAAAGTGAGTATCCAATGAATGGTAGCTATCCATTAACACCAGGGAGGACACCAACTGAAGCTCAGCAAAATAAAAGCACAGTCCAAGGTCACCCAGCTAGTAAGGAACATGACCTAGAATTGGCCCAGGTCTGTCTGACTCCAGAGTGCAGTTGTTCAGAGGTCTCTGGAGTTGGAAGCCACGTTCCACTGCATATTAGCTGTTGGACCCTAGGCGAGTCACTTCACTTCTCTGAGGCTCCATCTCGTAATCTCTGAAATGGAGATAATAATAGTATCCACCTCATAGGGTTGTGACAATTAAGTTACTATATAGGATCTGTGTAGCACAGAGCTTGGCACATGGTAAGAGCTCAATCAGTTACCTGCTTGACAATGCTGACGCCGATGATGACGATGATACCCATCCTAGACTGATGAGCTCTGTAAGCGGGGGTGCCTGGCACAGAGTAGACACTCGGTACAGCTCTGTGGAATGAATGAGGCACATCCCAGAACTCACCAATTCATAAAAATCAGATGCAGATGGGATCTTAAAGATCACCTATCCTAAGTCCCTTGTTTCACAGATGAAAAGACCCAGGCCCAGAGAGGTGCTTGGAGCTGCGCAAGGTCACACAGCCAAGCAGCTCATTTGATTAGTGTCAGAGCCAAGAGCTGGGAGTTTGGAGGGAGGCAAGGTTAAGAACAGGATGCTGTCAGGGAAGCAGGCAGGGATGCTGTGTTAAGATTCCAAATGGATGCAGAGAGCTGTGAACCGGCCAGTGGGGAGGCAAGGGAAATGTGGTTTTTGAAATGGAAGAGGATGACTTTAGCAGAGGCTCTCAGCCCAGAGGGAGGGGAGATAGGGAGGGGAGATAGGGAGGGGCGGGGGGAGGGCTAGGGCTGTGAAAGTCAAGAGCTTATTAATGCATAGAGAACGGTTTTAACAGTGGAGAGAGGAAGGACCGGATTTGAAAGCTACATTCAAGGAAGTGGCAACGGGATTTGGCAACAGCTTGGATGGGGGGAGGAGGCAATGGACCCCAAGGCAGAGGCTCAGAGAAGGGAGGGGCAGGACTTTTTGCAGAGAAACAAAAGGAGAGGAGAGGAGGTTAGAATCAAGAAATTCTGTGGGCCAAAACCTGGGGCTGTGGGTCAAAGGCACCTGAATTCCCTAGGATCTCTGGAACTTTGGTCTACTCTTCTGACCTCCCGAGGTCCCCCAAAATGTGGATTACCCCTGCTCACTCTCCCCCAACCCCCGGCCCCTTATCGATCCTCTGACCATACATCTCTGGGTGTGTCCTACTCTTGCTGACACTTCATAAAAAGAGGAACCCCATTTAGGTGTTTTGAGTGGCAGGGATTCCAAGCCTACCCCCTGGATGGGCCTGGAAGAGAACAAGAGCACCAGGCCATGGTGAGTCAGGCTGAGGCCAGGGAGGTGCAAGGAGCCAGCTGGAGGCCTGAGCCAGGATTTGGGGTGGTGGCAGCAGGGGGCGGAGAATGGTGGTGTCAGAGGCAGCCGAGAAGGTTGAGGGGGACGGATCTCAATGTGGCCAAGAGGAGGGCTCTTGGCACGCTCAGTTCCTGTAGCGAAGAGGGCGGAAGCCAGATGGGAGGGGGCGAGAACAGGCAGGAGCACAGGAAGGTGGAGGCTGTGGGTGTAGGCTGGGAGTCAATGCCCTCCCCCAACCTGAGGCCTCCGACCAGGCTCCTGGGTGGCAGGCATGGGGAGGAAAGCGTCTCCCCAGGCAGTGAGGGAGGGAGTGCCACAGTCAGGGAACAGGCCCCCTGGGTGAACTGGCCTGAGCAGAGTGGATGCTCCTGTTCTGAGACCCAGACCTCCTGGAACCTGCTGACCACAGTGATGCCCTGCACAAGAGGGGAGGACCTCAAGGCAGTGAGGTCAGGGAGCTGAAGTCCTGCTTCCCTCTCTGGCAAGCCCTTATCTCTTTGAGCCCCAGTGCTCTCCTCTAAAAAAGTGAGCTGGGCTGATGGGTGCCAAGGCATTAGCTCCCAAGTCAGCTGATCATCAGAATCCCCTGGTGAGCTGGTTATAATGCAGAGTCCAGGAATCCCCACTGGCCGTGGGCCACACACACCCGCCGCCCCCCGCTGTTAATTCTGAACCATAGTTCCAAGGTCCTTTCTGCACTAATGTGGCCTGATTAGGTGACTCCCTAGCACCAGGCAGGTGGGACAGCGCCTCTAAGGGGAGTAGTAATGCAATGTGGCTTCCTTCCTCTCCTCCCCTGCCGCCTCTGGGGGTGGAGCTGATGCCCCTCACCCCAATACCCAGCCTAGTAGCAGTACTTTGGTTCCCCCAGGGAGCTCCTCTTTTAAAGAAAAGGGACAGGACCCAATTGTTACTGAGCCCCTATTGTCATAGTAGCCACCATTTATTGATGGTTGACTATGCACCTGCCAGATACTGTACCCTTAACAGCATTTATCATCCAACCCTCCTTTAGCCTGCTGAGGGGGTTATACATAATAAGGAATATTGTACATACTGAGGAACCTGAGACTCCATGAGGTTAAAACTTGCCTAAAATAACACAGCTAGGGAAAAGGCAAGCTGGATTTTGAACTAGGGCTCTAAGTGCTGAGCCTGTGGGCTTCATAATTGGACCAAATCCCTGTGTGCTGGGCACGTGTCCAGCACTTCCCTCATATGATCTTTATGTGAACCATCCTCTGGAATCCTCAGAACAAACCCAGGAAGTAGGTATACTCATCCCCATTTTACAGATGAGGAAACAGGCACAGAGAGATGACTGGCTTGGCCAAGTTAAGAATAATGGCTAACAAACAAAAACAAAAACAAAAATTAAAAAAAAAAAAAGAATAATGGCTAACTCATGGAACTCATAGAACTCCACAAGGAAAGGTGTTCTAAGCACCTTCATACATGCTGCTTCATTTAATCTCTACATTATACAGATGAGGAAACTGAGTCACAGATATCCTGAGTGACTTGCCCACGGTGGCATCAGTTAATGACAGATCCAAGATTTGAAATCAGAAAGGCTGGCTCCCCAGTCTCCATACTTCACCAAACCAGAAGTTCTGAAACTCAAACTGTGGTCCTGCCAATGGCCACACTGGCTTCCCTGGGGAACCTGTAGACATGGGGATTCCCAGGCTCCACCCCAAACCTCCTGAATTAGAAACTCTGCCCCCCGCCCCACCCCGCTCAGAGATCCGCAGGGGATCCTAATACACCCGAAAGTTTAGGAACCACTGACCTCACCAATACCACTTTTTCCACAGCAAATAGGTTAGAGGAGGCAGAATCCAAATCCAGGATGCTATGAATCAAAAGGTCAACCCTTTCTCTTCTGCCACGGTGCACCCCCTTCCCTCCCCCGGCCAAGGCCCCAGCGGGGTCTGCACCCTACCTCAGGCCCATTCTCTTCTTCTGTGCCCCACTCCACCCCACCCAGGATGACTTGTTCGCGGACCTGGCCAACCTGAGCCACCTCTTCCTCCACGGGAACCGCCTGCGGCTGCTCACAGAGCACGTGTTTCGCGGCCTGGGCAGCCTGGACCGGCTGCTGCTGCACGGGAACCGGCTGCAGGGCGTGCACCGCGCGGCCTTCCGCGGCCTCAGCCGCCTCACCATCCTCTACCTGTTCAACAACAGCCTGGCCTCGCTGCCCGGCGAGGCGCTCGCCGACCTGCCCTCGCTCGAGTTCCTGCGGCTCAACGCTAACCCCTGGGCGTGCGACTGCCGCGCGCGGCCGCTCTGGGCCTGGTTCCAGCGCGCGCGCGTGTCCAGCTCCGACGTGACCTGCGCCACCCCCCCGGAGCGCCAGGGCCGAGACCTGCGCGCGCTCCGCGAGGCCGACTTCCAGGCGTGTCCGCCCGCGGCACCCACGCGGCCGGGCAGCCGCGCCCGCGGCAACAGCTCCTCCAACCACCTGTACGGGGTGGCCGAGGCCGGGGCGCCCCCAGCCGATCCCTCCACCCTCTACCGAGATCTGCCTGCCGAAGACTCGCGGGGGCGCCAGGGCGGGGACGCGCCTACTGAGGACGACTACTGGGGGGGCTACGGGGGTGAGGACCAGCGAGGGGAGCAGATGTGCCCCGGCGCTGCCTGCCAGGCGCCCCCGGACTCCCGAGGCCCTGCGCTCTCGGCCGGGCTCCCCAGCCCTCTGCTTTGCCTCCTGCTCCTGGTGCCCCACCACCTCTGACTGCGGTGCTGAGATCGAAGAGGCCAGTGTCCGATCCCCGCTTCCCGTCCACCCGGGGCTGCGGCTCCGGCCCCAGTCGCCCCACCTTCCCTGGCCTTGCTGCCTCCCTTTCCCCTCCCAGCTCCTCTCCTCCCCGGGGAGCAGGCCGCCTCTCCTTGCCTGCCCCCTGGGCTGTCCTGACTTGTGGCAGCCCCAAGAGGGCGTGTGTGGTGGCTCAGCCCTGCCCTCCCCAGTTCTGGCCATTAACTCTTCCCCATCCCAAGGCTGGGGTGGGGCCCCCCAGGCAGCCGCTGACCCGCACTCCTAAGGGCCCACAGCGGACACCAGAGGGGCTTTTGTCTGCAGAGCGTCTTCCACCAGCAGAGCCTTTGGAAGCTCCCCCAGGGAGCCCCACCCAGGACCCTTTGGGGGATGCCTCAGTCAGGGCCAGGCTGACCCTGACCCCTGCTTACCCTAGTCCCCTCAACCTCCTGACACTGGAGGAATACTTTTCTCCTAAGTCTACCCTGGACACTTTTTAGGGCACCTGGAGAGAACTTTCCTCTCCACTGTGGCCCCTGCGTGGTGAAGATCAAAAGAAGTTGTTTGGGAAAAAAAATTTATTAAAAAATTCTATTATTTTATCTACTGTAAGATTTGTTGACTTGGGACCCCGAAAGCGGGATGAGGTCTCAGAATGTAAGGATTGCAGGGCCAGGAGGGTTGGAGAAGGGGAGCCGTCCCCCGCCATCAAAGAGCTTCCTGGTGGCTGGAGGTGGTGTGCGCTCCCCCGCCATGAGGAGGAGCTGAAGCCCTGCATTCTAGGTGAGGCGCAGTGTGGCAGCCAAGAGTGGGTGCTGGTGGCACCTCTTCTCTTCATTTGTCCAGGGGAAGAGCTGCAGCCAACCCTGAGTGGTCTGGCGCCTGAGGAACTAAGCCTGGGGAAGACCTGCTGTCTGGTTAACAGCCCTCTTCCAGACCCTGTTCCTTCAGGAAACAAGAGCAGTTCTCCTGCAAGGAGGAGTCACATACACACTCCTGGTCACAGACAGCCCCAACATGGCTTTGGGTAAATGTGAACAAGGCACTGCTCCCTCAGGGAAACACAGCCCCATGCCAGAGCAAACACCTTAGCAAACAGAGACCAAGGCTGGGTTTCCGCGTACACTTGCCTCCTTGGCTAAGTGCCCTTGTGCAGTGCACAGCGTACACACCTGCACACAGCAACCCTGTGGGTATGTGGTCTCTCTCTCAGCTCCTGTGAGGTAGAAGCCATCAGGGATGAACCAGGTCAGAGAAGCAGGTTTCCAAACAGGCTAGAAGAGGGACCGAGGAACTCGGGTGATCAGAGGGACAGGAATCCCAAATTGGGATGCATTACTGGCTTGAGGTACAATCAGAACCTTCATCTTTCTGGTGTGTGGAAGAGAGGCTGGGGACTGGGAAGAGCTCAGGCTAAGAAGGACTTGGGTTGGGATTTAGGGGTGAGTCTCATCAGACTGAGCACTTGGAGAGAAGTTTGGTAGTTTGAATTTGGAGCTAAGAATCTAGCTTGGGCAGGGTGTGGTCGCTTGCACCTGTAATCCCAGCTAATTGGGAGGCTGACGTGGGAGGATCACTTGAGGCCAAGAATTTGAGACTAGCCTGGACAACATATCGAGACTGAGTCTCTTAAAAATGTTTTTTTAAGAATCTAGTTTGGAGTGGGGTGTGATGTCTCAACGTCTGTAATCCCAGCACTCTGGGAGGCTGAGGTGGACAGATCACTTGAGGTCAGGAGTTCAAGACCAGCCTGGCCAACATGGCAGAAACCCCGTCTCTACTAAAAATTCAAAAAAATTAGCCAGGCGTGACGGCGGGTGCCTATAGTCCCAGGTACTCAGGAGGCTGAGGCACAAGAATCACTCCAGCCTGGGTGACAGAGACTCTGTCTAAAAAAAAAAAAAAAAAAAAAAAAAAAAATCTAGCTTGGGAGGTGGGAATAGAAAGATAGAGGGGGCCTAGATGCTAGGGCTTGAGGAAGCAGGCTGAGGTTCTGTGATTCTGGCTAGGGAGGTCAAATGATCTTGAGAAGAAGAGAAGAAAGGAGAAGAAATCAGCATCTAAGCCTGAGGCAGGTAGACTCCGGTTAAGGGTGTGGGGTGGGCTGGGGGAGAGTGAGAGCAGCTGGTCAGAAACCCAGGGAGCTCGGAGTCTGGGGTCTTGCAGGGGCTTGTGTCAGGCTGGCTGTGAGGAGGTTAATGGGTTGGATTGGAGGGACAGCCAGACAAGAGCTCTGGTGGAGGAGGGGCTGCTGGGGCCTGGGCAGGGGGAGGGGAGCTGCTGGTAAATTAGAGGCAGGCTGTCCAGGTCATAGAATTATCATTGTGAAATATTCATGGGCCATCGGTCCAGATGCTATTTCAGAACAGTGAAAGCAAGAGGAGTGTGTGAGCCTCAGGAAGAAGCCTGAAGCAAAGCCACTCTCCACCAACCCCCACCCCTCCCACCACCAGCCCAGACAGACCCACGGACGCCCATCACGTGCACACCCACACTCCCGAGCTCTCACACACACTCGCACCAAGCAGAGCCATGTAGCACGTGCAAGCACACCAACCACCCACGGGTCCCACAAACAGGCAGGTGTCCCCTAAATTCTGACATGCACACTGACATGCACACCCACTCAATCAGGACCCAGCAGAGATCACCTCCAGCGATCTCACATGCGCAGACCCCCAAACTCTCCAAACAACCCAGATTCACCACCTTGACCCACACACCCTGAGATAGGAGGGATGTTCAAGGCCATCCAGCCCAACCCCCACCAATGCTCTGATGGGGAAACTGAGGCCATAGAAAGGAAGGGATTTGTCTGAGATTCCTCTATCCCCTGAAAAAAGCAAAATTCATTCACCTCCCACATTCTGAGTGTACCCCCATTCTGCATTTTCGTCTGCCAGACACCCAGCCTAGTTGTAATTAACTCCTCCCTTTCTCTAATTTCCTGCATCTATTCAGTTACCCAGTCCCCCACCCAGCCACAGTCTATCCCTTCCTTCCCATTCTCCCCACCACCTCCCTGCTCCAGCTACTCATTACCTCATGCCTGGAATATAAAAGAAAACTGCGATAACCTCCTCGCTGGTTTCCTACATGGAATCTCTCCCTCCCTCCCACCCAGCCATACCGTGGTGACCAGATTCATCTGATCAAAATTTGCATATGTTATGATGTCACTCAGGAGCCTGTAATGGCTTCCTAATGCCTATAGGGTAAAGGTAAAACACCTTAGCAGAGCATCAAAGATCCCTCAGAGTCTGGTACCAACTGCTTTTCTAGCCTTTTCTCTCACAATCTCATCCCAAACCTTCACTCCAGCTAGAACGTTTGTATCATACTGGCCACCAGTTATCATGTATGTGAAACCCACCAACCGACTTTGAGTGCCCCCCTAAAATTTCTCAGTCTCTCCTGAAGTAGGAAACCTCTTCCCCCTCCTCAGATCTCAGACTCCAGAGCCCTTTCCCAAGGCCAAGACTGCACCTCTCTGACCATATACAGGGGTTCTTCAAAGCAGCAGACAGAGGCTCAGGCTCTGGCTCCCTCCAAGCAGACGGCTGCCCCCGACTGGCCACCTTGGGAAGCACAGCCAGGCTTCAGTCGTCTAGAACAGAGAATGAGCATCTAACCGCCTGGGGAGAGGACTAGGACACCAGATGATAAGGTTTATAAGCCCTTAAGCCTCTAAGGTTCTTACACCCAGAGTAGGGGGGGGACGGTTCTCAGCCCTGTTTCCCTAGCTGCGGGCTCCCAATTTTCGATCCCTAATCCGAGAGGAACTCCTCTCCAATGAAATACAGACTTGGGACTCTCAGGACACTGTGGAAGGGAAATTTCCCAACAGACTCTGAGAGTCCAGGAGGCCAGGGATAGACCAGGTGGCAGGCCCAAGGTCCAGCTGGGGTCAGGTTTCTATATGAATTTTTAATGCTTCCAGATAGACTTGTCAGATGTTCTGAAAACTGAGCATCTCCTTTCACCTCTGTACATGATGCCCTTCTCCAACCCCATTGCCCCTGCAGGAGGGCAGGCCTGGGACAGATATTCAGTGGCCTCTGGAGAAACGGTTTTGGGACAGTAGAAGGGTAAATGACCTAGTTATGTTCCCACTAGTAAGCTGTGTGACCTTGGGCAAGTTACTTAACCTCTCTGAACATTAGAGTTCTGTGGGTTTGTTTTTGTTTTGTAAGCTGGGGACAATAGTGCCAGCCTAAATCAATTTGTTGTGGGGACTCAGTGCAATAGCCCATGGCAAAGTGACCTACATGCTTGCTGTTATTATTCTCTTTCCTCAAGTTCTGCCTCCCTCTTCCAGCTTTTCTTCCAACCCCAAAGATGTCTCTGGCTATTGCTTCGAAGGTAGGAACTTTGGTTGGTTCTCCCCTTTCTCTTCAGGCCCAAACTCCCCACCTCAAGATCCTTTGGCCTTTGTAGAAACTTCAGGTGAGGAGGTGGCAGAGAAATAAGAAAGTGTGCAAGGCTGGTGGAGTGAGAGAGGAGGATAGATGGCGAAGCCCTAGCAGAGGGGAGGGAAGTGGGCAGTGGAGAGAGGAAGGGAAGACCCTGCTCAGAGAGAGAAGAGCCAGGCACAGACTCATTCCTTCATCCCTCCCTCCCTCCCTCCCTCCCTCCCTCCCTCCCTCCCTCCCTCCCTCCCTTCCTTCCTTCCTTCCTTCCTTCCTTCCTTCCTTCCTTCCCTCCATCTTCTCCACGCCTGGTATCATCATACAGAAGCAGAGAGGACTGCACTTGGTGAAAGTTTCAATTCTCCTGTGTGGAGAGGTGAGCACTGAGGAAGGGGTGGGGGCTGTCAAAGGAGACTTACCCAATCTTTCCAGCCCACCAATCCCTTGCCCAGTGTTTCTATAAAATAAGGGCCTTTTGCATCTGATTTAAGTAGGAAGCTGATTCCTGAGCCCCTCAGATCTGCTGAATCAGATAGCTAAGGGGGCCCTGGAATCTGCATTTTAGCAAGCGGAGGTGGGTTATGAAGCACTCCAAAGTTTGAGACACGCCTCAAAGGTGGAGTGGTTCTGTGGGGGGCAGAAAGGAAAATGCAAAGGGGGAAGGGGTCACACTTGGGGAAGGTTTCAGACAATACCGAGTGGAAAGGGTGATGCCAGGTGTGGGGAGTAACAGATAGAGGAGGCAAAGTGAGTGGAGACCAAGCCAGACCGGGGAGGAGGGGGCCACAGCCAAGGTGAGACAGGTCAGCAGCCAGAAACCGAAGCAGACACTTGCAGGGTGCACCCCGCCCTCTCTTCGTGGCAATCTGAGACCGAGGACGTGGAGACCCTGGAGAGCCCCCAACCTTGTTTCTGGGGGGTGGGTCAGAGAGGAAGCCTCTCATCCCCGGGCACCAGCGGCCTTCCCGGGAGGCTCAACACGCAGATACCTGGATAGGCGTCCATCACTCCCCCGGCCAGAGCCCACCAACGCTCCTCGAGGTCCGACCTTGTCCCTCCTTCTACCCCACAGTCCCCAGTCCTAGCTCATCTGCATAAAGCTCCAATTAACATGTTTTTCCTTTGCTATTTGCGATCCCAGAACTCGTTCCCCACCCCGAGCCCGTTTCCCGCCGCCTCCTCGCCCCTGGGAGGGCGGCCCCATTAACCCTCGCGACCCGGGCCGCTCCTGGCGGTCCTGACCCCGCCACCCCGTCCCGCGGCGGGGGTTTGGGGGTGAGGGGCGCGCCCTGGGGCAGAGGATTGCGCGGCAGGGTCTGCCACAGGGCAGAGGCCAGGGCTCTCCGGGAAAAAGGCAGGCGCATATATGCCCCCCTTTCTGGGAAAAGACGGGGAGGGGGGCTTCTCCTGGGAGACTCCAGGCTTCGAAATTCCTCGTTCCCTATCCTCCGGCCCCCGCACCCCTCCTCCTCCCCGCCACGCACCCTCTCCCCTCCCCAGCCATCTGTTCCACTCCGCAGCGCCGCGACAAACACGGCTCCAGCTCGCTTCCGCCCCTGCCCAGCCCCCTCCCCAAGCCCCGGGGAGTGGGGGAGTGAGCAGACGCCCTTCTCCTAGGAGGCCGGAATTTCTGCCTCCATCTCCCACCGGGGTCCGGCTGGCCAGAGGCAAGCTTCGAGACCCCCCACCAACCACCACCACCGTTGCGAGGGCCGGTGAGGCTGCAGATAACGCTTGCAAGGACGGGAGTCGGGGAGGGTGTAGGGCGAGTTTAAAGGACGGGCAGAGCAAGCCCCGGGAAGAGGCAGGGGTTTTCCCTCCCGGGTCGCCGCCCCCCGCACCCTCGGAGCCAGCCGCAGCCACGCAGCGCCGCCTGCCGGGCACACCAAGGACCTGGCGCGCACGTGGCGCTTACCCCCACCCCCGGGTCCGCTCCTGGCTCGCGCTCAGCCTCCCCAGACTATTCGCAAATTGAGGATCCCGGACACAGAGTGCAGAGACCCCGGCAAGCCTACTGAAAGCCAGCCGAACCCGCTGGTGGGTGCTAGCCAATTCTGATTTTGTACTTTACAAAAACAAAAAAAGTCAGTGTTGGAAGTCGGGAGTCTGGGCTCAGAGCAGCAGGGATCTGCGATGTGACTTTGCCAAGTCTCCAGACCCCTGAGGACAGGTTTTCCTATCTGAAAACGGAGGGGACAGTCTCTCTTATTAACTTCTCAAGAGAAACAAAGACAAAGGGAGGGAAAATGGCTTAGCTGGAATGCTGTCTTACAGAGCCAACCTTTGGAGGTGGGGGAGATGGCCAAGGCCTCTGAGGTCACTCTTGGCCCCAGGAGCAGCTGAGAACCGGAAAGAAGCTTGGGACCTCCTTTCTGCAGAGCTATCCTTTCCACAGACTGCCGAGGTTCCAAATTGAGCTCCACCACCTAACACTGTGTGCCCTTGGGTGTGTGCCTTAACCTCTCTGGGCTTGTTTCCTACAGCGACAAGAAAGAATGACAACACCAACCTCTTAGGCTATAGTTTGGATAAAATGAGATAGCTGTGTAGAACAGACAGATCCTAAACCAATGTTAGTTTTCCCTTCATTTGGGGACTTGCTCTAACCTCCAGGGCTTATGTCCCAGAGGCACAAGCAGGTGCAGGGCTGGATAAATAAGGTATGTCTTTCTGCAGGATCTCTTGTCCTCACTGATGGTGTCTTCTCTTGATATAGATAATTTTAAAGCTTCACGTTATTTATTTATTTACTTTAAAGCCTCACTTTAATGTTAAAGGTAAATGTAAATATAGTATAACAAGGAAGCTCAAAATTTGCATAAAGTTTTAAGATAAAATAGGAGACTCCAAAAAAGTGTTACTTTCGGCAGGCCCTAGGGATGCTATGGTGGGAAGTTTGAGTCATACCTTAGCATTCTTTCTAAAGCATTCTGTCCTAATCCTCTGTATGGAGAAAAGCCAGCTTCCTGGATGTACCCCAAATCCTGGGAAGTAGGGGGCAGGAGCTGGACTCCCTCCAAGCACTAAGGGCAGGGCATGGTTGGGAACAGGGAGGTGAGCCAGACAGCCAGAGGCGAACGGGCTGGCATGCCAAGCGTCCTAGTTAATGCCCAGCTGAGCCTGGGTGAAGAAGGATGGGGGTGTGGGAAGACACCCCCCACCAACCGCCAAAGACAGGCGCACACCAGCCAGTCTCTCACTTCCCTTTTTATTTCCTCTAAGACTTGCAAGCAGCAGCACCAGAGAGGGAACCTGCCCTCCTGGCCCTGGAAGGGGCCGACCCCCAACCCCTAACCCAGGACACAGCTGGCACCTCAGGCCCCTTTCCTTCTGAAAGGAGGGCTGTGTCTCTCTCACATTCACACATACACAGACACATGCATGTGTGCACACTCATGGCACATGGGACCTCAGGGGTAGCCTGTTTGCCGATCCCCCCAAGAGGTACCAGGAGGCAGACCGCTAGAAGGAGATAAGAGGCACCCTGGTCTCCTCCAACCCAAGGAGGAAGAAGGCTCAACCCCTCTAGGATAGGGACTGTCTTCAGTCAATGGAGCGTTGACTTAGGGGGCGTTTTTGAAGGTTTTTTTTCCTCCTTTTTGCAGTCTTTACAAAAATAGAACTTCTCTTGGTATTTATAAATCTACGGCCATGGCTCTATGTGCATGTTACAGGTAGAAAAGCCATATGGGGCACTCCTTTTGGTTGCTCAGGCCTTGATTGCCTGTCATCCAGGTCCCTTGGTCTGAGAAGTCTATGCGGTCACCTCAGAGCCGCTAAGCACCTTCAGTGGGCCCATCCCATTGGCGGCGTACTCCTGCTGGAGCCGGGCACGGTAATAGAAGAGGTAGGAAGGCAACAGGAATCCCAGGAGTGAGAATAGCAGGAGGCCCAGATTCACCTTTAGGGCAAGGAGAGAGAAACAGAGTCAAGTAGGTAGTCATCTGCCCTTAGCCTCCCACAGGGAGGAGAAGGCGGCCATTTTTCTCCAGGTCCTGAGCCAGAATAAATACAGCTAGTACTTATTATGTGTAGTCATTGTTCCACCAGTATCTCACTTAATGTTCAGCAATTCTGCAAAGTGGCTGAGATGAGACTTCTCAGGTATAACAAGTGGCAGGGCCTGGTGGGTGCCCACACCATATGGCACTCACTAGGTAGGTATGAGGAAGGCACAGCACTGTAGGAGTCTGGGCTGGTCAGGCTGCTCCCGAAATGGGGCCTTCTGGGCTCACCCCTCTGACCTTTGGAGATGTTAACCAATGGGATCCCGTTCAGGGTGGCGAGAGGAGGCTCTCAGACACAGTTCAAGGAACTGGGATGCACAGCCTGGTGGACAGAAGGCTTGGAAGGCCCAGGACACGCGGGCTCTGACTCGGTTCACATCCCACTCTGCATTACTCACTGTGTGACTTTGGGCAAATAATGGCAATTCTTACTGAGTGCCTCCTTCTCAGGGCTGTTGTGGCGAAGATGTAAGTTAAAAAAAAGTATGCATCATGCTTAGCACATAGTGAGTGCTTGGTAAATAGAAGCAGTTATTTCATCACAATTCTTTGGGAGGAGGGTTTACGTGTGGGTGGCCCCACAGGGCAGATGAAAGATCAGCGTCAGGGAGGCAGATGAGTTCAATGTAAGGAAAAGACTTACTAACAGCAGCAGGGCTGCCTCGTGCAGGAGTGGGTGCCCTACCACTGAGGGTATCTAAGCTAAGAGGGAAGGGTCCCCTTTCAGGGGTGCTGGAGACAGGATCCCACACTAGGTAGAACTGGATTGGACCAATGGTGCCTGAACACAGGCCCAAGAGTCAGGACTGGCCACTTCACAAAGCACCTGGAGTTTACTAAAAACAGACTCCTAGGAGGTCAGGCACTGTGGCTCACGCCTGTAACCCCAGCACTCTGGGAGGCCAAGGTGAGAAGATCATTTGAGGCCAGGAGTTTAAGACTAGCCTGTGCAACATGGCAAGACCCTGTTTATCTGTACAAAATTTTTTTTTAAAAAATTAGCCAGGTATGGTAGCCATCACCTGTGGTTGCAGCTACTCAGAAGGCTGGGGCCGGAGGATCGCTTGAGCCCAGGAATCAGAGGCTGCAGTGAGCTGTGATTTTACCACTGCACTCCAGACTGGGCAACAGAACAAGACACCTTCTCTACAAAAAAAAAAAAACAATAGGGCCGGGCGCGGTGGCTAAGGCATGTAATCCCAGCACTTTGGGAGGCTGAGGAGGGCAGATCACGAGGTCGGGAGATCGAGGCCATCCTGGCTAGCATGGTGAAACCCCGTCTCTACTAAAAATCCAAAAAAAAAAAAAAAATTAGCTGGGCGTGGTGGTGGGCGCCTGTGGTCCCAGCTACTTGAGAGGCTGAGGCAGGAGAATGGCATGAACCCGGGAGGCGGAGCTTGCAGTGAGCCGAGATCGCACCACTGCACTCCAGCCTGGGCAACAGAATGAGACTCCGTCTCAAAAAATAAAAATAAAAATAAATAAATAAATAAAATAACAATAAATTAAAAACAAAAACAGACTCCTACAGTCAGGCTGAGATATCCTGATTCAGGGGACTGGGGAATCTGTATTTTTAACACTCCGTGAGGGGTTCTAAAAGGCAGACAACTTGGAAACCTGCAGATTAGAGACCTCTGAGGTGCCTCTGGCTGAGATGAGTGAGGGATGGCACCACATACAAGGCCCTACCCCTGCCCCCAGGAGAGTGGCTCCTGCTCCCCCCACACCAACCCTCGCTCTCACCCAGAAGGGCTCTCCTTTCAGGGGTCCCACCATCGCCATGAAAAGTGGCTGCTGAAGCAAGGCGAACACAGCACTGATGAGGGACTGCAGGCCTGTCAGCGTCCCAAAGTGGTTGGATGGGAACCTGTCCACGAGACGGGGAGTATCAGGGGTGTGTGGCCCTCTCCAGCCCAGGCCAGCACCTCTCCTATCCCCTCCCCACCATGGTCCCCGCTGGCCAGGCAGGGTGGTGCTTAAGCGTTCGGGCTCTTTGCATGGGCTCTTTGGTCCCCAGCCTTGAGGGCAAATGCTCCAACTTCAGGGCCACTGAGCTGGGTTCTCACACCTCCTGTATGTGTGATATTGGCAAGTGGCTCAAACTCCCTGAGCCCCACTTCCTCCACTAATAACAGGGATGGCATTGACCTCGCAGGACTGTCCACTGTATTCTGTCAACAAACATTTAGCTGAGAACCTACTATGTGCCAGGCACTGCTCTAGGTGCTGGAGATACCACGATCAAGCAAGTCAACAGATTCCTGCCATCGAGGAGGTGGCATTCCCATGGAGCAGGTGGCGGTCAGACAATAAGCAAGAGATAGGCAGAGTGTTAGTGATAAACGCTGAGAAAAACCAAGCAGAGAAGCGGGCAGTAGGGAGGTTGCAATTGTACATGGGACAGCCAAGGGAGGCCTCACTGAGAAGAGGACAGTCAGGGAAAGACCTGAAGAAGGAGAGAAGGTAAGATTGGGCACCTTGCAGATATCTGGAGAAGAATGTTCTAGAAACAGGGACTAGTACATGCAAAGATGCCAAGCAGGGAACACACTTGAGACTTCCGGAGCACTAGGAAGCACTGTGGCTGTGGCAGAGTGAACAATGGAGGAGGGGGAGCTAGAGGGGAGTGAAGTGCTGGGGCCAGAGCTTGCAGGGCTTTTTAGGCCATAGTAAAGCCTTTGGCTTTTACTCTGAGACAGATGAGACAGGACACCACAGAGTGATGTGAAGAGACTTATGTCCTGACAGGTGACTGCAGCCCCTGTGTTAAAAATAGACTGAGACAGCGGGGCCAGGGCAGATGTGGGAGACTAAAGGCTGCCACAATAATCCAGGCTAGAGATGTTGGTGGCTAGGACTGGAGAGGCAGCAGTGGAGGTGACAAGAAGGGTCAGATTTGGGGTGTGTAGAAGCTGCTGCTGGCTGTACTGAGGACGGAGTGAACATGGAGTGTGAGGGAGAGAAACATCAAGGAAACTCCAGGGTTCTGGCTTGAGCAGATGAAGGAAAGAGAGCTGCCCTCTGCCGAGACCGCTGCAGTGAGGCTGAACTCAGGGAGTGATGGTCAAGGATCCTGCCTGCTGCCTGCACCAACGGAGCACTTGATAATGGTTGTCATTTTGTCATCATTATTGTAATGTCCTGTTACTCCATCACATACACAGGGGAGAGTCCCTCAGCAGCGCCCAGCAGGGGAAACCAGGAGAGAGATGCAAGTGGGGACTGTCCAACATGAAGAGGAAAATTATAAGGCAAATGGCTGCCCTTGGGAAATTTCTTCAGGGTGGGCATGGAGGGGAGGCCATTCTGGGGGCCGTTTCAAACAGCAGACATAGAACCAAAGTGTCATCAAGCCAGGTATTTCAGCTTCCTCTAAGGGAAGACTCCAACAGGGGGAGTCAATTACAGCAGGATAGGCTGCCTTTAAGGAAGTGAGCTCCCTGCCATCAGAGGGTCTCAGAGAGAGGTGCATTAGGGGATGCCTGGGGCCCTCCCAACCCTTCCCTGGGGTTCTCTGATCACGGTTGCAAAGCTCAGGAAGGCATTTCAGCCCAACAGACTCACACTGCAGCATAGAGACTCCCACAGGCTGAGTGGAAGAAACCTCGAACAATGGTGTGCAGGACAAAGGTCACAAACTAAAACCAAAAAGAGAGAGTGAAGAGGTTAGGAGAGTGTGTGGAGGCTGGAGGAAGGAGGGGTAGGGCGAAGAGGCCAACTGGGCCTCAATTCCCACCCCCTCGCCAACCCAATCTACTAGAAACACTTCCTGGAGAACCCGGAAAATAGATCCAGATCAGAAGACCAGAACTGCGCTTCCTGGAAGGCAGGTGCTGGATGGACCATCCCTTTGGAGGAGCCTCGGGAGGCAGGGAGAGGGGAAGGATGAAGGTGGGTACCTGGAGGTGTAAGTTGTTGATGAGACAGGTGATGCCAAAACCCACAAGCAGCAGGTTGGTCAGGGTGAAGGCACTGATGGCATTGGTGAGCTTTTGGATCTTGCAGTAGCGTGGTCTGATGGATTTGGTAGCAACCCCGTCCCTGAGGAGTACGGGAAGTCACTGGCTGCTGCCTCTACGTTCCCAGGACTCCCTGGTTCTTGGCCTGGCCCCTCCCCCTTCAGATGTGCCTTCGATGTCAGGGCAGCAGAAAACACAGAAATCCATGTTTCTATGGGAAACCCATAGAAACCCACGTTCTCTAGCTCCATGTTTCTCAAAGTGTTGCTCCCCTACCCAATGACACACGCATCAAAGCGGGTGCTTTCTTAACATGCAGATTCACAGGCCTCATCTCGGCCCTCAGAATCTCAGCGGGGATATCTGCAAATCTGCATTTGGACAAATATCCCCCACTAAGTGATTCTCATGCACACTTGAAGGTTTGAGAACCAAGGATGGGAAGGAAGGTGGGAAGTGGGAAGCTCTCACACCGTCTCTCATCAGAAGTCCTCAGGAAGGTGTCCCTGCCCTAGACATAAGCAGATGCCCTCCTGGGGACAGCAGCTTGGCCTGACTGTCCAGCGCTTCCTCTCTCCGGCACAATCAAGGGCACTGAGGCCAGCCCAGGAGAGAGGTCAGTAGGCTGGGGTGAGGACAGGCGGCCCATGTGTCCTGGACAGAAGGGCCCTGCTAGGGGACCCTCACCATTAGGAGCAGAGGGTAGAGGAGGAAGGCTCAGTGCCAGGGCCAGGCTCTGCTAGCAGGGAGGGAGGCCACTGGATTTCCTTCTCTCCCAGTCTCTTTCTCCCATCCTCTTAGGATAAACAGGGACTGTTTGGATGAACACAAAAAGAGCAAAAGCAGTCACAGAATCTGGGTTCAAGACTCCATGGTGAATCCCAGCTACTCGGGAGGCTGAGGCAGGAGAATCGCTTGAACCTGGGAGGCAGAGGTTGCAGTGAGCTGAGATCGTGCCACTGCACTCCAGCCTGGGCGACAGAGCAAGACTGTCTCAATAAAAAAAAAAAAAAAAACCCTCAATGGTGGTCTCCAGCCAACAAGACAGCCCTCAAGGATCCTGCCTCCTGGTATTCCCCTGCTTTGTCCAGTCTCCTTCCACAGTATATCAGGGTTGCTCTGTGCCTATAATAGAACGTAACAGAAGTGATGGTATGCTACGTCTGAGATTATGTGAGAGAAGATACGGGGTCTCTGTCGCTTAGCCCTCTTGCTCAAGGGAAAGCAGGTGCTGTGTCCTGAGCAGCCCTATGGAGAGGCCATGGGGGTAATTGAACTGACATAGATTCTCCAACCCCAGTCAGCCCTTCAGATGACTGCAGCCCTGGCTGACAGCCTGACTATGTCTTCATGAGAGACTGTGACTCAGAATCAGCCGGCTGAGTCTCTCCCTGATTTCTGACTGTCAGAAACTGTATGAGATGAGAAGTGTTTGTTGTTTTAAAATGCCAAGCCTTGGGGTGATTTGTTATACAGCAATAAATATCTAATATACCAACTCTACCTATTCTAGCCCTAACAAGACTTTAGCGTGTACCCTTATAACACAGGTTCTGGAGGCTGCCACTGAAAGCTGTGTGATCTTGGGTGAATGACCTAACTGTGCAACCCTGTACCTCGGTTTCCTCAACTGCAAAATGAAGATATTAACGCATCTACCTCAAAGAGGTGTTGTAGGACTAAACAAGGCAAGGTGCCAAGTGCACAGTCAGCACTCTGCATTAGCTATTCTTATTATTAAGCAAGCCAGGTCCCTTCCTAGCCTCAGTTTCCTCATCTGTAAAATGGGGAGGTACCCCTGATCTCCTAGGGTTCTTGGGAGAAAGCAACAAGTTGCTGGATGTAAACGCACAGAGAAAATGAAAAGCACTGCCTGACCACTTGCTGTCACCATCCCTGTACAGGCAGGTCACCTGGCATCTCCGAGGACAGTGCCCTGAGTTGGGGCGTCCACGCAGTCCTTGATCCGCCAGTCCATGATGTAGCCAATGAGGGGGCAGGTGAGAAGGCACAACAGCTGCATGGCCCCGAAGACGGAGGAGTAGAACCCAACTGGGCAGGATGGGAAGGGCAGTGGGGTCAGGAACTGGCACTCAGTGGACACTATCACCCCTTCCAGCGGAGGCCAGAGAGCACCAAAATAGCCTTCCTCTGAACCCAGACTCTTACATCCCACAAAAGGGTTACCTGGGTGGGCCCAGGCCTAGAGGAGTCCCGCCCCCTGAGAAGCGGGTTGCAGTGGGGTGGGCGTGAGCCAGGGCCCTGCTTTCATAGCCCTACCTGTCTCTGCCACCTTTTGTTGCTGTTCATTTGTCTCTGTGGGTAGGGAAACGTATGGTGAGGGGAGCTCAGCCAGGGTGACCCGCCTGTGCCCCCAACCCCCAGGGGCCTCAGCGGTGCCTCACCATGCTCCTGGCCACCAGTCACAAGGTACTCCAGCATCTTGTTCACAGCAGCCATGTAGAAGATGATCCGCAGCTGGGTCATGCCCATGGTGAGGAGGCTCCACAGGAAAGTGGGGGAGCAGAGGCTCTTGCGTAAGGGGACAGACCCTGGGGAGACAGCAGGGGGCGCCCCTGAGCCCCAGACCTTCCACTGCCCTCTGATTGTCCCAGCTCATGCAGTTCTTGGGGGGAGTGACACTAACTATGTGACTTTGGAGAGAGACTGGTTTCTTCAAAGACGGGAAAGTTCAGATTCACTTGCCTCCAGGCTCTTGCTCAGCTCAGAACATTTTTGGATGTATGTCCTATGCTTCGTGTGGTAAAAATAACTCAGTTAGGTGCCATGGCTCACGCCTGTAATCCCAACACTTTGAAAGGCAGAGGTAGGAGGATCACTTGAGCCCAGGAGTTCAAGACCTGGTGGTCAACATAGCAAGACCCTATCTCTAAAAATATATATATATATTTATTTATTTATTTATATACAGAAATTATATATATATTTATATATATAAATATACATATATATAAAAATATATATATATGAAATAAGCCAGGCATGGTGGTGCACACCTGTATTCCCAGCTACTCAGGAGGCTGAGGCAGGAGGATTGCTTGAGCCCAGGAGTTCAAGACCAGCCTGGTGGTCAACATAGCAAGACCCTATCTCTAAAAAATATATATATATATAAAATATAATATAAATATATATATAATTTATATATAAAAAATAATATAATATATAATATAATATATAATAATATAATATATATAATTTTGTGTATATATATATATATATATATATATATATATATATATAAAAAAATAAGCCAGGCATGGTTGTGCACACCTGTATTCCCAGCTACTCAGGAGGCTGAGGCAGGAGGATCACTTGAGCCCAGGAGGTCAAGGCTGCAGTGAACTATGATTGCACTACCGCACTCCAGCCCAGGCAACAGCAATACCCTGTCTCTATTTTACAAAAAAAAAAAAAAAAAAAAACCTGGCAGGGCACGGTGGCTCACACTTGTAATCCCAAAACTTTCGGAGGCTGAGGCAGGAGCATCATGAGGTCAGGAGTTCGAGACCAGCCTGGCCAACATGGTGAAACCCCGTCTCTACTAAAGATACAAAAATTAGCCGAGCATGGTGGTGCACGCCTGTAGTCCCAGCTATTTGGGAGGCTGAGGCAGGAGAATTGCTTGAACCCGGGAGGCGGAGGTTGCAGTGAGCCAAGATCATGCCACTGCACTCCAGCCTGGGCAACAGAGTAAGGCTCCATCTCGGGGCGGGGGGGAAAGAAACAAAAGAAAAAAACTCTGAAGCACTCACTATGGGCTACATACTTGACATTTATTACCCCATTTAATAAAATCTTACAACAACCCTATCCTTATCACATTTTACTGATGAGGAAACTGCAGCTCAGGAAGTTAAATGACTTGCTCAAGCTCACAGGGCTGGAAGCAGCAGGTCAGCCTAACTCCAGCTCGTGCCCTTAGCCATGTTGCCCTCTGAGAATCGGCACTGGGGGTAACCACCCTCAAACTGCACACCGTTTTGCACTTTACAAAGAGCTTCCACACCCATGGTGTCATTCAATCATCACAACTAACTTTACAGTTTGTGGGGTGCTTTTAGTGCTAGTTTAAGAGGTAAGGAAATCAAGAGCAAGGTTAGGTGATCTACACAAGTCACATAGCCTATAACTGGAGAGCAGGACTCAAACTCCTCAACTCCCGCTCCTGACTCCAAGGAGCTCCTTCCACTTATCATGGAGCTGGCGGTCCTGGGATCTTCATGTACCCTCCTGAGAAGCAGCCCAGGCAGGTGCTGCAGCTCCTCCTGTGACCAGCAGGGGGCAAAAGACAGCCAGGTGTGGAGGACCCCTGCCAGGAGGCTCACGGGCCTGGCTGCACCTGATGCAATAAGCTCAGAGGTTGCAAGGGGCCCTGAGGAAACCAGCTACCCGACAGGCCCAGAGACCTTGTCCCCATTTTGGAAGCTCCTCCCTCCCCAATCCCAGGAATCCAGCAGGGTAACCCTGAATCTGAACTTCCCAGCGTTAGCTGAGCTTTGATGTGCCCATCTGTAAATGAGGAGCATGCCCCACCTACATCATGGGGTGTTGTAAGGACTGAAGAGGGGTGCGAATAAATACTCAACCATGAGTGCTCACTGAATATGAGGACCCACCATCACTATCCCCCAAGGCCGGCACCTTGACCAGACACTCACTCTCAGGAAGGTTTTCTGAGGTGCCCCGAACATCCTGGGGTGACATGAAGGCATCCGAACCGTCCTCCAGGCTGGGGGCCTTCTGGCTGAGCCTCTGGCCCATGGTGGTCACATGGGTGTAGAAGAGGTCACCTGTCACCTTGTGGTCCAGGGCCAGCCCACTCAGCTTGATCTTCTTCCTGCAGGCAGCCAGGCCAGAGTGTAGAGGAACCAGTCACACAGAGCCCACCTTCAACGGCCTAGTGCTCGGCGGCCATCCCAGCGGTTTCCAGCACTCCTTTACCCGGCATTGACATGCTCACAAGCTCCTAATGCAGAGCTTCTGTTTCTGTTGCTCAGAGCTTGGCTCAGGGACCAGCTTAGCACAGATGCCAAGTAAATGAAGAGTGGATCAGCTGTTTTTCACTTGGGCTGTTCCCATGGAGGAGGCAGCATTAACACCTCAGACTCCAGAGTCAGACAGCCTGCGTCCAACCTAAGATTCACCCTCCTTTGAATGGCATGACCTTTGGAAAGTCACTTTGTTCCCTGTACTTTTGTTATTAATGGGGTTAATACCCAATCTACATCATACAGCTGTTTGAGGATGGTATAGGGGCTAAGTACAGTGCCTGGCATAACTGTCAGTTCTGTAATGTCACCTTATGTGCTTGGTGTGGAGTATCACCTCTTGCCTCTGCTGAACTGACAGGGGGCTGGAAAAAGTTGGCATTCAGGTGGCTCCACAAAAGATGGGGTGCTTGATTCTTTTATGTCCCTCTTTTTGGGACCACATGGCATCGAGTGCCATTGCTGAGGTGCCTCCTACTCAGATCTCCTCCAAACCCAGAAAGGATGAAAACAGTATTTGTCATTACTTTTTTTTTTTTTTTGAGACGGAGTTTTTGATCTTGTTGCCCAGGCTGGAGTGCAATGGCACGATCTCGGCTCACCGCAACCTCAGCCTCTAGGGTTCAAGTGATTCTCCTGCCTCAGCCTCCTGACTAGCTGGGATTACAGGCATGCACCACCACACCCAGCTAATTTTGTATTTTTAGTAGAGACGGTGTTTCTCCATGTTGGTCAGGCTGGTCTAGAACTCCCGACCTCAGGCGATCCACCCTCTTCGGCCTCCCAAAGTGCTGGGATTATAGGCATGACCCACTGCGCCTGGCCCATTACTTTTAATGGCAAAAACCACAATTACTTTTGCACCCACATAAATAGTTACCATGAGCTGAGCATGGTGGCTCACGCCTGCAATCCCAGCACTTTGGGAGGCTGAGCCAGGCGGATCACTTGAGGCCAGGAGTTCAAGACCAGCCTGGCCAACATGGTGAAACCCCGTCTCCACTAAAAAATACAAAAATTAGCTGGGTGTGGTGGCGCGTGCCTGTAATCCCAGCTATTCAGGAGGCAGAGGTTGCAGTTCACTGAAATCATGCCACTGCACTCCAGCCTGGGCGACAGAATGAGACTCTGTCTCAAAAATAAATAAATAAATAAATAAATATTTACCATGTTTTGACCACCTGTTATGTGCCAACTGTATTACTTAAAAACACCCATGGGAGGCTGGGCACAGTGGCTCACGCCTGTAATCGGACACTTTGGAAGGGCAAGGGGGGAGGATCCCTTAAGGCCAGGAGTTCAAAACCAGCCTAGGTAACACAGTAAGCCCTGTCTCTACAAAAAATAAAAAAATTAACTGGGCATGGTGGTGTGTGCCTGTAACCCCAGCTCCTCGGGAGGCAGAGGGAGAGGTTCGCTTGAGCCCAGCAGTTTTAGGTTGCAGTGAGCCAGGACCAAGACACTACACTCCAGCCTGAGTGACAGAGCAAGACACTGCCTCTAAACAAACAAACAAACAAAAGCGACCTGTGGGTAGGTAGGAACAGGCTCATAGTACAGATGAGAAAGCAGAGCTTGGAGGGCTCAAGCGATTTGCCAAGCAGAGGTCCAAGCCGAGGTCTCTCTGAATCCAAAGTTAATTCCGTCTATCATATCACCACAGCCCTCTCTGCCCCAGGGAGAGTCTCTGCCCACTCCAGCCACTCACGTGTAATTGACTTCCTCAGGGGCAGGAAAGGCTTCGATGGGCCAGTTGAGGGTGCAGTTCAGAAAGATAAGGCAGGCCAGGCCAGACCAGGTGAACATGATGACCACGAAGGCCACACCGGCATCGTAGATCAGCTGTGAGAGGAGGGGGCAGGCCCGTGGGGGAGACTGCCTGGCCCCAGACCCCACCAAGGTAGATCCCAGGCCTCAGAGGCCTTAAAGAAGTTCTCTTCTCCCCTTGTCCTTGTGCCCAATTTGCAGATGAGGAAACCAAGACCAGAAGTTTAGAGTCAGACTCAGAAGACCCATCATTCCTTTTTCTTTTTCACTTGAGGCCCCCTAGAGAGCTATGAAATAGTCTCCACAAAGCCTGAAGTTGCTGGCCACTGGCTCAAAATATCTCTGAAATTTCCATTATCTTAAAAAAATACATACATTTTTGCCTATGACTCCACAAACATTCATGTTCATGTTCGCACAAAAATGTCCATTTCATAGTACGTACAAAGGAAACTTAGTGCTCTAGGTTTACCGGGCCTAATCGTGTTTATCCTGCCCCTTCCTGGCACATTCCCCAGGGGAAAAGGCAAACCCAGACTGCTCATGCTCAGCCTTTTCTCACCTTTCCCAGGTCCTCCCACGTGCAACAACTGGGGGGGTTGGGGAGAGGGAGGTGCAAGTGCTCTGCCCAAGGGCTCTCAACCCCAGGGCAGGTAAGTTCTCAATTGAATGAGATTCTGTGCAAATGTGTCAGCCCTTCTTATGGAAGAAGCTGATGCACCATCTGTCCTCTTGTCCTCCCCATACCATCTGACCAGGATAATTAATGTCTGCTCTCCCCTCAGGCTCCTGCTCAAACCTTTTTCTCTGCAGTCTTGGACCTTGGTGCCTTTTCCTCCCTAGGGGCAGGACAGAGCTTCAAAGGGCCACACCCCCAAATGTGTGGAGGTAAGATCTGGCTCTTCAAACACTACTTCAGTTGAAAAGAAGGGAGAACTGCCCACCCTCCATGCCTGCCCACCAGAACAACTGATGGCCCCCCCACCCATGCGCTCTCTCAAACTCCTTTGGAGACACTGAGCAAAAGTACCTTCTTTAGTACTCTTTGTAAAGTGCAAAACGGTATGCAGTTTGGTACTGCCCACCGTGGAGGTTGAGGAGCATGGCATGGCTCAGTCAAAGGGTCCTTTGATATTTGACAGAGGAAATTGAGGCCCCCATCTTGCACTGAGCTAAAACTTTGGTCCCCTGGCTTCGAGGTACACCAGGTTGACCTGTCCAGGATCCAGCCTGGCATAAACTCACTTTGTGACCTTGGACCAAACCACCCATCCTCTCTGGAAGGTGTGGAAAAATGTGGCCCCAAAGGCTGAATAAAGCCAGAGAGTCAGGGACCTTGAACGCATGTGAAGGGGCTGGACTTGATTCTGTAGGTGAAGCTAAACCACTGAAGGTTTTTCAGCAGTGTGTGAGCCAGTTCCCCATCTGAGATCTTTCTGGAAGTCACGTGAGTGACAGAGTACAGAGAAAAAGAATCAGAGGCAGGGAGACCAGCTGAGAAAGCTTGCTGTGGCCCAGGAGAGAGGGGGAAGGCCTGCATTGGGATGATGACAGAGAAAGGAGAGCGGAGAAGTCAGACCCGTGGGTCAGCACTAGCTGCTGCTCACTCGGCCCCACCCGGTTCTTGTGTCAAGACAAAAAGAAAACCCAGGTGGCCTCATACCTTGATTCCTGGGAACGTAATGGCAGAAGAGGCGTAAGAGCCAATCATGAGGGCCATTAACGTGGAGCGCAGGTTCCCAAACATGTTGGGCAGCTGAGGAGGGAAAGCAGCACCCATGAGGTGGGGACACCGTGACCCTTGCCCAGCATTCCCAGCCCTGCTCCATACAATAGCCCCAGGAGACGCAGCAGAAAAGCCCCAAGGTAAAACAAACAGAAAAATCAATGTGGGAAACTGTACTCTGCCCCCTGCCTACACAGTCACAGTGCCCTTTAGCTTCAAAAAGGCTCCCAGACACCCCTCAGAGAGACATTTTGTTAATTTTGTTTAATTCCAGGTTTCCCAAGTTTGTTACGTAACACCTCTGAAAAACACATGGAATAGGTGCTTAAGAAACACTGATCTTGGCTGGGCGCAGTGGCTCATGCCTGTAATCCCAGCACTTTGGGAAGCCGAAGCTGGTGGGAAGCTTGAGGTCAGGAGTTCAAGACCAGCCTGGACAACATGGTGAAACCCCATCTCCACCAAAAATACAAAAATTAGCTAGGCATGGTGGCATGCGCCTGTAATCCCACCTACTCCAGAGGCTGAGGCAGGAGAATCGCTTGAACCTGGGAGGTGGAGGTTGCAGTGAGCCGAGATCGCACCACTGCACTTTAGCCTGGGTGACAGAGCGAGACTATGTCCCCACCCCCCAAAAAAAAAGAAAAGAAAAGAAAGAAACAGTGATCTTGTCCAACCCATTTGAGATGAGACAATTGAGACCCAGGGAGGAAAAGTGTACTCAAGTTCACAGAGCACATTAATGGCTTTCTCCCCATTGTCGTTGTCCCAGCCCTAACCCAAGGCTGTGACCATGGCTGTGTCCCGGTAATAGGCAGTGCCTCTTAACCCTCTCGGTTGACGTCCCAGCCCAGTTTCTGCCTAATCAGGACAAATCACATCCTGGGAGGTGAGGGTGGAAATAAGGGAGGGAACTGAGCCAGGGCAGACAGTCTCCAGAGGAGGTGGCTCTGACGCAGAGCAGGGTCAGAACCCACACCAGGAGAGAATTTAATTGATCATGTGTTCCACTCACCTGCCTCAGCCAAGCCCTCAGGGCAGGGGAAGGCAAAGTCAGGATGCCCTTCGCACACACCCTCCTCTGGCCCCACCATCCTCCCCAAGTCACTAGATCCCACAGCTGAGAAGGACCTTAGGATCCGTACAAAGCCTAAACACACTCCACAGAGGGGGAAACTGAGACTCTGAAGGGAGGCCTCAACAGCTCTGGTAAAAAAGGCGTTTAGGCCGGGCGCAGTGGCTCACACCTGTAATCCCAGCACTTTGGGAGGCCGAGGCGGGTGGATTGCCTGAGCTCAGGAGTTCGCGACCAGCCTGAGCAACACGGTGAAACCCCGTCTCCACTAAAATACGAAAAAATTAGCCGGGCGTGGAGGCGTGCACCTGTAGTCCCAGCTACTCGGGAGGCTGAGGCAGGAGAATTGCTTGAACCTAGGAGGCAGAGGTTGCAGTGAGCCGAGATCGCGCCACTGCACTCCAGCCTGGGCGACACTGCGAGACTCCGTCTCAACAAAAAAAAAAAAAATGGTGTTTAAACACATATAACTAAATTATCCTTCCCCCTTCCCCTGAAGTGGCTGGCTCAGGAAAAACCTCTACCCACTCAGGCAGAGGTTTTCCTGCACCCTGCATCCGTGAGGCACCACTGCCAAGGACGCCACGGAAGGCTGCCAGGCCTGGAGAGGGGCAGGGCCCCCTCCCCTCCAAGGGGCCACAAACGCTGTCTGCGCCCAGTACCGTGGGTAAGGCGAGGCCGGCCGGCTAACCCCGGGCTGGCGGCCTTGCAGCGTGCGTGGCAACAGCAGCTGGGCCCGCAAGACTCAGCACGGGACGTCCTCGTCCAAGTCTGGGCCAAGAGCAGCGGCCCAGGGGGCGGGGCCGGCCAGAGGGAGCGGGGAGAGGCTGAGGGGCGGTGCCAGCGCCGGACCCTGCCATTGGCTGGAGATTACAGGAGGCGGGGACATAGCAGGGAGGAGCCGCTGGACAAGCCCCACCCGGCCGCCAGGGAGGGTCTGAGGTCAAGCGCCGGAGAGAAGGGATTTAGGGCCCTGGGCCAAGTTGCACAGCAGGGAGAAGGGGCTGCGCAGAGGGGCGGGGAGAAAGGGATCCGCTTCCTTCCTTTAGAGCTGTGAAATGTCCCCGGTTGGAATTAAAGGCGGCTGCTGGGGAGAGGTGAAATTCAGCCAAAACCACCCAGTCAGGCAGCCCTTCTCAGAGATAAACAGTCCGAGCCAGCCCGGCCAGGAACCTTCCCCTCCAACCTCCCTAAGCCTTTAACACTCCTAAGCCTTTAACGCGTTTACACACTCACATAAATAAACACACTTTGAGCAACACACATACACCACTCACCACATGTAATAGGTCAAGCCATGTGCACGACGAGGTGTCGACAATTTCATATGGTTCAACCTAGTACACTCACAAACACACCTACCAACTCATGGCTTTCACAGGGACGGGGTCACACACCCACTCTCCCACGACATGGCAAGCGTGCACACGCTATCTCAAGCTGCTCCCTCCCCCTCAAGATCATGTTACCCAGTTTTATTTTCTTCCCAGCACCTATGACGACTGACATAATTTATTAGTTTACTTGTTTATTGGGTTATCTGTGCCCCTCACCCCCAAAATGTAACCTCCAGCAGGGAGGATGACTCGGTCAGTCCTGATTGTGCTGTAGTCCAGGACCTAGAACAGAGCTCCATGGACATTCATGGGCTCTGTACACACAAACACACACATTAACATACACCCCGACACACAGCCTCATCCACACACACACAGCCTCACACCTGCTCTTTGCAGCCACCTGCACAGTTTCTCACACACTCACTTGATCTAGTGATCTGCGTCCACAGGCCCCTCCCCCAGCCCATTCATACTGCCCTCACCCCACTCACTCTGCCCTCACCCCACTCGGGGGAACTCTGCTGCCAGGCCAGGCCTGTGACACTCACCGTGAGTGAAGTGAACGTTAGGCAGATGCCACCAAAGCCATTCAGGGACAGCGCCAGGAATATCAACGGAGACAGAGCTGGAAAGGGGAAAGCAGCAGATGAGGGCATTTGGGGAGCTGTGGGAAGCCAAGGGCGGGAGCTGGGGTAAACATCCGCCTTCATCCCACCTATTCTTTTCTTGTGGGGCCACAAGAGGACAGACAACTCACCTTCCACGTCCCGGGAGGCCAGGGCCATGAGGGTGCAGGACGCAGTGAAGCAGGCACTGTGGAGACACAGGGAAGGGCGAGGGGTTGGCCTGTGAGCACCCCCCCTCCCCTCCCCCTGCAGCACGGTCCCTGTCCTCCCGTTCCCCATAGCCCAGCCACCTCACCTGCCAACCAGCCGCACGGGTCGGGGGCCAAAGCGGTCCATGAGGATCCCCAGTGGCAGGGTGGTGGCGCTGAGCACGAAGGAACCAATGGTGAAGCCCAGGTTGAGCATCTCGTCCTGCTGGTCACAGCCTGGCCACCTGCGCTGCTCATCCTGGGTGGTGTTGGTGCTGCTCTCAGCTGAGGAGGGGGAAGGGAGGGCTCAGCACATGACACCAGGAACAGCTGGGCACAGGAGACAGCAGCCCACAGTCAGGCGGCCTGCTTTCAAATCCCATGCCAAGTGCCTTTGGGGGTACCCTAGAGTCACATCTCCTCTGATGGGGCTGCTCCAGAAATGGCAGCCATTAGTACCTGACCCTGGGAGAGTCTTGTGCACACACAGCCTGAGGCTTCAACTAGCTCAAATGAAATACTGGACATAAAAGTATTTACTAAGTTGTAATATGCACTCAGTGTCCAAGCTTAGGGGGTTGTGGACCCCCAACAAGAAGTGCCCCCATATCTAGAGGCAAAGGCAAAGGCAGTGAGTGGTACTCTAATGGCTATAACAAGAATTCATTAAAATGGCCCGGCGTGGTAGTTCATGCCTGTAATCCCACCACTGTGGGAGGCTGAGACAGGCAGATCGCTTAAGCCTACAAGTTTGAGACCAGCCTGGGCAACATGGTAAAACCCCATCTCTAAATAAAAAAAAGAAATTTAGAAAGAACACTAAAACTTAGAGGAAGCTTTCCCGATAAATGATAGTCTGATAAAATAATAGCTAATACTTATTGAGCACTTAACTATGCTCCAGGCACTGTTCTAAACACAACAGCCCCATAAGTCAGTTAATAAAGTATCCCGTTCCCTAGGTGATGAAGCTGAGGCACAGAATGAGAACCAGGCACTGCCCTCCAGTCCCCTCTAGAAGTCCACTTGGAGGACTTGTCCTTAACGGTAAACTGCCAACTTGGAGTTGTGACAAGTTAAGGAGAAAAGCTAGTGATAGGAGACAAAGGGCTGCTTCGCTTTACTCAATGCTCAGTGAGTCATGAGGTGGCTGCCCCCAGGCCTCCAAGTTGTCACTTGGCAGCACTGCCAAGGGCAAACTCAGGGTGCACCTGGAGCAGGCAGACAGACCAGGGTCTGAATTCCCACCACCAGCCTTACTAGCTGTGCACCTTGACCAAGTAACTTTCTTCTTGTCTGTAAACCGGACCAAAGAATGCCTAACCCACGACCTCCTTAGGAGGATTAAATTGGAGACAGTAAACAAAGAGCTTTGCACAGTGCCTGGCCCAGAGAAAGTGCTCCTGAAGGATCTGAGGAAGGGGTAGCTGACCCTCCTGGTGGGTCATGTGGTAAGCACGTACTCTAGGAGCTGGGCATCCACACTACATGAGACAGGAAGTTCTCAGCTCTAGAGTGACAGGTGCTGCTAAAAGAACAAACCAGGCCAGGTGCAGTAGCTCACACCTGTAATCTCAGGACTTTGGGAGGCCAAGGTGGGTGCATCTCTTGAGCCCAGGAGTTCAAGACCAGCCTGAGCAACATTGGGAAACCTTGTCTTTACAAAACAAATTTTAAAAATCAGCCGAGCATGGCGATGCATGTCTGTAGTTCCAGCTACCTGGGAGTCTGAGGTGGGAGGATTGCTTGAGCCCGGGCGGTCGAGGCTGCAGTGAGCCATGATCACACCATTGCACTCCAGTCTGGGTGACAGAGCAAGGCCCTGTCTCAAAAAAAAAAAAAAAGAAAAGAAAAGAAAAGAAAAAGGAAACAAAAAAACCAACAAGGGGACAAGGGGATGTGATAATGCCTGGATACTAGGGGGTGGTAGAGGACATCTGCCCTCAGTAGTGAAAATGACCCCTGACTTTACATATCCAAAGGTCATGCAGTTGGCAGAAGAGTAAAGATAAAGGAATCTGTGTGTTGACATAAGGAAGAACACAAAGGCCTGGCAGATCCTGAGTGTTGACCAGCCATGGAAGGAACTGTCCTGGACAACAGAGAGTCTTCTTCAGTACCAGCTGCCAAGGAGGTGGGGAAAGTGCTCAGACACCTCCAGGAAGCACTTAGGGGTTGGACCACACAGCCTTTGGGGATCAGGCTAGCCCTATAATTTAGTGATCTTTATGATCACTGTCATTTCTCTACAGGTTTTTTTTTTTTTTTTTTTTGAGACAGGGTCTCACTCTGTCTCCCAGGCTGGAGTGCAGTGGTGCAATTATAGCTCACTGCACCTTTGACTTCCCAGCTCACTGTAGCCTTGACCTCCCGAGTTCAAGTGATACCCCCACCTCAGCCTCCTGAGTAGGTGTGTCTACAGGTGCATGCCACCACACCTGGCTACTTTTTGTATTTTTTGTAGAGATGAGGTTTCAACTGTTGCCCAGGCTGGTCTCGAACTCCTGGGCCCAAGTGATCTGCCTGCCTGGGCCTCCCAAAGTGCTGAGATTACAGACATGAGCAACTGTGCCCGGCCTCTCTACAGGTTTATCTGCATTGGTTTATTCATTCTACACCCACTTACTGGATATTTACTATACAACAGCACTGTGCTGGGACAATGCGTAAAGCAAGAAGAAATACAAAGATGATTTTAGACCAGAGGCTGCACACCGGTGACCAGCAGTTGCCCCCACCCATGTTTTGCTCTGCTGGCAATGTTGACCCTTATAGTGTTGTAAATTATAATTGGGTGCCAGTTTAAAATCAGGAGTTATCACATAAAAATCCAGATGTCTTGCTTCTCTTTAAAAAGTTAGAAGATCGGCCAGGTGCGGTGGCTCAAGCCTGTAATCCCAGCACTTTGGGAGGCCAAGGAGGGTAAATCACAAAGTCAGGAGATCGAGACCATCCTGGCTAACACGGTGAAACCCCATCTCTACTAAAAATACAAAAAAAAAATTAGCCGGGCGTGGTGGTGGGCGCCCGTAGTCCCAGCTACTTGGGAGGCTGAGGCAGGAGAATGGCGTGAACCCGGGAGGCGGAGCTTGCAGTGAGCCGAGATCGCGCCACTGCACTCCAGCCTGGGTGACAGAGCAAGACTCCGTCTCAAAAAATAAAAATAAAAATAAAAAGTTAGAAGATCTAGGCATGACTGTAGCTGAGTGGAGGCCATCCCCTTTTGCCAGGGCTTGCCTTCTCAAGGTCATACACGTCCTCACCTCTCTTTTAATTCCCAGACATTGCTATTCTACACCTGCCCTGCTTTACCCAATTATTAGCAAATGCCTGGCCTCAGCTGGCATTTCCATTTGCAGTCCCTGAATTAGACACTGTTCCTGCTCCTAAGTCTTTGATAATCAAATGACAATTTCCCTCACAAACAATCCCACTAGCGTGCAAATTTACACCTACTTTGTGCCAATATTTTCTATAGAGAATCCCATTTAATCCATGCAATAACCCTAAAGGGTGAGTACAATGGTCCCCATTTTATAAATGGTAAGGGTCCAAGAAGCAAAGCAATTCAGTTAGCCAGCTTCTTACAGGCAGGCTCAGATTCAAACTCAAGATAATCTCCAAAGTCAACAGTTTTCCACTGCACCAAAGGGCCTCTGTGTTACATGGGCCAGTTAGCTCAGTAAGTTTCCCAAGCACACATCAGTGCCAGAAAGGACATGTGCTCTTCCACTAACGGAGAATCCATTCCCGTGAAATGCTAATGACTTAGTGTCAATTCATACATTCATTCCTGTTTTATCGATCAGCCTTTTATGAGTTTGACCAACGAGTTCATTCATAAGGAAGGCTTGATCACTCTGAGTAGTTGGATAAAAATCCAAATTCTGAACTAAAAGGAGAGCCAGCCCAAGATGCCAAGACCTCTTAGAGCTGTGTCCATGTTAATGACAACAGAAAAGGTCTTTGGCATCAACCCCCAACCCCAACATTTATAGACAAATAAAGCGAAGCATAGGATGGGACAGTGATTAAGCTGGGCTTGGAAGCCAGGGAAAGCAGTGTTTCCCAATATGTGGTATGCACAGCATGTGAGCACTCAAGATGGGTTCAGGAAGTAACATGGAGCAGTTTTTCAGGTTTCATAGTTATTCGTTATTTGAATGTGTATTAAAAACATACATTGGCCAGCCGCAGTAGCTCGCACCTATAATCCCAGCACTTTGGGAAGCCAAAGCAGGTGGATCACTTGAGATCAGGAGTTCAAGACCCACCTGGCCAACATGGTGAAACCCTGTCTCTACTAAAAATACAAACATTAGCCGGGTGTAGTGGTGGGTGCCTGTAATCCCAGCTACTCCAGAGGCTGAGGCAGGAGAATCGCTTGAACCCAGGAGGCAGAGGTTCCAGTGAGCCGAAATCACACCACTGCACTCCAGCCTGGGCTACAGAGAGAGACTCCATCTAAAAAAAACTAACAACAACAAAAAAAATAACAAAAAACGATACACGTATATACGTACATATATATGTATTAGAAACATACATGTATATGTATAACGTGTGGGGGTGGGTAACAGCAAACCCGATATTCCAAGAATATTACACTTTAGAATGAAGCTATTTTTTTTTAAGCAGACTGATTCAAAAGGAATTATTAAGTAAATAACACTAGCTATGGCAAAGGGAAATGGTAAAATCATGAAGGTAAACTGCAAATGACTAGGTTTGGGATGGTTGTGAAGCACCTGGAGTCTGGAAGAGCCGGGTTCAAATTCTAATTCCACTAGCTGTGCTGCAGAAACTCTCTGAGGCTCCATTATCTCATCTGGGAAATGGGGACTGTGGTCTCAACCACCTGAGAGGCTGGCTCTGAGAATTGTCACACATACACACACAGCGAACACTCACAAAATGATCCCATTTTCTTTGTCTCCCTGCTCAGTGTTCCTTTCCTAACCCCATGATGCTTCCCTTTCCTGCCTCTGACATGGTCACATTCAGCAAAAACACCTTAGGGGTTGGGTGTGGTGGTTTATGCCTGTAATCCCGGCACTTTGGGAGGCCAAGACAGGAGGATCGCTTGAGTCCAAGAGTTTGAGACTAGCCCTGGCAACATAGTGAGACCCCATCTATACAAAAAATAAAAACATTAGCTGAGCATAGTGGCGCACACCTGCAGTCCCTGCAACTCCAGAGGCTGAGGTGGGAGGATCACTTGAACCTGGGAGGTGGAGGACGCAATGAGCTGAGACCACACCATTGCAGTCCAGCTTGGGTGACAAAGTGATACCCTGTCTCAAAAAATAATAGTAAGTAATTAATTAAATAAAATTTTAAAATTAGTCAGGTGTGGTGGTGTGCACCTGTAGTCCAAGCTACTCAGGAGGCTGAGGTGGGAGGATTGCTTGAGCCTGGGAGATCAAGGTTGCAGTGAGCATTGATCATGCCACTGCACTCCAGTCTGGTGACAGAGTGAGACCTTGTCTCAAAAACAAACAAACAAAATCTTAGGATTGGGCTCTCGCTGGTGTCTTGTCTATGGCTGGATTCCCCCAGGAGAGCCCTGGGCCACTGAAGGTCAGGGACATCCACACTATTCCCATGAGTCCCAGTAGAAAGGTTCTGGAGTCCAATGTGAAACTAAATCTTTACTCTGCCCTTTACTAGCTGTGTGACCTTGCACAAGTTACTTAGCATCTCTGAGCTTCAGGTTTCTCTTCTATAAAATGGGGTTAATAAAAATAATACCTGTATCACAGATTTGTAGTGAGGACTAAATATCTAACTAACAAACAGTAAATGCCTAAAGAACTTTAGCAATTGTTTTATTTGGGCACTTATGCTGGATATAGAGTAGTTTGTGATAAATTGAACTGCTTCTGCCTAAATTCTGAGAAACAGAGGCTCCGTTAGCTGTGATACCCTTATAGGTAGGTCAGAGGATGTGGCCAGGTAACCCCAAAGTTGATACTAGTGAATGCTTCAATAATGAGTTCCAGGCCAGGCACAGTGGCTCACATCTGTAATCTCAGCACTTTGGGAGGCTGAGGTGGGAAGATCACTTGAGCCCAGGAGTTCAAGACCAGCCCTGGCAACATAGTGAGAACCTGTCTCTACAAAAAATAAAAAATTAGCCGAGGCCAGGTGCAGAGGCTCACGCCTGTAATCCTAGCACTTTAGGAGGCCAAGAAAGGGGGATCACTTGAGGCCAGGGGTTCTAGATCAGCCTGGGCAACATGGTGAAACCCCGTCTTTACCAAAAATACAAAAAAATTAGCCGGGCATGGTGGCACAGGCCTGTAATCCCAGCTACTTGGGAGGTTGAGGCAGCAGAATCACTTGAACCCAGGAGGCGGAGGTTGCAGTGAGCGGTGATTGCGCTGCTGCACTCCAGTCTGGGCGACAAAGCAAGACTGTCTCAAAAAATAAAAATAAAAAATAAAAAATTAGCCGTGCGTGGTGGTACATGCCTGTGGTCCCAGCTACTTAGGGGGATGAGACATGAGGATCACTTGTATCCAGGAGGCTGAAGATGCATTGAGCTGTGTTTATACCACTGGACTCCAGCCTAGGCAAGAGAACAAGACCCTATTTCTAAAATAATAATAATTGTAATAATAATAATGAGTTCCTCATTTGTTGAGCTCTTCATATTTTTGTTAAATGACATCATTTGATCCTTAAATCATTGCTCTTTGGAAGAAAGGTTGACAATTGTCCACTTTGTTTTATAGACTTGGAAAGAATGGAGATCCAGAGAAGATAAGGTCACATAGCAAATAACAGCAAAGCCAGGTTCAGAATGTAGTAACAATCCCATCCGTAGTCTGAAATTTTATCTGCTTACCCTCATTTCATTTTCACAACAGCGCTATAAGGTATGGATTACTAGTCCCATTTTACCATATGGGGTAATTGAGGTATTAAGAAAATTAAGTGCCAGGCACGGTGGCTCACGCCTGTAATCCCGACACTTTGGGAGGCCAAGGCGGGTGGATCACCTGAGGTGAGGAGGTCGAGACCAGCCTGACCAATATGGTGAAACACTGTTTCTACTAAAATTACACAAATTAGCCGGGCATGGTGGCATGCACCTGTAATCCCAGCTACTCAGGAGGCTGAGGCAGGAGAATCGCTTGAACCTGGGAGGCGGAGGTTGCAGTGAGGTGAGATCGCACCACTGCACTCCAGCCTGGGCAACAGAGCGAGATTCCATCTCCAAAAAAAAAAAAGAAAAGAAAAGAAAGAAAGATAGAAAGAAAATTAAGCTTCAATCACCCAACAGCACATAGCGGAGTTGGAAGTCTGCCTCTTTCCACACACTATGGCAACACAGATTCCTGGTCTAATTCTGTGTTCTTGGGACACTGCAGAGGAAGACTGACACCCAAAGTGAATAAAGTTCCAAGAAGCAGAAAACGGACACTTTTGATCATGCAGCATGACTGAGGCAGATCAGGCAACAGCACCCACAGTCAGCCCGAGAGCCTCAAGGATTTTGGCTGGAGTCCCTTGAAGGGAAGAGAGGTAGGTAGAGATAGGCATGTTGTACCCTGCTTTGCAAGAATGGACAAATAAGTCCTAGAAAATTAAAAAATTAGCCAGGTGTGGAAGCACATGCCTGTAATCCTAGCTACTCAGGAGGCTGAGGTGGGAAGATCACGTGAGTCCAGAAGTTCAAGGCTGCAGCAATGATCACACCACTGAACTCCTGCCTAGCTGACAGAGTGAGACCCTATCTCAAAAATGAAACAAAACAAAAAAAAACAAATAAATTCTGAGAAAAGGACTGGGCACGGTGGCTCCCACCTGTAATCCCAGCACTTTGGGAGGTAGAGGCAGATGGATCACTTGAGGCCGGGAGTTCCAGAAAAGCCTGGCCAACAGGTGAAACTGCATCTTTACTAAAAATACAAAAATTAGCCAAGCATGGTGGTACACGCCTGTAATACCAGCTACTCAGGAGTCTGAGGCAGGAGAACTGCTTGAAACCAGAAGGCAGAGGTTGCACTGAGCCAAGATGAAGCCATTGCACTCCAGCCTGGGTGACGGAGACTCTGTCTCCAAAAAAAAAAAGAAACAAAGAAAAAATTCACTTTGGTCACCTCTAGTAATCCCTAACAGCCAGATTTAGAAGCATACCCACTTCTGGGCAATTTACAACACCAGGTGGATATCTCACACTATATACAAAATCAACTCAAAATGGATCAAGGATCTAACTATAAGAGCTAAAACTACAAAACTCTAAGAAAACACAGGCCGGGCATGGTGGCTCACACCTGCAATCCCAGCACTTTGGGAGGCCAAGGCGGGTGGATCACGAGGTCAGGAGATCGAAACCATCCTGGCCAATGTGGTGAAACCCCGTCTCTACTAAAAATACAAAAATTAGCTGGGCATGGTGGTGTGTGCCTGTAGTCCCAGCTACTCAGGAGGCTGAGGCAGGAGAATTGCTTGAACCCAGGAGGCAGAGGTTGCAGTGAGCCAAGATCGTGCCACTACACTCCAGCCTGGGTGACAGAGCAAGATTCCGTCAGAAGGACAAAGGAAGGAAGGAAGGAAGGAAGGAAGGAAGGAAGGAAGGAAGGAAGGAAGGAAGGAGGGAGGGAGGGAGGAAGGGAAGGAGGGAGGGAGGGAGAGAGGGAGGGAGGGAGAGAGGGAGGGAGGGAAAGAAGGAAGGAAGGAAGGAAGGAAGGAAAGAAGGAAACACAGGTGTAAATCTTTGTGACCTGAGATTAGGCAATAGTTCCTTAAACATGACACCAAGATACAAGTGGCAAAAGAGAAAAATAGAAAATTGGACTTCAATATTAAAAACTGTTGTGCACTAAAGGACACCAAAAGAAAGTGAAAGACAACCCAATAATGGAAGGAAAATTTTTACAAATCATATGTAGGAGACTTATATCTAGAACATAAAGAACTCTTACATCTCAGTAATAGAAAGATAACCTAATTTTAAAGTGGGCAAAGGACCTGAATAGACCTTTCTCCAAAGATATACCAAAAGCCAATAAGCACAGGAAAAGATGCTCAACATCATTGATCAGTAGGGAAACACAAATCAAAATCACAAAAAAACTTTACATCCACTAGGATGGCTATAACAAAAAAAAGATGGGCAGGCCGGGCGCGGTGGCTCATGCCTGTAATCCCAGCACTTTGGGAGGCCGAGGTGGGCGGATCACTTGAGGTCAGGAGTTCGAAACCAACCTGGCCAACATGGTGAAACCCCATCTCTACTGAAAATACAAAAAATTAGCCGGGCGTGGTGGTGGACGCCTGTAATCCCATCTACTCAGGAGGCTGAGACACAAGAATCACTTGAACCTGGGAGGCGGAGGTTGCAGTGAGCTGAGATCATGCCATTGCATTCCAGCCTAGGCAACAGAGTGAGACTCCATCTCAAAAAAAAAAAAAAAAAAAAAAAAAAAGATGGGCAACGACACATATTGTTGAGGCTACAAAGAAAGTGAACCCTCATCACTGCTAACAGGAATGTAAAATAGGCTGGTCCCAGTGCAGTGGTGTTTACACCTATTGATCAAAACCAGTTCCTTTTCCACTCCCACTGCTTCACTTGGCTAGTCTTAAAAATATATATATATGAGAAATTAAAAATTAAAAAATTAAAATTAAATTTAAAAAAATGTAAAGGAGGCCAGGCACAGTGGCTCACGCCTGTAAATTCCAGCACTTTGGGAGGCCGAGGGGGGTGGATCACCTGAGGCAGGATTTCAAGACCAGCCTGGACAACATGGTGAAACCCCATCTCTACTAAAAATACAAAAATTAGCCGAGCATGGTGGCGGGCGCCTGTACCTGGGAGGCTAAGGCAGGAGAATCGCTTGAACCCAGGAGGTGGAGGTTGCCCTGAGCTGAGATAGCGCCATTGCACTCCAGCCTGGGCAACAAGAGAGAAATTCTGTCTCAAAAATAAAAAAAAAATTTTTTTAAGAATATGAAATAGTGTAGCCACTTTGGAAAACAATTTGGTAGCTCCTCAAAATGTTAAACATAGTTACCCTTGCAACTGACCAGCAATTCCTAAGAAAAATGAAAGCATACCTCGACATTAAAAACTTTACAAGGGCTAGGCGGGGTGGCTCACACCTATAATCCCAACACTTTGGGAGGCCCAGGAGGGAGGATCACTTGAGCCCAGGAGTTCGAGACCAGTCTCAGCAACATAGCATGACCCAGTCTCTATAAAAAAATTTTTTTTTAATTAGCTGGATGTGTTGATGCGGGCCTGTAGTCCCAACTATTCTGGAGGCTGAGGTGGGAGGATCATTTGAGCCCAGGAGGTTGAAGCTGCAGTGAACTGTGATTGTGCCTCTGCACTCCAGCCTGGGTCACTGAGTGAGAGACCCTGTCTCAAAAAAATTAAAAAAAAAAAGTCCAGAAGAACATTTGGGTCTCACTCTGTGGCCCAGGCTGGAGTATAGTGGCACAATCATAGCTCACTGCACATTCAAACTCCTGGCCTCAAGTGATCCTCCTGCCTTAGCCTTGAAATAAGCTTGGATTACAGATGAGCCACCACACCCAGCCAGACCATTATTCATAATAGCCAAAATGTGAAAACAACCCAAATCTCCATCAACTGACAAATGGATAAATAGAATGGTGGTTGATCCATACAATGGAGTATTTACTCAGCAATAAAAAGAAGTCCTGATACATGCTACAAGGATGAACCTCAAAAACATTATGCTAAGTGAAAGCAGCCAATCACAAAAGGCTACATATTACAAGATTCCATTTAAATGAAATGTTCAGAATAGGTAAATCTAACTTTTATCACAGGCAAAGCTATGACAGGAAATAGATGAGTGGTTGCCTAGTGCTTGGGGGCAGAGGTGGGGGTGAGGCGAGTGAGTACTGCTAATGGTACAGAGTTACTTTTGGGGATAAAGAAACTGTTCTGAAATGGACTCTGGTGATGGTTGCACTACTCTGAACATACTAAAACTGTTAAATTATATACTTGAAATGGGTGACTTGTGAGGCATGGAAATTATATCTTAATAAAGCTGTTTTACATATTTTACATATTTAAAAATGCAGGTGGAGGGATGAGCCCTCTAAAGAGAAGCAGGAGTTTGAGGAGGTTCTAAATATTGTGTGGTGGGTACTGAGGCATATAAATTTGTCAGACCTCATCAAAATGTATGATGTAATCTTCAAGAAAGTTGATTTTAAAGAAACACCACCAGCACCAGGTGGAGAAGGCAGGAAGAAGTTACACAAGGGGTAGGCCAAGAGTGGTGGCTCATGTCTATAATCCCAGCACTGCGGGAGGCCGAGCCGGGTGGGTGACTTGAGGTCAGGTGTTCGAGACCAGCCTGGCCAACATGGTGAAAGCCCGTCTCTACTAAAAATACAAAAATTAGCCAGACGTGCTCGCGTGAACCCAGGGGGAGAAGGTTGCAGTGAGCGAAGATCATGCCAATGCACTCCAGCCTGGGTGACAGAGTGAGACTCTGTCTCAAAAAAAAAAAAAAAAGTTACATAGGGGACAGTGGCAGGTGTCAAGGGCAGGCAGGGTCTCTCCTATCTCCAGGATAAACTCATAGGGGACTTAGATGCCATGTGGGTCCCTAATAGCCCTCCACTTGGTTCTTGCAGCCACTCTTATGTGTATCATTTCATGTCAGGCCTCTTCTTCCCAACCCACCCAGCCATCCCAGCCTGGCTGCCAACCCCACCTCCTCCAGCCCCTGTCACCCCATAATTGGGGCCAGGAGGCATGGGAGAGTCGCCATCTCTCGGTGCCATCTGTTGCATCTTTACAGATAACCATGGCTGGATGCGGCAGATCCTGGGGTGGAGCAGCCGCTGTTCAGAGCAGTGATCAAGACCTCCCCATCTCCACCCCTCAAGGAATCGGTTTTCTTCCATAGCCACATCAGGTGCTGTGCAGGAAGGAGTTGAAACGAGAAGCCAGGAGCAACGAGAAGGACACTAACATTTATTAAGCACTGCAGACTCTCACAGCACTCCCACGGAATCGATATTATTATCCCCATTCTGAAGACCAGGCAACTGAAGCTCAATGTTTAAGGAACTCACCGAAGTCACCAACTGATAAAAGTGATGGAAGCTGGGATTCAAATCCAAGCTAAACTTCCTTCCAAGCTTACTCCACAACACAGAGGTTGGGGAAAGGGGATAAAAAGAGAGGGGAGCCCAATTCCATTTCCACCCAGCTCCTGAGGCGGAGCTTGTCAGCACAGCTCTCTCCTTCCCAGAATAGGAAGATACCCATCAGAGGCAAGTCCTAGACACCAGCAGTGGTAACTCCCTGCCCCAAGGCAGCTGCAGACAGCCTATGGCTGTAGTTACTGCTCCCAAAGAGTGTTAGAATTCCCACTCCCAGCTTCGGGGCCACTCACACAAGGTGATTGAAGTGGAAACCAGAGACTCTCCACAATGCCCTCCTAGAGTAAATGAGGCTATGTAACTTTGTCCAAATGAGTAATTTGAAAACCTGGGGGCTCCCAGCTCCTGAAAAGGGAAGGATGTGGGGCCCTTTATATTCATACTCCACTTTGTGCAGCTCTCCCTTGTCTTATGATAGCCCTATTAAGAAATTCCTCTCCCAGCACGTCTCCTTCAAAGAGCTCTAGACCTGAGGCTGTCAGAGGCTTAGGACTCTGCCTATTAGTCCCAGGGTCTGGATGACCAGCAGGACACCTGGCATTCAGTGACCACTGGATTAGATAAATGAAACAGTGGGCAGAGTGCCACCCAATCTCCCCCTGAAGTTTGAAGAGGTCGAGAAGTGAGGCTGTCCAACTGCTGACCCTGCTTTCTGTCCACCTGGCCACCTAACCTTTTCTGGCTTCCACCTGCCCCTTTGCCATCCCTCCCCCCAGCCCACCCAGCCCATTTTCAGGCATACCTGGGCACGTGCTGGAATAGAAGCCCTCGTTCTTCAGAATGATCAACAGGGAGCCCCAGCCCAGGAGTACAGCAGAGAAGAAGAGGTTCTCCAGCACAGCCGTGCAGGCCATCCACCAGCGCCTCCGGTACGCCTGTTGCAGCGTGGGGGCCATGCTGGCCCCGAGCCTGCACAGAAACAGAGCGCTGGGTGAAGGGCCCCCCAGTGGCCCCAGGGAAGGGTCCTGCATCATGGTGGCACCCGAGACCTCTCGGGCCAGCCCGCGAGGAGCCCCTCATGGAGGCCCCATAGAGCCCTGGGCTTCCCAGCCGGTGCCAAGGAGCTGGCTCCGCGCGCACTAGCAGTGCCAGAGGTGCACGCGGCACGGGGCTCCCGCTGAGCCACTATCGGAAACAAGGAAGGTCCTGTCTGCGCGCTGCAGCTTCCTAGCAGGCTGCCGGGTTCTCTCACCCAGGCCAGGGCGCTCAGGGCCGGGCTGCTGGGGAGAAAGTCCGCATCTGCCCAGGTCCCCAGAGGACAGCAAGGGGCAGAGCGCGCTCTGAAGCACCGCGGGCCCATGTCCGGACTCTCGCGCCAGGAAAGACCCCTAGAAGCTGGCAGGAAGAAGGGCAAGTTCAAGGCTACCCTACGACCCCATCTTCCAGTTGCCCCTCCAAGACCTCTCCTTCCCTCTGGGGCCGGGCGACAGCAAGCCCTCCCCCTTTCCGTATCAGGTGACCCACGACCCTACAGTCTCTCGGGCCAAGCCAACAGCTGCCACGTGGAGGGAGACCCAGGACGGGCTCTCCTCGGTTCCCTCCTCCCCCGCGCGCCCCTCACTCACTCCGCAGGGCTCGGGGCACCAGGCTTTGCACCTCGGAACCCGCTTGCCCCCCTCCAGCCCCGGGAGGGGGCTCGGACTTCGGCAGGAAGTCTGGCGGCTGCTGACTTTATAAGGGCAGCGGTGGCGGATGGGCTGGCGGGCGGGTGTGTTTACCAAAGGGAGGGAAAGAGCCCCAGCTCCCCCCGCCGCGGCCGCTGCAGCCTCGGCGGGAGGAGAGGGAACGCGGGCGGCGCGGGGGCGGGGAGCGACAACTGGGATGAGACCGAGGAAAGCGGAGAGGAGAAGGGCAAGAAAGACCCAGAGAGAGGGGAGGAAGTACCAGTCACTTCTTCCAGGGGGACTCGGTATTCTCATCTGTGAAACGGGGCTTTGGGTTCAAGCGCTCCAGGAGGTCCGCTGGAACTCTGGCAAACGCGCAGCTCTAAGCAGAGGAAGTGCAGCGAGCGGGGACCCGGGAGGAAGAGAAGAGTCGGAGGGGTCAGAGAAAAGAAAAGGGAAGGACGCGCTTGGCGAGATGGGACACTGTGCCGCGGGACCGCGGGCGCAAGTAACGGTCTTTCCTTGGGAAGCCTGGCAGTGTCGGCGGGAGCCGGCCTCGGTGTCTCTCAGCCGACGCATAGCCGGAGACCCTACGCGCGCCCCCTCCCCGCCCACGCTGCTCACCTCCGGTCACCGGCAAATGAGCAGCCAGCAGCTGCGGACGCCTCCGGGAGCGCAACGCTTTCGCGGCGCGTCCGGAGTCCCGTGGGCCCAGCCCTGAGCCGCGCCGGCGCTGGGGTCTTCTCTGCGTGCAGGACCCGGCGGCCACGGAGCTTCAGCCTGACAGCCCGGTGGCCTCGCCTCCGCTGTCTCCTCGGAAGAAGCGGGGGAACTGGGAACCCGCCGGGCGCCAGAGGTCTGCGAAGCTGGGCTTGGATGAAGTGGATCTGCGGAGTTGATAGTTGTATTTACACGCGTCCGGAGCTGCGCCCCGAGGTGGGGGCGGGGGCTCCCTTCTTTTCCCCTCCCCTTAGGTCGAGTTTCACGCGCACGTGACTCGCCCGCTGGTCCCGGACACTCTCCCTCTGGCACAGCCCCAGCACCTACATTTCCACCCTGGACCCCCATCTTCTCCCCCAAGCCCCCAGACTAACATCAGGCAGCGCCCTCTGTATCCTTGTTCAAAACAAAGTGCGATTCGGCTGAAGCCGACTGACCGCGATTCAGGGCCGCCTTGGGTGGGGTTTTGAACTGTGCAGCTGGAAGCAGTGTTTTCCGAGAGGCAGAGTGGCACGGGTTTCTTTGGAGTTAGTCAGATCGAGGTCTGAGTCTTGACTTTTTAACTGACTACCCTGGGTTACCTAGGGCAAGTTACCTCTCTGAGCCTCAGCTTCCTCCTCTTTAAATTCGGTTAAAATGGAACCTACCTAACTGCCCAAAGGAATCGCGATTGTGATGCAGGTAAAATGCTAAGCATAGCATTTGGCATAGTAAGCATAATGTTAATTGTTGCTGCTGTCATTATTTCAGAAGACCTGGTGATCGGATGCTTCCAGATCAACAATTGATTGACTCCAGGTAAATCTCTCAGCCTCCCTGAGCCTCAGTATCCTCATCTGTAAAATAGACTACTATGGTGTGGAGTAATGAGAAGTAATCTCATTACATGTGAGTTTAATTGTGTGTTAAGAGTGCTGCTAATGCATGCTGAGCTTAATACCTAGGTGATGGGTTGATAGGTGCAATAAACCACCACGGCATACATTTACCTACGTAACAAACCTGCACATTCTGCACATGTACCCCAGAACTTAAAATAAAAATAAAATTTTTTTAAAAAAAGAGTGATACTGGTGGCCAGGTGTGGTGGTTCATGCCTGTAATCCCAGAACTTTGGGAGGCCAAGGCAGGAGGATCGCTTGAGCTCAGGAGTTCGAGACCAACCTGGACAACATGGTGAAACCCCGTCTCTACAAAAAAGAAAAAAAAATAGCCAGGCATGGTGGTGTGCACCTGCAGTCTCAGCTACCCAGCAGGCTGAAGTGGGAGGATCACTGAGCTGGAGAGATGGAGGCTGCAGTGAGCCAAGATCATGCCACTACACTCCAGCCTGGGTGACAGAGTAAGACTCTGTCTCAAAAACAAAACAAGAATGACTACAGAAAGCTCCAAGAAGGCCTCAGATAAAAGGGAACCCCTGAACAGATGAGCCACCAAGCCAAGAGAGGAACTAATGGCTACCATAGACAGGGCACTTTCCAAAATAAAAATACTGTTATTAATTCCTCAAGACATCATGGTCCCATTTAAACCTCATAGCTTTTCACAGAGGGAGAAACTGCAGGCTTGAAGCTGGAGCAAGGTTAGAGGTAGGATGCAGAGTCAGGTCGGCCTGGCATTTAAGTACGGCTCCTTCCATTCCTCCCAGAAGGAGAATGGCAAGAGCAAAGGCTTAGCTGTGGGAATGGCACAAGGAGTTCTCGGTGGCCAAAGCACATGTCAGGCTCTGATGGTTTAACTTCTTAAAATGCAATACTGCCTCCCAGAACTTCCAGATCAAGGTCAAACTCCTCAGCTCTACACAGGGGGACCTAGAGTCAACTTTCTAAGCTAGGAGAGTCATGGATCCCTTTGAGAATACAAAAGACAGTGGGCGCGGTGGCAGTGGCTCATGCCTGTAATCCCAACATTTTGGGAGGCTGAGGCAGGAGGATCACTTGAGCCCAGGAGTTCAAGACCTGCTTGGTCAACATAGTGAGACCCCTATTTCTACAAAAAATTCAGCTGAGCATGGTGGCATGTGCCTGTAGTCTCAGTTACTGGGGAGGCTGAAGTAGGATGATCCCTGAGCCTGGGAGGTCCAGGAAGCTGGAGTGAGCCGACATCTCGCCACTGCACTCCAGCCTGGGTGACAGAGACCCTGTCTCAAAAAAAAAAAAAAAAAGAAGAAATATGTTATTGATCTACTCTTGACAAAAATGCTTGTGTGAACATGGACACACACACTCATCAACATTCACATTTCAAGGTTTTCATGGACCCTTTCCATGAGGCTCTAGTGGTCCATGGACCCCCATGGCTGGAACACTTGCTCTTCCTCATCTCAACCCACATTTCCATGGAGTTGGACTGTCTGCTGCATGAGGACACAGGCCTCATTTGGTGTGTTCATTCACTGCTGTGTATCCCAGCACCCAGAACAGCACCTCACCTAAGGGGCACTCAGCACATGTGCAGTGAAGAGTCAGTCAGCTGGTTTCACACCTCCCAGTCTTTGCACCTGCTATTCCTTCTTGTGGGAATGACAGATTTCCTTCATTTCTTTTTTTTTTTTTTTTGACAGATTCCAGCTCTGTTGCCCGAGTTGGAGTACAGTGGCACGATCTCAGCTCACTGCAACCTCTGCCTCCCAGGTTCAAGCAATTCTCATGCCTCAGCCTCCCAAGTAGCTGGGATTACAGGTGCACACCACCACCTGTGAGCTGATATTTTTTTCTTTTCTTTTCTTTTTTCCTGAGACAGAGTCTCACTCTGTTGCCCAGGCTGGAGTGCAGTGGCGTGATCTCGGCTCACTGCAAGCTCCACCTCCCGGGTTCAAGTGATTCTCCTGCCTCAGCCTCCCAAGTAGCTGAGACTACAGGCGCGCACCACCATGCCTGGCTAATTTTTGTATTTTTTAGTAGAGGCGGGGTTTCACCATATTGGACAGGCTGGTCTCGAACTCCTGACCTCGTGATCCGCCCACGTTGGCCTCCCAAGGTGCTGGGATTACAGGTGTGAGCCACTGCACTCGGCCATTTTTTGTATTTTTTTAGTAGAGATGGGGTTTCACCATGTTGGCCAGGCTGGTCTTGAACTCTTGGCCTCACGTGATCCACCCACCTTGGCCACCCAAAGTGTTGGGATTACAGGCATGAACCACTGCGCTCAGCCTCCTTCTTCATTTCTAATGTACTCATCCTTCACAACTCAGCTCAAGTTTCACTTCTCTCTGGAAGCTCTACTCTAGGCTGGATTCAGGGCCTTGTCCACATACCCACCAAATACTCTGCTTACCTCTATGGAAGTCCCCACACTGATCTAGAATAATCAGCTTAGTTTTCTGCCCCCATCCCGCCCCATGAGATGTACATCTTGTGGGGGCAGGAACCACCACGTGGTAGGTGATTTGTGTGCCTGCTGCCTATCACAGGGCCTGGCGCCTAATAAGCTTGCGGCCAACATTTGTTGAATAAATGAAAAGGGAATGGTGGGAAAGGAAGCTGAAAAGGTAGGCTAAAATCAGTTTGGAATTACCTCTGGGAGGCCAAGGACTTTCAGTCTTGCAGGGTAGGTAACAGGAAACTCCTGGATTTTGTTTTCTTTTGGTTTTGTTTGTTTTTAATGAAGGGTAGCGTTATCGTCAGGTTTTTGTGTTTAATTAATGGAGCATATATTGGAAAGGACAGAGACCTTAAAGCAGTTAGGAGACCACCATAATAGTTCACATTTTGCAGCCATAAAAAGGAATGAGGCCAGGCATGGTGGCTCACTCCTGTAATCTTATCACTTCGGGAGGTTGAGGCAGGCGGATCACCTGAGGTCAGGAGTTTGAGACCAGCCTCACCAACATGGAGAAACCCCATCTCTACTAAAAATACAAAATTATCCAGGCGTGGTGGTACATGCCTGTAATCCCAGCTACTCAGGAGGCTGAGGCAGGAGAATAGCTTGAATCTGGGAGGCAGAGGTTGCGGTGAGCCGAGATCGTGCCATTGCATTGCAGGTACATGGATGAAGCTGGAAGCCATCATCCTCAGCAAACTAACACAGGAACAGAAAACCAAACACCGCATGTTCTCACTCATAAGTAGGAGCTGAACATTGAAAACACATGGACACAGAGGGGAACATCACACACTAGGGCCCGTTGGGGAGTGGGGGTTGGGGGGTAAGGGGAGGGAACTTAGAGGACGGGACAATAGGTGCAGCAAACCACCATGACACACGTATACATATGTGACAAACCTGCACATTCTGCACATGGATCCTGTTTTGTTTTAAGAAGAAATAAAGAAAAAACCAAGAAGAAACAAACAAACAAAAATAATTCCCATTTAAAACAATAAAAAATAGGCCAGGCATGGTGACTCAGGTCTATAATCCCAACACTTTGGGAGGCCAACGCGGGCAGATCTCTTGAGCCCAGGAGTTCAAGGCCAGCCTGGGCAACATGGCAAAACCCTGTCTCTACAAAAAATATAAAACAAACAAACAAAATAGCCAGGAGTGGTGGTGCATGCCTGTCATCCCAGCTACTCAGGTGGCTGAGGTGGGAGAATCACTTAAGCCTGGGAGGCGGAGGTAGCAGTGAGCTGAGATCGTGCCACTGCACTCCACCTGGAGCAACAGAGCAAGATTTTGTCTCTAAATAAATAAATAAAATAATAAAAAACAGAGAAGAGGAAAGACACCTGAGATATATTTCCATATCTGAATCAATAGGATTTATCAACGTTCTCCTCTACCCCCAAAACTAATTCCTTCCTAAACTCTGTTCTCCTGACACTACTCATAGGTTAAGTATAACAGCATTATCACATTGGCTGTCATGTGGGCTCCTGGCTAGAGGCTGCTTCACAGCTTAATGGACAAGAGCACTGAGACAGGGTGGGTCTAAATCCTGGCTCTGCAGCTGATTATTTGTGTGATTTTGTCCAAATCACTCCATCTCATGAGCCTCACTCTTCTAGTCTGTTAAGTGCTGAAAATAAAAGTATCCAATTCAATTCATTATTTAATGAATTATTTAGCCTAACAAATAGCTATTATAAATATTTAGGCTGGGCACAGTGGCTCACGCCTGTAATCCCAGCACTTTGGGAGGCCAAGGTGGGCAGATCACCTGAGGTCAGGAGTTTGAGACCAGCCTGACCAACATGGTGAAACCCCGTCTCTACTAAAAATACAAAAATTAGCTGGGTGTGGTGGCATGTGCCTGTAATCCCAGCTACTCAGGAGGCTGAGGCAGGAGAAACGCTTGAACCCAGGAGACAGAGGCTGCAGTGAGCCAAGATCGTGCCACTGCACTCTAGCCTGAGCAACAGAGCAAGACTCTGTCTCAAAAAAAAAAAAAAAATCTCTGCATGAAGAATGTACATAAAATGGTGCAGCCATTTCGGAAAACAGTTTGGCAGGTCCTCAAATAGTTAAACATAGAGTTACCACTATAGCCCAGCAATTCCACTCCTAAATATACTACACCCAAGAGAATTGAGAATATTTGTTAACACAAAAATGTGTATACAAGTATTTATAGCTGTATTATTCATTACAGCTAAAAAGTGCAAACATCCCAGCAGTCCATCAGCTGATGAACGGAGAAACAAAATGTGGTATACCCATACAATGTCATATTATTTGGCCATAAAAAGGAAGTACTGATACATGCTACAACATGGATGAACCTTGATAATGTTATTCTAAGTGAAAGAAACCAGACACAAAAGACCACATATTGTATGACTGCATTTATATGAAGTGCCCAGAATAGGCAAATCCACAGAGACAGAAAGTAGATTAGTGGTTGCCAGAGACTGGAGGGAGGAGATAATGGGAAATGTGGAATGACTGCTAATGGTATGGGGTTTCTTCTTGGGGTAATGAAAATGTTGTACAATTAGATAATGGTGATCATTGTAAAACTTTGTGAATATACAACATGCTGAATTTTATACTTTATTATATTTTATTTTTTTTGAGACAAGGTCTCGCTCTGTCACCCAGGCTGGAGTGCAGTGGCACGATCTCAGCTCACTGCAATCTCTCTGCCTCCCAGGCTCAAGCAATCCTCCTGCCTCAGCCTCCTGAGTACCTGACACTACAGCATGTGCTACCATGCCTGGACAATTTTTGCATTTTTAGTAGAGACAGGGTTTCGCTATGTTGCCCAGGCTGATTTTGAACTCCTGGACTCAAGTGCTCCGCCCACCTCAGCCTCCCAAAGTGCTAGGATTACAGGTGTAAGCCACCACTCCCGGCCTAAATTGTATTCTTTAAAAGACTGAATTGTATGGTGTGCGAATTATATCTCAATTTAAAAAAAACAAAACAAAAAAAAAAAAAAACCTTTGCGTGTGTCAGGCACTAGGGATTCGATGCTGAATAAGACACAGACCCTACCCTCAGAGAACACAGAGCCCAGCAGGAGAGAGTCACAGATGAATCAAGTGTTACATCATCTATAGGAAGCGCCATGGAAGAAAGACATGGTGCCATGAGAACATACGCTTAGAGAAGGGAATTTCATCTAGACTGGGGCTCAGGGAGGAATCTTTCAGGGTGATGCTTGTGCTCAGAGTTTTCCATGTCAGAATCAGTAGAATTTATCAATCCTCCAGAGGAGGAAACAGCAAATGAAAAATCTTACAACAGGAGGATGCGGAGACATTCCGAGAGCTGATCAAGGGCTGGTGTGAACAAAGCACATAGGATGCAGAGCCTGTGGTGTGAGGTTGCAGCTGGAAAGGTAAAACACTAATTACATTGGATCTTCTGAGACAATAAAGAGTATGCAATAATCTCAAACGACCGAAACTGACCTTCCTCCTCCCTAACTTGCTTGCTTCCACTGTTGCCCGTATCATAAAAGCACCACCCTCTTCTACCCAGTGGCTTAAGACACGAAACTCAAGTCATCCCAGGCTTTCTCCCCACCTCACTCTCCACATCCAGCCTATCAGCGAGCTTGTGGGTCCTACCACGTAAAGACTTCTCATCTCCAGCTACTACCATCCCCCAAGCCCAGATCACCATCAGCTCAGGCCTGGACTCCTGCAACCTTTCTAACCGGGTCTTCCCAATCCTACCCCCGCAACATGACCCCAATAGCCCATCAGAATGGACTAATCGAGATGTAGATTTGATCAGGCCACATCCCTTGAAAGGCTTCCTGTGACCCTCGGGGAAATGCACAAACTCCCAATGATGGCCCCTGAGTCCTGTGCCATCTGGGTCTGCCCTCTGCCCTCTGTGTCTTTGCCATGGTAACCTCCTTCACACCCATTAATACTCCATGCTCTCTCCTACCTCAAGTTCTTCCTGGGCTGGAACATTCTCTGCACTAGCCTAGCCAACTAACCCTTTAGATCTTTTGTTTGTTTGTTTGTTTGTTTGTTTGTTTTTGAGACAGTCTTGCTCTGTTGCCAGGCTGGAGTGCAATGGTGCAATCTATCTCGGCTCACTGCAACCTCTGCCTGCCGGGTTCAAGCAATTCTTCTGCCTTAGCGTCCTGAGTAGCTGAGACTATAGGCACCTACCATCACGCCCGGCTAATTTTTGTATTTTCAGTGGAGGTGGGTTTTCACCATGTTGGCCAGGCTGGTCTCGAACTCCTGGCCTCAAATGACCACCCTCCTCGGCCTCCTAAAGTGCTGGGATTACAAGCATGAGCCACTGTGCCCAGGCAACACTTCAGATCTTAATGATCATTTCCTTTAAGTGCCTGACCTCTTGTAGTAACTAGCCTGACTCCAGCAATGAATCCTTTTGCAATGTAACCTATATAACATCTGAGTTTCCCTTTGATAAAACTCATCATATATTTGTTCCTCTGACAGTTCAGAGGGCAAGGGCCTTTGCCCACCTTCCTCACCACTATCCTCTCACCACTTAACACAGAACTCACCACCCACCATGCCTCCTGCCTGACAAATTCCTAACCATCCTTCAAATCTCACTCACCTATTACCTTCTGGGAGGCAGTCTTCCCTGAGCACCAAGACAATGGGACACATTCCTTTATACACCCTGCTGAACATCTCTTTTTTGAGGGGCGGGTAGAGATGAGTGTCTCACTATGCTGCCCAGGCTGACCTCAAACTCCTGGCCTCAAGCGATCCTCCTGCCTTGGCCTCCCAAAATGCTGGGATTACAGGCATGAGCCACTGTACCTGACCGCAACTGGTTTAGATTTTCTATCTTCTTTGCCCCAGCACCTAAAACGATGCTTGTCACAAGACTCCTCTTAGGTCAGCCCACAAGAGCTCTTATGAAAATCTCTAAAACTGTGGCTGGCACAGTGGCTCACGCTTGTAATCCCCGCACTTTGGGAGGCCAAGGCGGGTGGATCATCTGAGGTCAGGAGTTTGAGATCAGCCTGACCAATAAGGTGAAACCCTGTCTCTACTAAAAATACAAAAATTAGCTGGGCATGGTGGCAGGCACCTGTAATACTGCTACTTGGAAGGCTGGGACAGGAGAATTGCTTGAACCCGGGAGGCGGAGGATGCAGTAAGCTGAGATTGTACCACTGCACTCCAGCCTGGGTGACAGAGCAAGACTCTGTCTCAAAATAAAAAAGAAAAAAAAAAAGAAAATCTCTAAAATTGCATGCAAAATTCTATGTGCATTCAGGAGACAGGCTGTGACTTTTGTCAGATTTTCAAAGAGGCCTAAGATCTGAAAGAAGAACCTTTTCCCCAGATGCTGAAGGAGCTTTAAACAGCGCTGTCAACACAGACTTCTACTGTGAAAAACCATCCCCCTCTAGAATAGAAGTTCCAAGAGGGCAAGAATCAAGGATCTTTACCTATTTTTTTCTTTCTTTCCTTTTTTTTTTTTTTTTTTTAATTGAGACAGGGTCTTTTTCTGTTGCTCAGGCTAGAGTGCAGTTTTGTGACCGTGGCTCACTGGAGCTTCAAACTCCTGGGCTCAAGCGATCTTCCCACCTCAGCCTCCTGAGCAGCTGGCACCACAGGCATGTGCCACTGTGCCCAACTAATTTTTTTTTTTTTTAGTTGAGACAGTGTCTCACTATTTTACCCAGGCTGGTCTCAACTCCTGGGCTCAAGCAGTCCTCCCACCTGGGCCTCCCAAAGTGCTGGGATTATAGATGTGAGCCCTATGCCTGGCCTCTTTACCTATTCTGTTAATTGATGTATTCCAAGTACCTGGAATGGTGCCTGACACATTCTTGATGTAGGTGTAAAATGACTAAATATAGTCTCAGACAACTGAAACAGTTATGTACATGGTATATGTATTGGTTATCTATTGCTGAGTAACAAATTATCCCAAAACATAGTAGCTTAAAACTACATGTATTATACTCTATCTCAGGAGATAGGGTATAGCTTAGCTGAGTGTTCTGTCTCAGGGTCTCTCACAAGCCTGCAAAGCATCAGCCAGGGCTGCCGTCATCTGAAAGCTCAAGTGGGGAAGGATTTGTCTCCAAGCTCACCCATATGATGAGTGACTCAGTTCCTTGCTGGGTAGAGGCTGCCCTCAGTTCCTTACCACCACATGGGCCTCTTCATAGGTCAGCTCACAACATGGATGCTTGCTAGCTTGCTTCATCAGAGTAAACAAAGGGAAGGACAAGACAGTAAGAAAGTGAGAGAGAGGGAGAGAGAGAGAATGAGAGGAAGATCAAGAGAGGGAAACAAACAAGACAGACTTTACACTCTTGTAATTTAACCTTAGAAGTAGCATCCCATTACCCTTGCTGTGTTCTGTTTATTAGAAGCAAGTATCCAGGTGTAGTACACACTCAAGGGAGAGGATTATACACAGGCATGAATACCAGGAAGGAGGGATCATTGGAGGCCCCAGTGATCTTTGAGGTTGCCTACCACAAGACATTTACAGAATGTTTTCTCATATAGCATCCAATTCATCTGGGCACCCAGAGCAGAAGGCACACACCAAATGCCTACATGTCAAGCAGATGATGACAGCGAGGGAAGACATCAGTGATGGGAGGTTTGGCAGACAACTGAGCCTCTGCCCATCCACCATCAGGCTGTTGCCGAGCAGGAATGCAGGTCAACTGTTGTCAGATCTTCCAAATTTTCTTTTTCTTTTTTTCGAGGCAGGGTCTTGCTCTGTCTCCCAGGCTAGAGTGCAGTGGTGCAATCTCATTTCACTGTAACCCCTGCCTCCCGGGTTCAAGTGATTCTCATGCCTCAGCATCCTGAGTAGCTGGAACTAAAGGCATGCACCACCAGCCCAGCTAATTTTTGTATTTTTAGTAGATACGGGGTTTCGCCATGTTGGTCAGGCTGGTCTCCAACTCCTGACCTCGGGTGATCTACCCACCTCAGCCTCCCAAAGTGCTGGGATTACAGGCGTGAGCCACCGCTTCTGGCCCAAATTTTCAAAAGAAGCTGACATCCTAATTCTTTGAGACATTCTCTGATTTTTAAAACTGATAAGCAAAAATGCACCTGAGGACTAGCAGTTTATGAATCCTCCCTATGGCAGAAAGTACCTACTTGTTTTGTTTTCTTTTTTTGAGACAGGGTCACACTCTGTCTCCCAGGCTGGAGTAGAGTGGTGCAATCTCAGTTCACTGTAACCTCTGCCTCCTGGGTTCAAGTGATTCTCGTGCCTCAGCCTCCCAAGTAGCTGGGATTACAGGCGTGCACCACCAGCCCAGCTAATTTTTGCATTTTTAGTAGAGATGGGGTTTTACCATGTTGGCCGGGCTGGTCTCAAACTCCTGGCCTCAAGTGATCCACCCTCCTCGGCCTCCCAAAGTGCTGGGATTAAAAGCGTGAGCCACCACCCCTGGCCGGCCTAATTGTTATTTCTTATACCCTTTTATGTGTGTTCCAGCCCTCCTACTGTCCACTCCACCCCCATCCCACTTGCTCATAGGGATCTAACTCACTTTGGGCGCTTTCCACAGCTCTTCACATGTAGCAGGCCAACAATATTGTTGAATGAAATATGAAACTCGACACATATCTCACTAGGGACCATTTCCCCCAGTCCTAGAGCAGTGGTTAAAAGTGGCCTCTGGTGTCTAAGTTAGAATCCTGGCTGGACAACTTGCATGCTGCATGAACTTAGGCAAGTTACTAGCTTTTGAGAGCCTCAGCTTCTTCAGCTGGGAACGATTGTACCTGCCTTACAGAGTTGTTAGATGGATTAGCTGAAATAATACACGTGAAGAATTTAGCACAGAGCTTAGCACACAATAGCAACCCAACAAATGATTTACTGTCACTCACATCGTCCCCTTTCTCTCCTCACTGGCTTCCTGCCTCATCACCCTTTAGTGCTTTATCTTCCATCTTCTGCCACTGTCTACCTGGCTGGCAGCTCGAGTGAGCCACCAAAACGCAAACGTGTCATTGTCACTGAACGATTTAAACTCTTCAATAGTTTGCTGTTGTCCTTAGTAGGAGAAAATCCAAACTCCTTATCACAGTTCACCAAGCTCTTTTGGAGCAAAATCTGCCCAGCCTCCAAGCCTCATCTTCACCTCTCTTCACACCCAGCACTCCAGCCACACTGAAGCTGAAGCTCTCCTTTCCTGAATGCTCCACCTCCACACTTACGCCACTTCAACAAAGCCTTTGCAAGTGCCATTGCCTCCAGCTGGAACCTCTAATCCCCACTCCTACCACCCCTTCTAGATGTTCTGGCTATGTGCTAACAGAGAATTCTTGATGTTTCTTGCTAAACCTGAGGGTATGCACAATATCGATTTTCCTCACCTGTCCTCTCTTTCAAGAACAAGGCCAGCAAAGAATAGGCAAATGATAAAATGTGCGGAATTGTCCACAGCAGTGCTGACCATGAGCAGACGGCGCCACCTGTTGACCAAAATCTGCACTTCAGTACCTGGAAAGGAACTTTCTTTCTTTCTACCCTAAAGACTAGTAATGGCTTTGAAGTTTTCCAGTACATCCGGTATCTTCACCTCCCACCAAACTTAGCAATGAAAAAAGCTAATGTTATTGGATACTCAATGTATGCTAGGCACTCTCCTAAGTGCTTTGGTTATTAACACGTTTAATTTTTGCAACTACCTAATGAGGTGGGTAACCTTACTGCCATTTTATGATGGGGTAATTGAGGCACAGAGCAGTTAAAAAGCCTTACTCAAGATCACACTGCTAGAAAATTTCAGTAGAAACTCAAAGTTAAGCAGTCTGGCTTGAACCTGCACTCACAAGCCCCAAACTCACTGCCTCTATTCTGTCTCCTTTACTCCAATGACCTAGTTACATCCCAGACACTTCTACCAGGAAGGCCCACTTTGAAGGTACTGCTGTCACAGTGGCACTGGTGTCAACCACAGTCCCATCTGGAGACAGCAAACGCAGCAGTCAGGTCTGGCCTCCATGGTATTGTTCTGCTTGTGTGACCTCCAGCAAGCTTGCTCCAGCAAGCAACTTACTTCTTAAATCCTCAGCTTGCTCATCTGTAAAACAGGATTAGTCAGGGGGCTAACCCTATTTTACAGATGCGGAAGCTAAAGCACACAAAAGTGACAGGTGCAGGGCCACACAAAAAGCAGCAGACAGCAGGCAAACCTAAGCTGTCTTACTTTTTTTTGAGATGGAGTCTCACTCTGTTGCCCAGGCTGGAGGACAGTGGCACAATCTCAGCTCATGCAACCTCCGCCTCCTGGGTTCAAGCGATTCTCCTGCCTCAGCCTCCTGAGTAGCTGGGATTACAGGCACCCGCCACTACACCCAGCTAATTTTTGTATTTTTAGTAGAGACGGGGTTTTGCCATGTTGGCCAGGCTGGTCTTGAACTCCTGACCTCAAGTGATCCACCCACCTCAGCCTCCCAAAGTGCTGAGATTACAGGCATGAGCCACCTTGCCCGGCCTGTCTTACTCTTAAACACTCATTAATCTCCCTCTGCTGGTAGGGGCTGTGTCTGTTTTCTTTACTCTCAAATGCCAAGCACACTGCTTTGCACATAGTAGGTGTCAACAAACTTGTTTATATATATATATATATATATATATATATATATACACATACATACACACACAGTCACATTCCAGTGTGACAAATACTCCTTCACCAGGAGACAGCGCTACCACTCCGGGATCTTGAAGACTCTCTACAGAGAGCCTAGGCCTGGCAGTCTTCACAGATGACACCCAACAGGGAGCACGTTTATTAAAGTGGGAAGGGGTGGGGTACACCCCAGGGTGTATACTGACAGGGACCTCATGCAGGCCCAGAGCTCTGCTGCACCCTCTTCATCAGCTCTTCATCCTGCATAGACAACTCTGTCAACTTTTTGCCCATCCGCTCATGGATGTCCAGGTACTTAGAGACACATCGGTCCAGGCACACAGACTCGCCCTTGGAGAGCTCTGCTTCCTTGTAGTGAGGAGGCACACACTTCCGGTGGCAGGCACTGGTCATTCTGGAGGGAGGGAGGGGCAAGGTCATGTCAGCAGCATCCTGTGACATCCCAGGAACCTTGACCATTCCAGCCCTGCTATATTGATTTCACCTCCCCCAAGAAAGCAGTGTAAATCCTCAGTTTACACCTCAACCACTGGAAGGTCCTTGCAAGTAGGAAACTTGTCTAAGTCCATGTATATGACTAACTAAGTAGAAACCATTTGTTGAGGACTGGCTACATGCCAGGCATCCTGCTAAGTGCTTTACCTGCATTCTGTTATGCAATGCTTACAATAACCCTAAGAGACATGTATCCCCATTTTACAGATGAGGAAATTAAGGCAAACAGAGGCTCAGTAATTTTCTAAGGATCACACAGAGCTGGGTTATGAAGCCAGGTCATCTGACCTCACAGTCTACACTTAAAAATCCTTCTAATTTATAGCCTTCAGGATAAACCAACCAATCAAGAGAGCTTAAGCCAATAAAAATAGCAGACATTTCACTAAGTGTTGGGCTTGAGGCTAAGGGCTTTCATATATTTTTAGATTTAATATTTATGATGTCCTATGAGGTAGGTATCATTATGTCTTCTTCATAATGAGGAAACCAATTGTCAAACAGTGCAAGTAACATGTCCAATTATACTGCTGGTGATTGGTGGAGCCAGGATTTGTTCCCAAATTTGCCAAATGGTTATGAGCACTAGTTGCAGAATCAGACTGAGGTGCTAGTTCTGGCATTGTTACTGACCAGCTGCCGACCCTAAGGAAGTTACTTAACCTCTAGAATCATCAATTTCCTCATTTTAAGACGGGACTAATAAAATTAACCCACTGGATTATTTTGAAGATTAACAAGTGCCTGACACAGAATAAAGGGTTTTAAAATGTTAACTACTAAATGGGCTGGCTATGTGCTATTTGTCAAGAGGCAAATACTCAGCTTTTCTTGGAACCTAACCAGAGCCTGGATTGGAGTTTCTCTTCCTGCTTGGCTCCTGCATTGCCAGTTCCATCCCCATCTAAATGCCCAACTCATTCTAGTGACCCTTTACTGCATCTACATTAGGATCAACCTTGAAGGTGGGTGTGGGGAGGGTAAGCATGGGCCTCAGGCTCCCCTACATTCAGGAAGGAATTTGTCATAAGTCATTCACCTTCGATAAGGGTGACCAAGACTTATTTTCCAAGACAGGGTAGCACATAGTTCTCTTTACCTGTTGTACATATCGGCCATCATCTCCACCTCCAGCTCCGCAGCCAGCTGTTGGGCCCTGAGAGGATCCATCTCAGCCTAGCACCGTGGAAGGGATCTCCTTCTGGCCTCCTAATCCTGGGAGCAGACATCACCATCAGCACCCACCGCCGCCGTTCACTCTCCTACCCCTGGGGCTAGAGGATACAGAGGACTCACAGGGCGCCAGACCACCACGGGCCACTAACCTCAGTGAGCTTAACCACCCCATTTCACGGATGTGGAAACTGAGGCCTAGCCCAAGGTCGCACAGGACGTCTATGGCGAGCCTGGAAATCGAGCCCCGGATCTCTGATGCCCCAGTTCCTGGAGGTCACCTCTATTCAGGAGATCGAGGACCGGAGGAGAACTCTCTAACCCACGAACCTGAACCTCCAGGGCCCTGGGAATGGGATCATACGCTGAACAGAGGCGACCGGGACCCAGCCCAAAGGCTACACCTCTGAAATGGCGACGCCATCATCAGGGCCACATTGAATTCAGAGGTCATGTGTCACTTACCACTGCCTGGGACGGATCACAATGCCCACGGAGACCCCAACTTCTGACAAATACTATAACGTTACCCGCCTCCCGAGAGGCTCCAGCGGAAGCACGTGGGTTACTTCCGGGAGGAAAGTCCCGCCTCTTCTTTGATTCAAACTCGCTTCCGGAATTAAATACCAACGAGACGGCGCCGGGAACTCGGCGATCATAGAGAGGGAGCGGCTGGCGCCGGGCGAAGAGGAAGGCGACTTGCCAGTGCTAGAGAGGACACCAAAGTACCATAGAAGCTTGGGCGGGGTGCAGAGCGTCTGCAGCCCGATCAGAATTCAAGTCCTTTGGGATGTCACCGAGCGGCTTCAGTTTATTGGTTCTGTAGGAAGAGGCGTGGCGACAGACACCTGTGAACCTCACCCCCGTTCCAGACAGCCGACTCCTGTGCGCAAATCAGGCGTGGAGAAGGAAGAACGCCCCCAAACAGCGGTTCTGTTTTTGTTTCGCGTTAAAATCACCTGGAACGTTTTTAAACATCCCAGTGCCCAGGACTCACCTCATTTCAATTAAATCAGAATCTCTGGGAGTACAGTTTAAAATTCCTCAGGCAGCAATACAATTTAAAATTCCCCAGGTGATTCGTATGTACAGCCAAATTTGAGAAGCAGTGCTCCACGGGACGTTGTGCGATTACTGCTGTGTGTAGGTCACACTAAGCCCCGTCTGGGGTTGCAAAGATAAGCGAGATAGGCTTCCTGTTCGCAGAAAGACAAGACGTGTAAAATATGTTTTCTTCAACAGTTAGAGGTCCTCAGCCACAAAGAGATAATAAAAGCAATTTCGGCTGCCACCAGGGCTAATCTTGGGTGAGGGAAAGAAGGGTACTGGTGAACTTTCCAACTTTCAAGACTTAATGTGTTCTTCAAACTGCACCATTCACTCATTCCCCACTAAAAAGAAGGAAACAAGGAAACAATACTCAGTCCCTTGATTTGTCACACAATTTCCTGGTAAAATAAATTTACAAGATGTAAATTAATGACGCAAGGGCACATTGCCCATTGGAAAAGGTGGGCTAGACATTTTCTGTGTGGTCATCATAAGCTTCCCTAATTGTCCAAGACCATCCTAATTTTAAACAATTGACCTTTCTACTGCTTTGAAGACTCATCTTTGCCAAACTTGTGCCCTGATTTTTAAAGATTGGGGTATAACATTCATAAAGTGCATAAAATACACGAATGTTAAGCTTAATTAAATATATATGTATCTATATATGTACATTTGTATAACCGCCATCCAGATCAAGATATAAAATACTTCCTGCACCCCAAAAAGTTATCTTGTGTTCCTTCCCCATCAATACCCCCTCTCGAAGTTAACCACTATTCTGACCTCTATCACCATCAATTAGTTTTCCTTGTTCTTGAACTTCGTGTAAATGGAATTATACATTATTTTCTATTTTGTGCCTGACTTCTTTAGCTCAATGTACCTGTAAGATTTCCTCCATATTGTTGTGTGCATCTGTTATTCCTTCTGTTTTATTGCTGTCTAGTGTTTGATTGTATGAGTATGCCACAATTCATCTATCCATTCTCCCGTTGGTGGATGTTTGGATTGTTTCCAGTTTTTGCCTATTATGCAATAATGCTGCTATGATACTCTTGTACAGATGGACATATCTTGCCTTGGTTTTTGCCTTTGAAAATATAGTCAACATTGGCCGGGTGCAGTGGCTCACGCCTGTAATCCCAGCACTTTGGGAGGCTGAGGTGGGTGGATCACCTGAGGTCAGGAGTTCGAGACCAGCCTGGCCAACTTGGTGAAACCCCATCTCTACTAAAAATACAAAAAAGTAGCCCGGTGTGGTGACGGGTGCTTGTAATCCCAGCTACTCAAGAGGCTAAGCAGGAGGCTAAGGCAGGAGAAACACTTGAACCCGGGAGGCAGAGGTTGCAGTGAGCCAAGATCGCACCATTGCACTCCAGCCTGGGCAACAAGAGTGAAACTCCGACCCCCCACTCCCCGCAAAAAAGAAACATTATGGAAAGTTAAGAAACTGCGTGGGAAAAGGAGATGGTTTCTTACAAGAGGAATCTTGCAATATCTACTGGGCCTTATGAAAGGTTGCATACTGTATGATTTCATTTAAGTAACATTCTCAAAATCACAAAATTATAGAGATGGAGAAGAGATTTCTGATTGTCTAGTGTTAGGGTTGATGGGGAGATAGAAGTGTACCTGTAAAGGGTAGCACAAGAGAGATCTTTGTGTTGATGGATAATTCTGTATCCTGATTGTGGTGGTGGTTACAAGAATCTACACAGGTGATAAGATGTCATAGAACTGGCAGGGTGCGGTGGCTCACGCCTGTAATCCCAGCACTGTGGGAGGCCCAGGCGAGCGAATCACAAGGTAGGAGTTCGAGACCAGCCTTGTTGGTGAAACTCCGTCTCTACTAAAAATACAAAAAATTAGCTGGGGGTAGTGGCGGGCACCTGTAACCCCAGCTACTCAGGAGCCTGAGGCAGGAGAATCGTTTGAACCCGGGAGGTGGAGGTTGCAGTGAGCCGAGATCGTGCCACTGCACTCCAGCCCAGGCGACAGAGTGAGACTCCGTCTCAAAAAAAAAAAAAAAGCCAGGCGCGGTGGCTCACACCTGTAATCCCAACACTTTGGGAGGCCGAGGCGGGTGGATCACGAGGTCAGGAGATCGAGACCATCCTGGTTAACATGGTGAAACCCCGTCTCTACTAAAATAAAAAAAATCAGCCGGGTGTGGTGGCATGCGCCTATAGTCCCAGCTACTCAGGAGGGCGAGACAGGAGAATCGCTTGAACCCGGGAGGCGGGAGGCAGAAGTTGCAGTGAGCCGAGATTGTGCCACTGCACTCCAGCTTGGGCGACAGAGCAAGACTCGGTCTAAAAAAAAAAAAGAAAGAAAAAAAAAGTCATAGAACTACTACACACACACATTGTACCAATATAAATTATCTGGCTTTGATATTGAATATAGTTATGTTAGATTTAACCTTTAGTGGAAGTTGGTAAAGGGCGTACAGGACCTCTCTGTACTATTAATGCAACTTCCTGTGAAACTATAATTATTTCTAAATAAAAAGTTTTAAAAATCTCTACAAAAAAGAAAACAAATAAGATTATACAAGTATGAGTAAGAGCTGGCCATAAAGAAAGAAAGAAAAATATTTATATAAAAGATTGTGTAAGTAAAGTACCTAGTCCATGGTAGATGCTCAATAAAAATAAATCATTGTTTTCATTCTTTTTCATTTTTAAACTTTCACTGGGGCAAATTTATTTTTATTTTTACTTAGGATTTTTGAGGCAGGATCTTGCCTTGTCACCCAGGCTTGAGTGCAATGGTATGATCAGTGCTCACTGCAATCGTGAACTCCTTGGCTTAAGCAATCCTCTTACCTCAGCCTCCTAAGTAGCTGGAACTAGAGGCATGAGCCACCATGCCTGGCTAATTTTTTTTTTTAAGAGATAGGGTCTCATCATGTTTCCCAGGCTGGTTTCAAACTCCTGGGCTCAAACAATCCTCCTGTCTTGGCCTCTCAAAGTGCTGGGATTACAGGCATGAGCCACCCCATGCCCAGATGGAATATTTAAAACATACAGAAAAGCAGAGAGAACAGGACATTGAGCTTCCATATATTCATCACCAGGACTTAGGAATTGTTAACATTTGTCCATATTTTCTTCATCTATTTTTATCTCTAACAGATAAAGCCCTTTTATTTATTTATTTTTTCCTTGAGACAGGGTCTCTGTCGCTCAGCCTGGAGTGCAGAGACCCAATCATAGCTCACTGTTAGCTTAAACTCCTGGGCTCAAGCAATCCTCCCATCTCAGCCTCCTGAATAGCTAGGACTACAGGCGCAAGCCACCATGCCTGAGTGGTTTTTAAAATTTTTTGTAGAGATAGGGTCTTGCTATGTTGTCCAGGCTGGTTTCAAACTCCTGGCCTCAAGCGATCCTCCTGCCTCAGCCTCCCAAAGCACTGGCATTACAGGCATGAGTCACTGCACTGGGCCCTGCTTAACAAAAAAAATTTTTTTAAACGGAGTCTCGCTCTGTCACCAGACTGGAGGATAGTGGCACGATCTCCGCTCACTACAGCCTCTGCCTCCCAGGTTCAAGGGATTCTCCTGACTCAGCCTCCCAAGTAGCTGGGACTACAGGCGCATGCCACCACACCCAGCTAATTTTTGTGTTTTTAGTAGAGATGGGGTTTCACCATGTTGGCCAGGATGGTCTCAGTCTCCTGACCTCATGATCCACCTGCCTTGGCCTCCCAAAGTGCTTTATACACCGCGCCCGGCCAACAAATTTTTAAGTGCACAAAATAGTATTGTTAACTATATGTACCATATTGTACACAGATTTCTAGAACTTATTCATCTTGCATAACTGAAATTGTATACCCATTGAACAGCAACTCTCCATCTCCCCAGCTGCTCAGCCTCTGGAAAACCATTGCTCTTATTGATGATGATGCTATTGTTATTATGATTATTTACTATGAGACTGTGTCTTTCCTCTATGTGGAGACCTACAGGTAGGAATCTCCAATGGTCCCAGTTGAATTGCTTCTTGTAGAAGACAGTTTAGATAGCCTCAGACTTTGAAGATATCCTTAGACTCCAGATATGTCATCCAAAGCTACTGATCTCTGTCAACACCATGCTGAAACTCTGGCTCCTCATTCTACCCTGCATTCTACCCCTTCCCAACCTTGCAAAGGTGAGTTGTATATTTGTCATTCATCGTGGGTCAGTATTGTCCTCTTGGGTGGGACCCCAGCCCCAGAAGAAGAGATGCAGAGTTTTCATCTAGAATCACTTCAAGTGGGCCCTGACCACTCATGAGAGGTGCAGAGAATACAAAAACAGAGGTTTCCTGTAACCTCCCTTGTGATGAAATGGCTTACGTCATTCTATTCACTTGAAGAAAAAGCTGGCCCTGGCTTAATCACTGTCTGCACTATTACTGTTTCCCATCACTTCTTCTTACCTCCATGGCTGATACTGTGGTCCAAGCCACCACCATCCTGCACCAGGGTCACTGAGTTTGTCTCCTGACTGCTCTCCCCACTTCTATCCATGCTTCTTCACTTTATTCTCAAAACAGCATCCATCCAGAGTATATCTGCCCAAGATTGGCGAGTTTTTCCACATCTCTCTCTGGCTTGCTGGTTTTTTGTTTAAATTCATTTCTCTTATCCTACTGTCATTAGATATTGAAAAGAGCAAAATACTCTGGGCATGGTGGCTCATGCCTATAATCCCAGCCGGGTTTCAAGTATTACTAGAGCCGGCTGGCAACCATTAATATTGGACTATTTCATGACTAGTACCCAAACCTAGATGCACAGAAAGATCTCTCTTTCAGATCATCCCGGGCAAGACCTCCAAGTTCCTGTCATATTTCTGTTAATTAATTAGTTATTTCATTCAGTATGTATTTATCAAGTACCTAATATGAGCCAGGCAATTCTGCTGGGATCTAGGCATACAGCCATGAGTATGGTAGATAAAATCCCTGCCCTCATGGAGCTTAAAGCCTAGTGAGAGAGTCAGATAATAAGGAAATGAATAAGGTAATTTTAGATTTAGTATTATGAGGACAATAAAAACTGCTGAAATGAGGGAGAGGAATTGAAGGTCATGGAAAACCTCTCTGAGGGAATGAAATTTCAGCTAAGTCCAGAAGAATGAGAGGGAGGCAGTCTTACAAAGAGTAGAAGGAAAAACCAGTCCTGAGTCTGAAAAGGGATGGATTTATTTAAGGAATAGGAAGGAGGCCAGTGTGGCCCAGTGGTGGGGCTTGGGGTAGGAGGACTGGGGGGGATCCCAAGCTTCGTGGGAGTGTCCTCTGCACCCATTCTCCAAAAGTAGTGCCTTTCTTAGATTGTAAAACACACAGAGAAAGTGAAGACTTTTTTTTGAGATGGAGTCTCTGTCACCCAAGCTGGAGTGCAGTGACTTGCTGCAACCTCTGCCTCCCAGGTTCAAGCAGTTCTCGTGCCTCAGCCTCCCAAGTAGCTGAGATTACAGGCATGCGCCACCAAGCCCGGCCAATTTTTGTATTTGTAGTAGAGACAGGGTTTCACCCTGTTGACCATGCTGTTCTTGAACTCCTGGCTTCAAGCAATCCACCCGCCTCGGCTGCCCAAAGTGCTGGGATTACAGGCATGAGCCACCATGCCCAGGCTTGTTTTGTTTTTTTCTTAGCAAAATGTCAGTTCAGTATAAAAATGTGTTCAGAGCCTACTGTGTACCTGTCACTTCAGCTCAAAATAGAACTCAGGAGTTTTGTATTTTCCAGGCTCCGTCCAGTGATCCGTCAGCTTGTCCCATCACTTTTGCCCTCTCTGCCCCTCCCCCTCCAAATCTCTCAGTCAACTGTGAGCCCCAAGACACATCCCCTGTGTTGGCAGCTGCCCTACTCGCCCCCTCCTTAGCCCAGCCTTAAGCAGCTGCTTTTGTCTGAGGACGAGGGAAAGGGGCTATGTAAGGAACGTGGCGGGGTGGGTGTGAAGGGAGCACAAGAGGCCTCGCCTGGGCTCTGGATGAGCAGTGGAGGCCAGGGCCATGCTCTAAATGAGTCCTGAAGATGGTTGTCAAGGTCCCTAGGGTTAGGAGAGTCCACTGGGGAGAAAGATGACCACAGGACGGATGCTGCCAGGCTCAGGGCGGAAGGGACGTGCCGTGATTGAAAGGTGCCACCTGTCAGATCTTCCACGGGAAATCCGAGCCTCCCAGTCTAGGGTAAAGTGTTGTACCAACAGGCCAGTAAACAATGCTCTTCAGGCAGCCCAAGACTCTTGAAGTGGGGGTGGGGTGGAAGAGGGAGAGGAAGGGGGGAGGCGGGACCAAAGAGCTGGGGGCTAGAGGCCACTGGGGCTTAAAGGCAGCCTGGGAGTGAGGCCACTCAGCTGGAGCAAAGAGACAGCTCCCAAGCCACAGGCAGAAGCCCCACAGGTAGGAGAAGCCCTGGCACCCTTTCTAAGGGTCCCTCCCCATCTGCCAATTCTCACTCCCACTGTCCAAGGGCCAGAGCCTCCCAGGAGGGCCCCCCATTTGGAGAAATCCAGGCTCCTTTCTAATTCTCTCCACCACAATGTCTACTCTCTTTAGATGCCTGGGGTCTCAGCCCTGCACCAGAGCACCTACAGAGCAGACTGCAAGTGGCCATCCACGAGGAGGCCACAGAGCAGGGGAGGGGACCTTGGGAGTCTCAAGAGTCAAACTGGGTTGGGGGGTAGACTGTCTAAGCCAAGCCTGTCCAGCCCACAGGCTACCTGTGGCCCAGGATGGCTTTGAATGTAGCCCAACATGAATTCATAAACTTTCTTAAAACATTATGAGATTTTTTTTTTTTTTGCAATTTTTGTTTTAGCTCATCCACTATCGTTAGTGTTAACGTATTTTACATGTGGCCCAAGACACTTCTACTTCTACCAGTGTGGCTCAAGGAAGCCAAAAGATTGGATACCCCTAGTCTAAGCAATTGAGGTCGGCCTCTCCAAGGGAGGGCCCCTGGCTGAGTGGGGAAGGTGGAAGCCTTAGGACAACCAGATGACAGATGAGGCTGCAGTGGGTGGCAGACGCACCACAGAACATCCAGTGTTTATACTACTGGGAGTTTGGATCTTGGGCTCCTGGGTCCCTTTCCTCCTGGTCTGCCAGAAGAAACAGGAAGAGAGAGGGAGGGGAGATATCTGCAGTGCTGCTTTGGACACAAAACAGGGATGGTTTGGAGACTTCCTGGGGAAGGAAGGAGGAAGGAAAGGAGAGAATAAGAAAGGAAGGTGGGGGCAGAGAAACTTTCATGAAGGGCCTACTGTGCACCTAGAAGAAAGAGGGAGGAACTCCTCGGCTGAATCTGACTGCCCTTCCCAACTGGTGGGGTGCCCCCACTCTGGGCCAGGGCCTTTGTAGGGACACTGGGCTGCGGAGCTAGTGGGAGCATATATTTGATGTGAGCTCTGGAGTGGAAGTTGGGATACTTGGATTCTAGATAGAGAGCCAGGCCACTTGTCCTATAACTTTAGTCAAGGGACTTCAACTCCCTGAGCCTGAAATCCCCATTGGCTCCCTAATGGGGCCAATAACCTATTCTGAAGGGTCGGAGCAAGAAATGACCAAGAGAAAGCAGGGCCTCCGCAGCATAAGCTGTAAACTGCTGTAGGGCTGTGAATGCTGGGGGTGGGTGGTGGCGTCCTGGTTTCTCAGCATTCTGAGCATCTTCACTCCTTTTCTATTTGTGACAAGCCTGGAGGGTGGAAAGCTGAGGTGATAAACACGCAGGATAGCCGAGGTGTGTGTCCGTGTGCGTGCACCTACCCTTCCCCTCCACCACCCTAAGTATGCAGCGTGTAGGCAGAAGGAAAGATGGTTAGAGCGGCCAGTCTCAGTGGCTCATACCTATAAACTCAGCACTTTAGGAGGCCGAGGCAGGAGGTTCACTTGAGGCCAAGAGTTTGAGACCAGCCTGGGAAACATAGCGAGACCCCATCTCTATAAAAAAAATAAAAAACAAAAAATTAGCCAGGTGTGATGGTGCACATCTGTGGTCACAGCTCCTCAGGAGGCTGAGGTGGGAAGATCCGTTGAGTCCAGGAGGTAGAGGTCACAGTGAGCTATGATTGAGCCACTGCACTCCAGCCTGGGCAACAGAGTAAGACCCTGTCTCTTAAAAATAAAAGATGACTGGAGCACTCAGCTATGTCTTAGCCAAATAGTGTCATACTTTGAGGTATAAAAAGGGCTTGTTATCATCCTACTGGCATTCAGTTCTCTCTGCCTTGACTCACTGATAAATGCCCTCAAGGCTGGGTCAGGACCTTGCCCTGGCACAGGGCTGGGCACAGCCAACCCACATCATACGAGCTGATGGGTGCTGAGTACTCATTCATGCCAAGCATGCCTCTGAATCCTGTTTTGTTTTGTTTTTTTAAGAGCTGAGGTCTCACTTTGTTGCCCAGGCTGGAGTGTAGTGGCTATTCATAGGCATCATTATAGTGCACTGCTTGACCTCCTGGCCTCAGGTGATCCTCCTGCCTCAGCCTCTTGAGTGGCTGGGACCACAGGCATGTGCCGCCACGTCTGGCTCCAGATATTTTCTAAGCATGGGCTTTCTTAATCCTCCACCATCCCTATGGGATGGGACCTATTGTTGTCTGCAGAAATCAAAACACAGAGAGGATGGATAGCTTGCTCAAGGTTAACACAATTAGTAACCCATGGGAGCTGAGATCCCATCACAGGAAGACACCAGAATCAATGATTTTCACTGCTAGTCCATGTCACCTTCCAAACAAGAGCAGAGAGAAAGAGGGGAAGGGATTGTGTTAGACCAGCATTTGCCATGCTTTCTTCTGCTGCTAGAGAGAGTGGTAGATGCTCCTCAGGGAAAATCAAAGCAAAAAGAAAAGAAAACAAAGGGAGGAAAAAAAAAAGTCATGGTCAAATAGGTTTGGAAAAAAGTGAGTTAAATGAAGTTTAAGCAAGGTTTAGGTTTCTTGACTATCTGGTTTCTAAAATCTATTTAAATGCTAATGAAGTTATATATCTGTTTTTGTTTTGTTTTGTTTTGTTTAATTTTATTTTCCTTACTATAGAGACAGAATTTAATATGTTGCCTAGGCTGGTCTTGAACTCTTGGGCCGAAGTAATCCTCCCACCTAGGCTTCCCAAAATGCTAAGATTATAGGCATGAGCCACTGCGCCTGGCTGAAACTGTATATCTCTAAGAGGGTAAAGAGTAGGCTTTTTTGTGGAGCAACCTTAGCCAGAGAATATCCTTTCTCCCAACCCCACAGAAAACCCTATCCATGTCACGGGAGACCCTAGTTTTCCACAGAACACAATGTGGAGAACCTGATCCAGATGAACCCCATCATTGTCAGTTGAAACTGAGGCCCAGAGAGGGAAAACTACTTGCTCAGGTCTCAGTGGGGACTGGAAGATGCAGGTCACAGCCAGCTCCACAACTTCACACCTCCCGGCATCTCTGCTGATGTGCGTCCATCCCCCTGGCTCATCTTCCCTCTTTTTTTTTTTTTGAGACGGAGTCTCGCTTTGTTGCCCAGGCTGGAGTGCAGTGACGCGATCTCGGCTCACTGCAACCTCCACCTCCCGGGTTCAAGCAATTCTCCTGCCTCAGCCTCCCAAGTAGCTGGGATTACAGGCGTCTGCCACCACACCCAGCTAATTTTTGTATTTGTAGTAGAGATGGGGTTTCACCATATTGGCCAGGCTGGTCTTGAACTCCTGACCTTGTGATCTGCCCGCTACGGGCTCCCAAAGTGCTGGGATTACAGGTGTGATCCACCATGCCCGGCGTCATCTTCCCTCTTACTTTAAGACATTGCTGGAGCCGCTGAACCAGGAAGGGGCTCTAGCAGGAATCAGAGGACAGTGTGAGCATCTTTACAAATCCCAGCCTACTTTTAGGAAATAGTGAGGGCATCGAATTCAGGAACCCCAGGACTCTGGGTAAGACCCCAGTGGGTGGTGGGAAAAAAGCCCTATCCCTGTCTTCTTGCCTCCTGTCCTCTGCCCAATTACCCAGGTGCCCTCGGTACTATCACTGAGAAAGATGGTACTGCCAAGGGCAGGGGGTATTTTTAGTGTGTGACAGGAGTGTCCACTTTTCTTACTGCCTGAGTCATGCCCTGAGCCCTATTTGGGGATTGTTTTCTTTGTAACTACACCCCCCAAAAAGGGCAGGAGCATGAAGGAGCTAACCCGGGGCCCCCACACACCTGTTTTTGTAGATCCTCCAGTATATACAGTACTTAAATAGGAAACTCCGAGTTAAGATGTCATAATCTACCCCCATGCTCCCGGGGGCAGTTGGAGAGTCAGATTGCTCAGCAGAGGCCAGGGAGAGTACGGCTCCATTCTTCACTCAAGGAAACGCTTCCTTGCCCAGGCCCACCTTTTCCAAAAACCACAGGCTGGTAGAGCTGGCAAAGCTCCAGAGACCAGTTGGCCCTGGGGTTCCCAAATTTCAGCCATTTTTATACACCACCTCTATAATTTTGCTACATCTGCACTGCCTATATTCCAGTTTCCTGAATTACTTCCTTTGAATCAACTTATTTTTAAGTTCAGTAAATGTATTTTTAAAAGACACTGTATCACTGTTGGAAATGGAAACTCAGTATCACTTACCAGAGATAGAAAGTAACTGTAAAAATAAATACAATGGAAACAAAATGGTGTTATTCAATTCTATCTAGATACTTCTGCTTGCCTAGGCTCTCAGGGGAGAGTAGCAATTGTTCCATAGGTGTTCTAGGATGCCAGTATAAAACTGTGACCAGGCACTGCTCATGCCTGCAATCCCAGAACCTTGGGAGGCCGAGGCAGGTGGATTGCTTGAGCTCAGGAGTTTGAGACCAGCCTGGGCAACATGGCAAAACCCCATCTCTACAAAAAAAAAACACACACACACACACACACACACACACACAAAAATTAGCCAGGTGTGGTGGTAAGCACCTGTAGTCCCAGCTACTCAGGAGGCTGAGGTTGGAGGATCACCTGACCCCAGGAGGCAGAGGTTGCAGTGACCTGAGATTGTGCTCCTGCACTCCAGCCTGGATGACAGAGCGAGACCTTGTCTCAAAAAATAAATAATACAATAAAATTGTGACCACCTCAGTGGCTTAATCAAAAAGAGGCAACATGACTGAAAAGGCATTATGTGATTCAATGTTCTTTAAAGCCAAAGCCAGAACCTACCGAGGGGCATCAGGTGAACACCATCCAACGTCATGTCAATGTAGCCCAACCATCCCAGCTTTGGGGAAGCACTTCTCTCTCCTTCGTGATTGGGCCCCATGTCCAAGTAGGAGCCAAGACTGAACCACGGACTTCCTGACTCCCAGGCCAGAGCTCTCTGAGGGTGGGGTCTTCACCTCATGCTGGGCTGGGGCATGACCAGGTCTGCTTGTCTTCTCTTTCCAGAGATGGAGCAGAAGGAAGGGAAGCTCTCTGAGGATGGGACCACCGTCTCCCCAGCTGCGGACAACCCTGAGATGTCAGGAGGTGGAGCCCCTGCAGAGGAGACCAAAGGCACAGCTGGAAAGGCCATCAATGAGGGGCCTCCCACTGAGTCAGGAAAGCAGGAAAAGGCACCAGCCGAGGACGGCATGTCAGCAGAACTCCAGGGGGAAGCAAATGGATTAGATGAGGTCAAAGTGGAATCTCAGAGGGAGGCTGGTGGGAAAGAGGATGCTGAGGCTGAACTTAAAAAGGAGGATGGTGAGAAGGAAGAGACCACTGTGGGTTCTCAGGAGATGACTGGCAGGAAAGAAGAGACCAAATCTGAACCCAAAGAGGCTGAGGAAAAGGAGAGCACGCTGGCCTCTGAGAAGCAGAAGGCTGAGGAGAAAGAGGCCAAACCTGAATCTGGGCAGAAAGCCGATGCCAATGACAGAGACAAGCCTGAACCTAAGGCAACAGTTGAGGAGGAGGACGCCAAGACAGCCTCTCAGGAGGAGACAGGCCAGAGGAAAGAGTGCAGCACTGAACCCAAGGAGAAGGCTACTGATGAAGAGGCCAAGGCTGAATCGCAGAAGGCTGTTGTGGAGGATGAGGCTAAGGCTGAACCCAAGGAGCCCGATGGGAAAGAGGAGGCCAAACATGGTGCAAAAGAGGAGGCTGATGCAAAAGAGGAGGCGGAGGATGCAGAGGAGGCAGTGAGTGAGGCAGGAAAGGAGCAAGGAGGCTCTGTCGTCTCCTGCTTCTGGAAGCAAGCCCCCTCTGCTTCAGTCAGTTGGGAAAGTCCAGTTTTCCTCCTGATGATTTCCAGAGCCCAGGGTGGGGGAGGGGGGACAAGGAGTGCAGCACCGTAGTCCCAGGCTGCCTTTCAGAACTTTCTGAAGTCCTCATGAAGCCAGGGCAGGTGCTGTGTGACCATGAGCTCACGCAGATCATGCTCATTCCAGGAGCCAGGCAGTCCCAGCGAAGAGCAGGAGCAGGACGTGGAAAAAGAGCCAGAGGGAGGGGCAGGGGTGATTCCCAGCTCCCCAGAGGAGTGGCCTGAGAGCCCCACTGGGGAGGGGCACAACCTCAGCACAGGTGAGTGAGAGCCCAGAGCCCATGGGATGCTGCAGAGGCCACCTGGGGGAGGGGCGCAAGAAGCATGCCATGGATAGCCCCAGCTTCCCTCCCTCCTTTCACTTTCCTCCAGATGGGCTGGGTCCAGACTGTGTAGCTTCCGGACAGACCAGTCCTTCAGCCAGGTAATGTCAAACTCTGGGGCTCCAGCTCCAATTCCCCCTACCTCCTGCTTCCCTCAGCGTCCACCATCAACTCAGTCTGGGTTCCCCCAGCACCTGATTTCAAGATATTCGAGGATTCCTGGCATTCAGCTTCCTATCCCAGGGCAGAGCCCAGGAAACAAAAGAAGCCAGAGGCATGGTCGGCTGCAGTGGCTCACGCCTGTAATCCCGGCACTCTTGGAGGCTGAGGTGGGTGGATTACCTGAGGTCATGAGTTCGAGACCAGCCTGGCCAACATGGTGAAACCCTGTCTCTACCAAAAATACAAAAATTAGCTGAGCGTGGTGGTGGGCACCTGTAATCCCATCTACTCGGGAGGCTGAGGCAGGATAATTACTTGAACCCAGGAGGTGGAGGTTGCAGTGAGCCGAGATTGCGCCATTGCACTGCAGCCTGGGCGACAGAGCAAGACTCCCTCTCAAAACAACAACAACAGCAACAACAAAAAACCAGAGGCAGAAAGGAGCACGAAGGATACCTGGTCCACTTCCCATGCCATGGCTGAAGTCTGCCCTGTGGCATCCCTGACACTTCACAGGAGCTCCTTATCTTTCAGCTGAACATGTTTCCATGGTGCCAGTCATCCAAAAAGCATGATCAGAAAGCCCGAGTTGGGACAATGGTTCTGCCATGTACCAGCTGTGTGACCTTGGCCATGTCACTGAACCTCTTCTCATCTGTGAAGTGGGCATAGCAATTGTATCTACCTCGTAGGATTATTCTCAGGCTTCAATGAGTAACAAGTGCAAAGCACTTTAGCCCAGTGCCTGGTCCCTGGCAGGTGCTGGATAAAATAAGAGGCTTATGCTTGCCATTGCACAACTTCAGTCATTAGAAGGATTATCTGGAGCTGAAATCTGCCTCCTTGTCCTCCCCCCATTTTTTTTTTTTTTTTGAGATGGAGTCTTGATCTGTCGCCCAGGCTGGAGTGCAATAGTGCGATCTCAGGTCACTGCAACCTCTGCCTCCCGGGTTCAAGCGATTCTCCTGCCTCAGCCTTCCAAGTAGCTGGGATTATATGTGCGCGCCACCACGCCTGGCTAATTTTTGTATTTTTACTAGAGGCAGGGTTTCACCATGTTGGCCAGGCTGGTTTTGAACTCCTGACCTCAGGTGATCCACCCACCTTGGCCTCCCAAAGTGCTGGGATTACAGGCATGAGCCACTGTGCCCGGCCTCCTTGTCCCTTTCTTAGGGAAAGATAACCAGTGAATAGTCACCCAGCAGGCACAGCTGGATGCTTTACATTCACCTTCTTACATAGGGCAGGTAGGTATTCTTGTCCTCATTTTACAGATGAGGAAGCTAAGGCTCAAACAATGTGACAGTCCCAAGATCACACAGCAAATAAGAGGCAAAGCCATGCCAAGCGCAGTGGCTCACACCTATAATCCCAGCACTTTGGGAGGCTGAGGCGGGTAGATCACTTGAGGTCAGGTGTTTGAGACCAGCCTGGCCAACATGGTGCAATCCCATCTCTACTAATAATACAAAAATTAGCTGGGTGTGGTGGCGGGCACCTGTAATCCCAGCTACTCAGGAGGCTGAGGCAGGAGAATCGCTTGAACCCGGGAGGTGGAGGTTGCAATGAGCCAAGATCACACCACTGCACTCCAGCCTGGGCAACAAGAGCAAAGCTCTGTCTCAAAAAAAAAAAAAAGAGAAGCAAAGCCAGGTTCCAAACTCAGGTCAGACCTCAGAGGTGTCCTAGCTCTACCCACATGTCCTCACCAGACCACATTCTCCCCCAAGTTAGACTGAGACTCACGATTCCTTCTCAATGTCCTCCCAGTGCTGGGCACAGCTGCACACACCCCCTTAGACTGCAGTGCCACCCACCCTCCAGCCCCACAGCCCCCTCCCTGTGTCCTGCAGTGCTGGTCCCAGCCTCTCTCACACGTCTTTGGACTTCTCCATATAGTGAGTCTTCACCCAGCGACGTGCCCCAGAGTCCCCCTGAGTCCCCTTCCTCAGGGGAGAAGAAGGAGAAGGCACCAGAGCGCAGGGTATCAGCCCCTGCTCGGCCCCGGGGGCCCCGGGCACAGAACCGCAAAGCCATCGTGGACAAGTTTGGCGGGTAGGACACAGGCCAGGGGCTGGGCTGGGCTTTCCCATAGGAACCCTGGGTTGGTGGGAGGGTGGCCTCAGGGGCAGTGGGAACAGCCCAGGCCAAGGCAGGAGGACTGACACCTGGGGGCTGGGGATCCTCCCAGTGGGGCCCTTCATGGCCTCCTGCCTCTCTGGCTTGGCCTTGCACCCCTCTCCCCTCACAGGGCAGCTTCCGGCCCCACGGCCTTGTTCCGCAACACTAAGGCAGCCGGGGCAGCCATTGGTGGTGTCAAGAACATGCTCTTGGAGTGGTGCCGAGCCATGACAAAAAAATACGAGGTGGGCATGGGGCAGAGCTGCGTGGGTGGGGCAGGGGTCCAGGGAGGGTCCAAGTGGTGCAAACCCCAAAGGGTGGGAGGGTGGGAAGGGGGCCAAGTCCAGGCCATCTGGCTGAGCCTCACTGAGGCCTCCTCTGTGCCCTGCCTGCCATAGCATGTGGACATCCAGAACTTCTCCTCCAGCTGGAGCAGTGGTATGGCCTTCTGTGCCCTCATCCACAAGTTCTTCCCTGACGCCTTTGACTACGCAGAGCTGGATCCCGCAAAGCGCCGGCACAACTTCACCCTGGCCTTCTCCACAGCAGAGTAAGCCACAGCCATGGGCTGGCAGAGCTGGATGGGAGCCTAGGCGAGGACTGGATTCACAGGGGTTGAGTAGTGAGGCAGTTACACCGATGCTGGTGCCACACATTCATGTATCCAACAGACATTTTTTGAGGGCCAGGCACTGTTTCAGGCCCTGGGGATACAGCAGTGGGTGAAAAAGACAAAAATCTCTGCTTGAGTCAAGCGCAGTGGCTCACTTGTATAATCCCAGCACTCTGGGAGGCCGAGGCAGGAGAATCGCTTGAGGCCAGGAGTTTAAGACCAGCCTGGGCAACATAGTGAGACCCCCATCTCTACAAAAAATCAAAAAATTAGCTGGGTATGGTGGTGGATACCTGTGGTCCCAGCTATTCGGGAGGCTGAGATGGGAGGATCACTTGGGCTCAGGAAGTCAAGGCTGCAGTGAGCCATGATTGAGTCACTGCACTCCAGCTTGGGTGACAGAGCAAAACTTTGTCTTTAAAAAAAAATTACAATTTTAAAAAATGAAAGGGAAACTTGCAGTCTGGACTTACAGCTCTAAGTGAATATCAGAAGGGCAAGCAGCTCTGCTCTCACCAAGTGCTCCTGACCTGCAGGCTGTGAACCAACTGTCCTGCTCCTGCAGCTGCCTGGACTCTGGTTCTGAGTCAGGCAGAGCCACTGGAAGGTGGGAGGAGTCATCAGATGACAAAGACAGGCCGACAGGAGGCATCAGGCAGCTGAAAGCCCAGGAGGTCGTGGGGATGTGTGGAGAAGGAGAGAGGAGAATAGAAGCTGAGGTGCCTGGGTTTGAATCCTCCCTGCTTCTCCCTAGCTCTGTGACCCTCGCCAGCTGGCTTAACCTCTCTAGAGGCCCCACATCACAGGGCTTGTTGTGAAGATTAAGTGTGAAGAGGAAAGAGTGTCTGCCACAGTCATCACACCCCACTGCCCATTCCAGAACTCTCCTCCGATTCCCATGGAGTCCGGGGATGAGGGGAGGGAGTGGCCAATGCCGAAGCCCCCAGTGGCGAAGCCCTTCCCCACCCACGCCCCAGGCTCAATGGGAATGAAGGTTTTGCCTCTCCCACGTAGAGGGACAGCACCCTAACCCAAAACCATGGGGCACTGCATTGGTTGCAGGGAGCTTGTCCCATTCTCCAAAATCCTCCAGTGTGTGTCCTTCCCACAGCTCCCAGTCTGGCGTGGATTTTGGCCCTGCAGTCTCAGCCCCAAGGGAGGATTTCCTCTGGGGCCCTGGTTTCTCCTATGCCAGCACCTATGGCTGGCTTTGGTAGGCAGGGACTGCTGAGACCCAGCTTCAGAGAAAGGGTGCCAGAGGTGTCAGACAGGCCCCCGGGGTTGTGTTGCTCACTTTGGCCTTGGGCAAACCACCAAAACACTCTGAGTCTCCGCTTCCTCTTCTGCTGGCTGAGGATGGAGGGGAGGAGTCTATGAGAACGTCCAAGGGGAAGCACCTGATAAAGCATGAGGTGGGCAGGAGGTCCCAACACTGATTAGCTCAGATTGTCGGCCTCAGCAAAGCCAGTGGTGTCACAGAGCCCCAAAGGGCAGCTGCGAAGTTAGAAAAAGAGGACTTGTTGCTAAGTGCCAGCAGCTCCTGAAACACACCAAGCATTCCTGCCTCGGGGCCCTTGCACCTGCTGTTTCCTCTGCCTGGACTCCTTTCCCCAGATGTGCACATGACTTACTCTAAGAGGCCTACCCTGAGCACCCTATTAAAAAATACCACAGCTGGGTGCAGTGGCTCACACCTGTAATCCTAGCACTTTAGGAGACCGAGGCGTGGGGATCACTTGAGGTCAGGAGTTCAAGATCAGCCTGGCCAACATGGTGAAACCTTGTCTCTACTAAAAATACAAAAATTAGCTGGGCGTGGTGGCACACACCTGTAATCCCAGCTACTTGGAAGGCTGAGGCAGGAGAATCACTTGAATCCGGGAAGCAGAGGTTGCAGTGAGCCAAAATCACGCCACTGCATTCCAGCCTGGGCAACAGAGCAAGACTCCATCTCAAAAATAAATAAATAAATACATTAAAAATATATAAAAAATACCAGATCTCCTCCAACATAAGAACATACCCTGTCTCCCTTCCTGCCTTATTTTCCTCCTTAGCACCTCTCACCATCTGATGTACCATCTACTTTGTGTGTTGCTTACTGTCTCCTGCCACAAGAATTTCTATGCCATGAGAGTGCAGAAGTTTTGGTTTTATTCACTGATGAATTCTCAGAGCCTGGAAGAGGGCCTGGCACATAATAGGCTCCTGATAAGTACATAGAGACTGAATGAGTGATGCTCCTGGAGATGCTGCAGCTGCAAGCCAGGACTCTGGCTAGGATTTGGTTTCTGTCCTTTATCTTTTTTTTTTCTTTTTTTTTTTTTTGAGACAGAGTATCACTCTGTTGCCCAGGCAGGAGTGCAGTGGTATGATCTCAGCTCACTGCAACCTCCACCTCCTGGGTTCGAGTGATTCTCATGCCTCAGCCTCCCGAGTAACTGGGAATACAGGTGCCTGCCACTATGCCCAGCTAATTTTTGTATTTTTAGTAGAGATGGAATTTCACCATGTTGGCCAGGCTGGTCTCAAACTCCTGACCTCAGGTGATCCAGCTGCTTCAGCCTCCCAAAGTGCTGGGACTACAGGCATGAGCCACCACACCTGGCCCCTTTAAATTCTTCCTGAGGGGCCTGGTCTAACAGAAGCTCCCCGGTTCCAGAGGACAGATACATACGCATGTGGAAGTGGTGGGTTAATGTAGAACTAGAGACCAGAGGGTCCTGCGCCCATGTGAGGACAATAAGTGCAATGAAAATGTGGGCTTGGAATCAGACCCAGCTGGGTTTGAGTCTTTTTTTATTTTAATTTTTGTTTTTATTTTTTGGAGAAGCTCCCATTCTCTGAAAAGGTCTCACTAGGTTGTCCAGGCTGGTCTCGAACTACTGAGCTCAAGGGATCCTCCCGCCTTGGCCTCCCAAAGTGCTGGGATTATAGGTGTGAGCCACTGTGCCTGGCCTAAAACTCATTATTGAATTATTCACTGGTGTTGGCTTTGGGGTTACCTGTCTACATCCTGTGACCTACCTAAAGGAAGCCACAGCACCTGGCCTGGGTTTGTCTTAACTCTGTTGGGGTCTCAGTTATCTCATCTAGATATATAATGGGATGATTGGCTTAGATGATCTCCCAGCCCCAACATCCCAGCCCATCCTATGGGCTTCGTCATTGCTGGGCTGCCTGCACCCATCCCCTTGGCTCCCATATCCTTCACCTTTGACCTTCTGCTCCTCATTCCACCCCATTCCTTAGGAAACTGGCTGACTGTGCTCAGCTGCTGGACGTGGATGACATGGTGCGGTTGGCTGTGCCCGACTCCAAGTGCGTCTACACATACATCCAGGAACTGTACCGCAGCCTTGTGCAGAAAGGACTGGTGAAGACCAAGAAGAAGTGAGGAGGTGACTGGCTCTGTGGGCAGAGATGGGCAGGGTGCCCAGCTCAGCAGCCACGGCCCGGGGGTTCCCTTCTGCTCCATGGAGGCACCAGAGCCAGGGGCTTAGGCAAGGGTGTGTGGCGTTGGTTTTAACTGCATTAAAAGTACTTTTGTAAAATCCTGTCTGGCCCCTCAGTGCTCTCTCCATACTTGGCCCAGGAACCTCTGCACTCTGGGATAATAAACTCTGGCCATAGGGGATTCCTCACCTGCTGAGGTCTCAATAACTGCGCAAGGTGTTTGGGAAAGGACAATGGCCTGGTTCCCACCACTAACCAGCTGTGTGACACATACAGTTAACCTCTCTGGGCCCCAGTTTACAGTCTGAAAGGGGATAATGAGAGTTCCAACCTTATGAAGGTGTTGCAAGAGTTAAACGAGATAATGAAATGGGCAAAAAGCTTTGCCCAGTCCTGCCACTCAAGTGTTCAGTAAGTGGTCGCCAAAAATAAAAAACTTACATTTTGACTCTGGTGGCACTTCTTCTGGTTATCTTCCCCTCTTTTCACACTTCTTCTCAGGTTAGGGGACTCCAGGGCAGGAGCTGGAGAAGATTCTCTAGAAACTAGTGGGATCTGGGTGACTTCCTTGACTCAAATCACCCCATATTCTATCTCTGAAAAGCCAGCAGTATTCCAGGAGCTTACAACAATTGCAACCAGAAAGTTCTTCTTCTGGGTTAAGTTAATCCCTTAACTGAAGTTAATCCCTGGCTGAAGTTTTGGCTTGTTTTTGTTTTTCCATTGCTCATGAGATACAAACCCCTGAGCTGATTACAATTTCCTGCTAACTATCCAGTCTGGCTTTATCAGCCATTTGGGGCATGTGTGCTGATGAAAGCAGCTCATGAAAAATACAGAAAACAAAACACACCCCAGCCATAACCCTGGCTCACCTGCAGGGGTGTGGATTGGCAGAGTGGACCCCAGCAATCCACTGAAGTGCTCTGTGCCTCAATTGCCTCATCTTTAAAATGGGGGTGTTGGCCGGGCATGGTGGCTCACACCTATAATCCCAGCACTTTGGGAGGCTGAGGCGGGTGGATCACCTGAGGTCAGGAGTTCGAGACCAGCCTGGCCAATGTGGTGAAACCCCATCTTTACTAAAAATACAAAAATTAGCCAGGCGTGGTGGCGGGCATCTGTAATCCCAGTTACTCAAGAGACTGAGGCAGGAGAATCGCTTGAACTCAGGAGGCGGAGGTTGCAGTGAGCCGAGATTGCACTGCTGCACTCTAGCCTGGGCGACGGAGTGAGATTCTGTCTTAAATAAATAAATAAATAAATAAATAAATAAATAAATAAAATAAAATGGGGACGTCACCCCTGTGGACCTTCTGAAAGCTCCTCTGTCCAAGGATGGCCTATTTTTCCATGGCCAACATTCCTTATGATGTTTAGGGAACATTCAAGGGAAGCAAGGTCAGAAATTTATGCTTAAATCCCTAGTCCTCTATGGTCCTGATGAAACCACCCCATCCCCTCATCAAAGACTCAGCTGCACTCCAGAATTCATCTCTGACTTTAATGGCTTAAGCAAGAACATGGTTTCCGTGGCTCCCCCTGGACTGAATGCTGGAGGATATATACTTCACAGTCTGAGGCCTGGTCCCAGGAACTGGCAATCTAACAGGATGGCAAGTGGTTTTGAAACATATAGATTTTCAGGATGGAAGTTTGATTCTTCAGATTGTGACTCATCCGTGGAAAATAAATGGTTTAGCACCTAAATCTGTATATTCCCATCAGTGGCTTGGCTGACTCAGTTGTAAATAGGGTACCCTCCATCTGTCTCCCACCCATATGCTCCACTGTCCCCAGGCCCTCAGTGCCTGAGCCCTAGGGGGATTCGAGTTGGCTGCTGGATTCATTTCCTGCAAGCAGGCCTGCAAGGTGACCTGTCTCTCTAAGATGGAGAGCTGGAGAACTGGCCTGTAACTGCAAACTTAAACTCCCTTGGCTCTGGGGAATGTAAAGGGTGTGGGAAGGGTGCACCTGTGGCCAGGTGAACCTGGGAGTGAGTCCATACACAACACACACACTCATAGCTCCCTTCCCTCCACCACACACACACACAAACTAATGACTAACAACCTAAGAAGGGAAAAATGAATGGGGAATGGGCCACAGGGGGCTCTGGCCTCAGTCCATGAGGTGTGTCCGTCCGCTATGCCGAGGATCCAGTGCACAGAGGGTCAGAACATGAGTTAGGAGGGCCGGTCCACTCCGAATCGGAGGGTGAACTCTTCGGCATTCTTTCTGAACAGCTCCGGATTCTGTGTCAGCAGGTCAGCGAGGTCCATCCGCAGGGGCTCCCTGATATTCGGTCTATTCACCAGCACATTGAGGGCCTCCAGGACTGGGGAGAGACAGGCCAGATCAGGATATCAGGGCAGAGGGAAGGGAGTCATGGCTGCCCGTTCCCAATGTCCTGACACTCCACACTCACTCCTTGGGGGAAAGGTTACATCGCTTAGGATTACTCTACGACCAGATCAAACGCCCCGCTCATTCTTGGCTGGTGACACCCAAGGCCTTGACTGATTACATCAGTGGTTTTCAAACAACTACATTCCATGGCTTCAGAGAAGCTCCTCATCACAGGGGCCACTGAGATAAGTGAGGTTTCTGGGTCTTATCCCCATTTCAACAAAAACTGCTCTGTTTTCCTCCATTATATTGGTAGTCCAAATAAACTTTTCCTTGGGCAAAAGAGGTCTAAGGCTAAAGACTGAAAACCACCACTGCCCCCTGGCTCTTCATCTTTCACAGATGCCTTTGGGAACCTAGTGAAGGCAGCAGCCCATCTCCCGAGACAGATGTGCACATCCACATGCAAAACAGACAGTTCCCAGACCCCCTGAAGCTCATCCAAGGACCACTCCTCTCCCTGCTCCCACTCCCACCAACCTAAGGACTTTCATTTCCTGAGTTAAAAACTCCTGAGCTGGTCCAGGTGGAGGATTGCACACTGATTCAGCCACAGGCTCTAGAGCTGTGTTGTTCAATATGGTAGCCATTAGCCACATGCAGGCATCTAAATTTAAATGAATTAAAATCAGGCTGGGCACGGTGGCTCACGCCTGTAATCCCACCACTTTGGGAGGCCAAGATGGGTGGATGGCTTGAACTCACGAGTTTGAGACCAGCCTGGGCAATATGGCAAAACCTGGTATCTACAAAGCATGCAAAAATTAGCCAGGTATAGTGGCATGCTCCTGTAGTCCCAGTTACTCGGGAGGCTGAGGTGGGAGGATGGCTTGAGCCCAGGAGGTGGAGGTTGCAGTGAGCCAAGATTGCGCCACTGAACTAACTGCCTGGGCAATAGAGACAGACCGTGTCTCAGTAGAAAAAACAAAAAGGATTAAAATTAAGTACAATTAAGAATTGAGTTCTGGCCAGGCGCAGTGACTCACACCTGTAATCCCAGCACTCTGGGAGGCGGAGGCAGGCGGATCGCCTGAGGTCAGGAGTTCGAGACCAGCCTGGCTAACATGGCAAAACCCCTCTCTATTAAAAATACAAAATAGCTGGGTGTGGTGTCATACGCCTGTAATTCCAGCTATTCAAGAAGCTGAGGCCGGAGAATCGCTTGAACCTGGGAGGTGGAGGTTGCAGTGAGCCAAGATCGCGCCACTGCACTCCAGCCTAGGCGACAGAGCGAGACTCTGTCTTAAAAAAGAAAAAGAATTGAGTTCTTCAGTTGCAACAGCCACATGTGGCTTGCGAGTCAGCCAAGTGCTGCCGTTTGTCATCTGTATGACCTTAGGCAACCACTTCACCTCTCACATGCCTCAGATGTCCGGGTCTACTAAACAACACTACCTCACGGGCTTGTTGGGGAAATAAAAATGAAGTCGGCAGGTGATGTTTTTAGCACAGTGCCGAAAGTGCTCAGTCAAGTGACAGGTATTATCATTATGAGGCCAGTTCCCTCCACTGTCATTTAGGACACCGAGTCCCAGAAAGGAACGAAAACTTGCCCAAAGTCCACAGAGGGAACAGCGGGCTTTCTTTTCCCGAGCCCTTCCCTGTGCAGCCAAGCTGCCTCTCCCATGAACCGCAGCAACGTTCCTCTGTCACAACTGCACAGGTATAAGAAGAGAGGCAGGAGGAGGTCAGTCTGTCCAGGAAGCATCCCTTCTATCTCATAGTAAGTTCAGCCAAGACTCACAATTTTTATCTCCTCTCTTTGGGGCTTTTCAAGCTCAGAATAAGCTGTGAACCCCCTCTCCAGTAATCTCTACCCAGTATCAGTCCCTCCTCCAAGCAAAGCCCAACCCCACCTTGGCAAGTCTTGGTGCAAGGCTTCCAGTTCTCACTGCTGATGATGGGCAGGCAAATCTGTCCGTTCTCGTCCACGTTGGGGTGGTAGATCTTGGTTGTGAATTTGATCATGGGAGGCTTGAACGGATACTCCGGCGGGAAGCTGATGCGCAGGTTGAAGGCTTTCAGGTGGTAGGGAGGTTGGTCCTGTGCAGAGAGAAAAGGGGTCAAGCTCCAGTCTGGTTTTCCTCCCTTCCTGCCCCAATCCGAGGGTCCTAGGCATCCTCTGCTTCACTCCCAGGAGGAATCATGAGCCAGGACACACACAGCACCTGCATTCATTTGACAATTGAGTCATGGATTAGTGAAAATGTGAAATCACCAAAGGGCACTGGCCTGGGAGGCAGAGAAGTCTGATCCTGGCTTTTGCTGTGTGACCACGGGTGAGCCACTTCCCACCTCTAGGCCTCAGTTTCCTCATTTGAAAAGTGGATAAAGATGGACTAGATGAGCTCTAAGGACCATCTCAGCTTTCAAGACTTTCTGAGATTATGGAAGAAAAGGATGGAACATCCTTTCTTAAAACATTAGAATGGGGGTGAGGAAATGGAGAAAATGAGGAAATCCTAAGAACTCAGGAGCTTAGGAAAATAAAATGGTGCAGCTGTGATGGAAAACAGTATGGCCATTTCTCAAAAGATTAGACACAGAATTACCATATGATCCAGCAGTTCTACTTCTGGGTAGACACCCAAAGAACTGAAAGCAAACAGGTATTTGTATACCAATGTTTCTAGCAGCCAAAAGGTGAAAGCAAACCAAGTGTCTATCAATGGATCAATCAACAAAACGTGGCATATACACACAATGGAGTATTATTTAGCCTTAAAAGGAATGAAATTCTGATATATGCTACAACACGGATGAACCTTGAAGACACTATGCTACAGGAAATAAGCTA